>NC_000004.12:177671381-178296381 GCF_000001405.40 Homo sapiens
AGGTGGCTTTTTGATTATATATATTTTCTTGGAAGAGTAAGTTGGTACCTCCTAGTGGGTTTGATTTGCATTTCCCTAATGACTAAAGATGTAGAGCTTACATTTTGCTTACTCACCATTGTCTTATTTCTGTTTGGGCTGCTATGACAAAGTACCTTAAACTGAGTAACTTATAAGCAAAAGAAATGTATTCATTTCTTACAGTGATGAAGACGGGGAAGTCCAAGATTAGGGTGCTGGCATTACCTGGTGAAAGCTCTTGTTCTCACAGACAGAGTGCCTTGTAGCTGTGCTTTTACACAGTGGAAAGGGTAGACAAGCTTCTTCAATCCATTTTTATTTTTATTTTTTGAGATGGCTTTCATTCTTGTCACCCAGGCTGGAGTGCAGTGGCGTGATCTCCGCTCACTTCAACCTTCGCCTCCTGGGTTCAATTGATTCTCCTGCCTTAGCCTCCTGAGTAACTGGCATTATAGGTGCCTGCCACCACACCTGGCTAATTTTTGTCTTTTTACTAGAGACGGGGTTTCACCATGTTGGCCAGTGTTGTCTTGAACTCCTGACCTCAGGTAATCTGCCCACCTCAGCCTCCAAAAGTGCTGGGATGACAGGTGTGAGCCACCATGCCCAGCCTTCAACCATTTTTATAGTCACTAATCCCATTCATGAGGGCTCTGTCCTCATGACCTAACCACCTCCCAAAAGTCCCCACTTCCTAATACTATCACTTTGTGGCTTAGGGTTTCAACATGTGTAATTGGAGGGCGACAGAAACATTTAAACCATAACAGCTGTCTGCATATCTTTGATTCAAATTCTTTTCCTATTCTTTTTTTAACTGTGTTGTCCTTTGTTGAGTTGTCTTTAGGATATTTTCTGCCATTTTGTGTAATTTTTCTTTTTACTTTTTTGACATCATTTATTGAAGGAGAAAAGTTTTTAATTTTTATGAAATCCTAATTTTTCTTTTGTTGCTTGTACTTTGATGTCATATCAAAAAAGCCTTTGTCTAACCCCAGGTCACAACAATTTACTCCTCTATTTTCCAGTTTTAGTATATGTGCTGCCGAGGCAAGCATTACTCCTCTATTTCTTCTAAGTGTTACATTTAAGACTCTGATCCTTTGTATTTTTATTTTTATTTTTTTGAGACAGAGTCTTGCTGTGTCGCCCAGGCTGGAGTGCGGTGGCGGGATCTCGGCTCACTGTAACCTCCGACTCTCTGGGTCAAGTGATTCTCCTGCCTCAGCCTCCTGAATAGCTGGGATTACAGGCATACACCACCATGCCCAGCTAATTTTTGTATTTTTAGTAGAGACGGGATTTCACCACCTTGGCCAGGATGGTCTCCATCTCCTGACCTTGTGATCCGCCTACCTCGGCCTCCCAAAGTGCTGGGATTACAGGCGTGACCACTGCGCCCAGCTCAACTCTGATCCATTTTGAGTTAATTTTTGTGTAGCGTGTGAGGAAGGAGTCCAACTTCCTTCTAATGCATCTGGATGTCTGGTTATCACAGCCCTATTTTCAAACCAGGATTTGATGTTGTCAATAACTAGTCCAGTGTCCTTTATCATACATACATGAATGCATACACATACACTTACATCCTTTAATAGCTCCTGATTTCTCTTAGTGTAAAGGTGTAAATCTTTACCATGATTTACAAAGATCATCCTCATGCCTGTCAAATTACATGACTGCAAGGGACCATTCACCTCCCGGGCTTCATTTGGTTTTTTAGCTCTTGCCGCCATTGTCATCAATTAGATGCCTAAGAAATGTGTTTTCTTTCACTACTGGATCTTTGCACATGTTATGCCATTCTCATGAAATTTTCTTTCCTTTTTTTCTATTTTAATCACTCACACTCATCCCTCAGAGTTCCCCTCAGTTGTAATTTCCTTAGGTAAGCCTGTTGGCATTCTTCCTTAAGTCGAATCTCCCTAGAGCACTGGTGTACCTGCCTGTGGCTGTATTAAAACAAATTAAGCTTACTTTTGAGATTTTTAAATTTTTTTGTGTCTCCCACATGGGCTTATGTAGTCCGGGACCATGTTAGCTTTTTCACTTCATTATATTTCCACACCTGGAACTCTGTCGGGACCCTAGTTAGGCTCTATTAATATGGATTAAAATAATGAATGAGAACACCTCCTCTATGCAGCAGTTGTGGAATTCTTTGTTAGGATTAGGGTGGTCTTGTTTGCATCTGCTGTTTCCATAATTTTTTTAGAGCAACAATTTACTGAGTGTTTGTTGTGTGTTCGACACTGTTCCAAACGCTTTAGATGTAGTAGTAAACAAAACAAAAATGTCTTCACTCAATGGAACTTATCATGGAATACAGATCATAGGTGATAAAACTGAGCATAATATATAAGTAAGCTATACTGCATATTTGAAGAATACACGGAGATTTGAAAATGGAAAATTAGAGCAAGTTAGGGAGTTTGGATGTAGGTAAGGAGAGTTGCAGTTTTAAGTACTTTGGTTGGGGTAGATTCTGTTAAGAAGGTGACAGTCAAAAATGTGAAGGAGGAATTTAGCTTTACAGATACATTGGAGAAGAGGGGGATTTTTTTTTTTCCGGGCAGAAGGAACAGTTAGTACAAAAGGCCTGCTGCTGGAAGCACATTTGGTATTGGAGCAAGTATGAAGAGGTCATTGTGACTGGAGCCAAGTGAATAAAGTCATCAAGAGAGCAGTAGAAGAGGGATTCTGAGATGTAAAAGGTGGGGAAGGGAGTGTAGATTATACATACTCTCTGAGGCCACAAAAGGAATTTGCCAAGATTGATGTGGAAAAATATTTCTGGGTATTTCATCAGAGTGGCATGATGTGGCTTATACTTAAATGATCATTCTGGCTGCTGTGCTGAAGATAGACTGCAGGGGATAAGGGTATAACGAGGCGGATGAGTTAGGAGGCCTTTGCTGCAGATTACCTAGATAATACCAGGGGAGCTGTTGAGAAGCGGCTGGATTCCAAGTATATGGTAAAGGTAGAGCCAAAGGGTTTTCTGATGGATTGGATGTTGTCCTGAATCTGTAAATATCATTTTTAAGCTGGTCCAAATCACAAGTCAATCCATGAAAGGTTGCTTCTAAAATGTTGAAAAATTTTCATTCAGTTCTACTAGTTATTAACTTAATATCTAGAATGAAAATGTTATGAAAAAAACCTAAACAAGCCAAAAAAATACCCAAAAAACTGAAAACCCAAAAAATACCTCCTCCCTAAAATGCTTACTTATTTCTTCAACTGAATGAAAACCCACTGATTTTTTAATAACATTATGCACATACTCTAAGATTGGCAATAGAGGAAATATTTTCTTATGCAGAAGCAAGATTCTAGTCATCTCTCCACACTACCCTGACTTAATTTTTTTTTTTTTTTTTTTTTTTAGAATATTACCACTGTCACTGTCTTCTTGATTTCAGGAAAGTTGTTTCTTCCTATTTAACCTCTGGCCTAAGAGGAGGAGGTTGGGAAGACACACTTTTCTTAATTCTTTTTAGCAACGTATAGGCCAGGTGAAAATATTTCAGTAAGACTGAACTAAATGTTTGGAGAAGACAAGAAAATATAAAAACATGCAATTAGAAAAAATAGTTTACACTACAGAGTTTTACTCAACTATTCCTTGAGGTTCTGTTTTTTTTTGTTGTTTGTTTGTTTGTTTGTTTGTTTTTTGAGATGGAGTCTCACTCTGTCGCCCAGGCTGGAATTCAGTGGCATGATCTCAGCTCACTGCAGCCTCCGCCTGTCGGGTTCGAGCAATTCTTCTGCCTTAGCCTCCCGAGTAGCTGGGATTACAGATGTGTACCACCACGCCTGGCTAATTTTTGTATTTTTAGTAGAGATGGGGTTTCACCATATTGGCCAGGCTGGTCTCAAACTCCTGACCTCGTGACCCACCCACCTTAGCCCCCCAAAGTGCTGGGATTACATGCATTAGCCACCGCGCCCGGCCTCCTTGAGGTCCTGGACAGAGAATATTCCTACCACAGTCCTTGGCTTCATGTGAAGTCTTTCATCCCTTCACCAAAGAAGAGCCTCAACTTACCTGGGCTCCTTGGTGTCTAAGTCCTATAGAGTGAGACTCAAGAAAGACAAAATGACTTCCTGCTCTGTTATCCAAACCCTCTTTCCAACTTACTGTTTCCCCTTGAAATATCTGCCTTTTCCAGTGTGATGAATAGCATGGCTTTTCAGGGATAGAGAAGGATAAGAAAGTGTCTTTACTCTGGGCCACCCAGACATTCAGTCAGTACACAGGACATTAAGCTAGCATCTGTACAGGAGACACAGGGACTAACAAAAGAGTGGGTGGTTTTAAAATTGTATTTAATTAATTAATTTATATTTTGGCTACACATGGTATTTCTGAGGAGATCAAGGTGATTTGCTTTTCTCTAACATAGTGTGAAAATTAATTTGTCTTCACAGAATTGGAAAAATGAATGTAATTTGACATATGTCTTGAGTCTGGTTGGCTTCTGAGGAACTTGTGTGCATCTCATCAGTATGCATCTTAAGAACTGAAATGACCCTACTTCAGCATTGTGAGAAGACATGCATTCTCTTCGTATAAATAATGTGGATCTTACATGTAAAGTATTATAAAGATTAGCTGTTTAACAACTTAAATAAGCTTGTGAATAATAAATTAATAACAATGTTATGCTAATACGTAACTATGATATTTGCTGAACAAAATAAATTTGCCTACTTTGGAAGCAGATTGGGTGGTTTAATATATCAGCAAAAGAGTGTTTTTAAAAAATATCAAAGTTCTGTTAATCAAAACGTTTATTGTAGGACAGTTAGTAATGTTTTGTTTGCCAACTTATATTACAAAGTCTCTGTCTTAAGTGTTTCCTTGCAAATAAAATGACAATACTGCCTTACATTTTATTACTTTAGAGTTTGCAAAATATCTTCATTATAATATTTCATTTAGTAGACATGCCTATGGGAACATTACTTCCAGAATTAAAAACATTATTTTTGTTTTGGTATATTTTTAAACTACAAATGATAGAAAGGCAAGTAAATGTAAGTTTTTCTCTAGTTATTTGTTCAAATGCTAATTTAAAACATTTGTACATTTCTAATACAAACATTCCTTATTTGAGAAAAAATGGATTTCTTAAAAACAAAATGCATTTTAAAGCAGAGAGACAGGGCATTGAGCTGAAAATGGTGGCTGGAAGTTGGGATCTGTAAGAGAAGTTGAATGTGCCCCGAGGCATAAAGCTGCTAATTTTGTTTTATTGGATTTTACTGTAGCTATTAATATATTTTGCTGGAGATTTATGTGATCAATTTATCTTATGGCCAGAACTAATTCCCTTAGTATATTTTATTAGAATATGTGACTTTTTCTAAATTTAGCTTTATTTTTCATATTTTCCATAAATGGCAAAGATTCTATGTTTCCAGACATGTTAAGTATTGCAAGAATTATTGGAGCACCTAAAGATAAATAATATCAAAATAGTGTCATTGTTTCCCTTAGTTTCTCCTTCTCCCCCACAAATAAACCAAGAGGTATTTAGTTATACTATTGCATGTCTCTAGCTTTATTGGATTCTTCCATGAAAGAAAAATGGATTACATTTTTGGTTGTGTGGCCCTCGTTGCCCTATTGCACTTTTGATAATATTTGCCTGTGACAAGTAGTTATTTTTCATTACCACATTCAATCATGGGTAATAAAATATTTTAATAATGGTGAATGTGAAGTTAATTAATAACCCGCAGGTATGGCAGCTAGACAGGATTGCTCTCCATCTCAAACACAAGGAAAACAATTCCATCGGTAGTTATAAATTTGCATATGAATGTCAAATATATGAGGTTTTGAATAAAAATCATTTCTGAGTAAAAGTGTACATCGGCAAGCTGTATTTAAGTTCCGTATTTATAGATAAATTATTTCAGAATATGTTAGTTACTATGAATCATAATCAGAGTTCTTCAGTTAGGGAACTCTTGTAGTGCGTCAGTAGGTATCAATATTGAAATATTTGATATTATTTAACATGTTTTGCAACTTAGTTGAGTGTATATATGGTTTTACATATATTTAAGACATATAGATTAGTGAAATTTATTTTGGAATGAGTTGTTGCTTTATGTATTATAAATACAGAAATATTATGCAAAGTAATTTTAGGTTTATTGGCATGCAGCATATCTATATCTTCCTTCCTTCTTTCTCTCTTTGGTTCCTTCCTCTCTTCCTTCCCCTCTTTTTTTTTTTTTTTTTTTTTTGAAACACAGTCTCTCTCTGCACCCAGGCTGGAGTGCAGTGGACCTATCACAGCTCACTGCAGCCTGGGCCTCCCAGGCTCAGATGATCCTCCCACCTCAGCCTCCAGAGTAGCTGGGACTAAAGGCATGCACTACCACACCTCGCTAATTTTTTTGTATTTTTTGTAGACCTGGGGTTTCACCAGATTGGCCAGGTTTATCTCAAACTCCTGGCTTCAAGTATTCCACCTGCCTCAGTCTCCCCAAATGCTGGGACTACAGGCATGAGCCACCATGCCTGCCTGGCCTCTTCTTCCCCGTCTCAATCTTCCTTCCCTCTTTCTTTCCCTCTCTCTCCCTCTCTCTTCTTCCTCTTTTCTCCTTCCTCTCTCCCTCCCTCCTTTCTTCCTTCCTTCCTTCCTACTTTTTCTTTCTTTCTGCCTTCTAATACCCATCTTGTTTTTTGCAAAGTCAGCAAAAACCAGACAAAATAATAAAATCTTTAGTAACTTTTTCAAACTCATTTTCATGTATTCTCCCATATGTGGCCTTCTAGAAAAAAGAAAAGGCCATTGAAAGAGTGGAATAATATTATTCTTCTTCTTCTTTTTTTTTTTTTTTTTGAGACGGAGTCTTGCTCTGTCACCCAGGCTGGAGTGCAGTGGCGCGATCTCGGCTCACTGCAACCTCCGCCTCCCAGGTTCGCGCCATTCTCCTTCCTCAGGCTCCCGAGTAGCTGGGACTACAGGCGCCCACCACCCCATCTGGCTATTTTTTTGTATTTTTAGTAGAGATGGGGTTTCACCATGTTAGCCAGGATGGTCTCGATCTCCTGACCTCGTGAACCGCTGGCCTCGGCCTCCCAAAGTGCTGGGATTATAGGCGTGAGCCACTGCGCCCAGCCGAGTCCATTTGGGAATGGCTCAAGTTGTTTAACCATGTGAGACATAGAATTTTTGATTCTCTCATTCTGTTATAGATGCATTGCTTGTGTTGCTCAATCTATTCTTTTTAGGTATGAAAGGGACTATCATTGTTATTGTTTATTACTTATTAGGAGAGGAGCAGGTGATATAGAGAAGTAACAAGGCCTGGTCAGACAGGGCCCTTCCTTGTGGGACCTTTGAAAGGCTTTCATTTTTACTGTGAGCAACAAGGATTGTGAGCAGAAGAGTGACATGATTGGAATTACATTTTATCCCTTTGGCCACTGAGTTTCTAGCTCACTATTGAGGGAAGGGTGAAAGCAGGGAGGCCAATTTGAAATCGATGAAATAATCTAGGCAAGAGATGATGCAGGCCTAGACCAAAATAGTTGCTGTACAAATGCCATGAAATGCTCATATTTGGTGGGATATGGAGTGAAGGTAGGAGCAAAATTTTACTGACGGACTAGATATCTGTCCTTAGAGAAAAGAGGACCCTGGATATTTTCAAGACTTTTACCCTAAACTACTAAAAGGTTAGCATTGCTGTAAAATAAGATCAGAAAGACTGCGGCAAGACAGATATAGGGAAAGATCAAATTTTCAGTTCGGAAGATTTTGAAGGTGGACTATCTCTTAGCCATTTATGTGGTGATCTTTTCTAGGTAGTTGGATATAGGAATTTTGAGTTCAAGGGGCAGTTCTGTCTGGGAGATTTAAATGTAGGAAACATCACTTAACAGTGTATTCATAAATCATTATCTAGGTGAAATTACATAAAGATAAAAGGGGATGCACTGAACCTGATGGTACTTTCCTGTACAATTGAGAAAAGGTGAAATAAGCAGAAGACCAAGGGATGCATTGGGAGGAGGAGAACCAGGAGGAGGACCACGTAATGGAAGCCAAGTGAAGACAGTGTTTCCCAGTGCTGGTGAGTTAAGTAAGATGAAGACTCGGACTTGACCATGTAGCCATGTGGAGGGTATTGATGATTTCTGGTTCCCCAGAAGGGACAATAGAAATAATTACATATCGATAGAGGAATCCTAAAATTACACTTTGTGATTTTCCTCACCTTGAGAGCTCTTATATCTCTGGCAGTGTCTAAATCTTTTATAGATATTGACTCATTTACTCATCCATATAAACTGTAAAGTAGAATCCCTTATTATCCTCACTTTAGAGATGTGAAAACTGAAATCAGAGAAGTTAAATAATTGGGCCATGTTATTACATGGCCAGAAAGTAGCAGAGCTAAGATTTGATCTCAATTGTTCTGATTTTAGAGTCCACAGTCTTAAACACTGCACTATATACTAGCTATGAAATAAAGGAAAGTTAAACATGATTTATATATGATCCTAAGTAGTAGAATTTATATAGGATTTTTATATTTTTATGTGATCTATATTACATATTATTCTAAGTAGTAGGATAAAGCAAAAATGGCTGCCATGTGATCATCAAAGAATGCTAAGTTCAGAGTGTTTTAGTATCATATATTTTTTTCTAAATATTTTTTCCTTTAATAAAGAGTTGAGCCATTAACTATTAGGCATTGTGTTTTTGTTTGTTTGTTTGTTTGACAGAGGTCTTGCTCTGTTTCCCAAGATGGATTGCAGTGGCCTGATCATGGCTCACTGCAGCCTCTACCTCCCAGGTTTGAGCAATCCTCCCACCTCAGCCTCCTGAGTAACTGGGACTTCAGGCATGTGCCACCATGCCTGGTTAATTTTTTAAACTTTTAGTAGAGACAAGGTCTCCCTACGTTGCCCAGGCTGGTCTCAAGCTGCTGAACTCAAGTAATCCTCTTGCCTTGGTCTCCAAAGGTGCTGGGATTACAGGTGTGGGCCACTGTGTCCAGCCAGCACTGGCTTTTAATAAGTGTCACTGAAAAGTAAGTCGGTAAGAAACAACCCTCATCTCCAGGTGGTAGTAACTGAAAATGAAAGTAACAGAAAGTGAGAACATGGGGTGTGATTCTTGTAGTCTGTATTTTGCTGGTTTTTATTAGTTTTGAGCCTCAATTTGAACCTTTTGTACTGGAATCTAAAGATGAAGTTTCCCTGATGGCAAAATTACAATCCATCACTCACTAATGTCATTTCTTCCATGAGTCACATCCATCCTGAAGGAAAGTGCTTGAACTAGGAACATGTACCTTTATTACATGTAGGAGCAAAGACCATAATCCTATTATTTACTTCACCCCCATCTAATGCCTCTTAGTAATAGGGATGTTTATTATTTTTTAAACCAGAAGTTCACTTTCTCGTATCCATGTAAGTCTGTCTAGTTAGATTGGAGTAAACTGAATCCACTTCTGGCCAACTCAAGATACAATTGAAACTTAATTGAATACAACCATGCACCGGTCATAATGGTATTTTGGTCAAGGATGGATTGCATATACAACAGTGGTAATATAAGGTAATAATGAATGGAGTTGAAAAATTGCTATTGCTAATGCTGTCATAGCCATTGTAATATTGTAGCACAAGACATTACTCACATTTCTATAGTGATGCTGGTGTAAACACACCTATTGCACTGTCAGTCATATAAAAGTATGGCAATACAATTATGTACAGTACAAAACACTTGATAATTCTAATAAATGGTTATGTATTTATTATACAAAACTTTTTACCATTATCTTAGAGTGTTCTCTTTCTACTTAGAAAAAAGTTAACTCTAAAATAGCCTCAGGTAACTGTAAACAGCCTGTTAAATAGCAAGTCCTTCAGTAGGTATTCCAGAAGAAGGCATTGTTATTACAGGAGATGATAGCTCCATGCGTGTTGGTGCCCTGAAGACTTACAAGTGGGACAGGATGTGGAGGTGGAAGACAGTGATACTGATGATCCTTACCCTGTGTAGGCCTAGACTAATGTGTGTGTTTGTGTCTTCGTTTTTTTGTTTTTTTTTTTTTTTTTTAGACGGAGTCTTGGAGTCTTGCTCTGTCGCCCAGGCTGGAGTGTAGTGGCGCAGTCTTGGCTCATTGCAACCTCCTCCTCCCAGGTTCAAGCGATTCTCTGGCCTCAGTTGCTCAAGTAGCTGGCGTTACAAGTGCATGCCACCATGCCCAGCTAAGTTTTGTATTTTTAGTAGATACGGGGTTTCACCATGTTGGCCAGGCTGGTCTTGAACCCTTGACCTCAGGTGATCTGCCCACCTCGGCCTCCCAAAGTGCTGAGATTACAGGCATGAGCCACTGTACCAGGCTTACATCTTAGTTTTTAATAAAGAAGCTTAAAAAATAAAAAAATATGCAGAAGCTTATAAAATAAGGATATAAAGAAAATATTTTTGTACAGGTGTACAATGTGTTTGTGTTTTAAGCTAAGTGTTTCTTCAAAAGAGTCAAAAAGTTTAAAACATTAAAATGTTTATAAAGCAAAAGAGTTACAGTAAGCCACAGTTAATTTATTATTGAAGAAAGAAGAATTTTTAAAATAAATGTAGCGTGGTCTGAGTGTACAGTGTTTACAGAGTCTACAGTGTTGTACAGTCATGTCCTAGGCCTTCACATTCACTCACCACTCACTCACTTGCACACCCAGGGCAGCTTCCTGTCCTGCAAACCACATTCATGGTAAGTGCCCTGTCCAGGTGTACCACTTTTTATCTTTTCTACCATATTTTTACTGTACATTTTCCATGTTTAGATAAGTTTAGATACAGAAATACTTACTATTGTGTTCCAATTGTTTACAGTATTTAGTAGAGTAACCTGCTGTACAGATTTGTAGCCTAGGAGTAATAGGCTATACCATATACTAGGTGTGTAGTAGGCTACACCATCTAGGTTTGTGTAAGTACACTCTATGTGGTTTGCACAATGACAAAATTGTCTGAGGACACGTTTCTCAAAGTATATCCTCATCATTAAGTGATGCATGATTATACTTGAGCTGTAGAATGCTGATTACATCATTTGCCTTGATCTCAAAAGCTCATTGAAACTTCCTATTCTTTCATGAGTTATATCCATTTTTTTCAATCAAAACATGAAATACTCCATCAGTCTGTATCCGAATTAACTATATTGTCTGCTGTTTCCTTAAAATGAACATATTTTCAACTCACTGCTTCAGTCAGCCTTAATCTTTGCTTAAGCAATTTTTTTCCAATCTCTATTCCAATCATAGTCATCTTTCTTTTTCAAGTCTTTCATTAGGAGAACTTTTTTCCTTAGAATTAATCACATTATTTCCTATTTCTGCCTCAGTGTTTAAAAACTTAATATCTACAGATTGTATTGTACTTCACTGTGTATAACTAAATTATAGCTACAGCATTTTAATCCACTCAGACCTACTATGACACCTTAAGAAATTGAACTTCTGGGCCGGGTGCAGTGGTGGCTCATGCCTGTAATCCCAGCACTTTGGGAGGCCGAGGCGGGCGGATCACCTGAGGTCAGGAGTTCGAGACCAGCCTGGCCAACGTGATGAAACACCATCTCTACTAAAAATACAAAAATTAGCCAGGCATGGTGGCAGGTGCCTGTAATCCCAGCTACTTGGGAGGCTGAGGCAGGAGAATCACTTGAACCCAAGAGGTGGAGGTTTCAGTGAGCTGAGATCGCACCACTGCACTCCAGCCTGGGCGACAAGAGCAAAACTCCATCGCGAAGAAAAAAAAAATTAAACTTCTGGTGTGTAACAGGGAGTTATTGAGAAATTCAAACAGGTAATGATGTTTGAGGTTTTTGAAATGTGAGTGTAGGAGCGGTATAGTGTTTGGATTGGAGGAGGGATAGACTGGCCTCAGGGAGGCCAGTTAGCACAAGACTGAAATAGTATTGTCAAAGAATGATTAGCCCTGAATTACAGAAATAGCAGTAGGAGTGGGAAAATACTGAAAACATTTGGGACATGTCCAAAACACTAAACATTTTTCTCTATTATTCTAGCAGGCTGGAAGACATGACAAGTGAAAATCTCCCCTCTAGAATCCGTTTTCGTCACCTCTACTATTGTACTGCTGGTTTCACATATATCTTATAGATTGAGGGAGTTGGGCTGGGTGGGGAGACAGGTCTCTTTTCTGGCTTTCTAATTCTGCTGTATATCCTGCAATGGCTTAATTTATGGTGGCTGGCTTCATATTGAACAAAGGCCCTGTGACCAGGTCATTTTCTGGGAGCAGAAAGACAAAGAGGAATTTCGTTCTTCTCCCTAAACTCAGCACTGCATCAACCTTGATGCCATCTATTTAATGGGCATAGTTTTTCAACCTTGTTTATTATGACGAAGTTTCAATTGCTAGACCCATTTAAGACTTGTAGGAACAGAATGTGTCTTCTTGCTTCCAGGACGGAGTTCCTCTCCTGGTTTCTTCAAGACTTTATTTCTAGTTCAATTCCAACACCCTGTGCACTGGGACTCTGCTGCTGAGTAATAATGCCTGTGCTCTTCTCCAGTCACAGGCCCTTGTTTTTGCATTTCACAGTAACTCTTCTGTGATAATTGCAAGGTCAGATTTTCTGATCATTATCTGCTGCTGACTTGTATTTATTTCTTCACTTATGTGTTCAAATATGTTCAGTTATCAAAAACCTATTTTGTATAAATTACTCCACTGGCATCAAGGAGAGAATGCATAGAAATAAAAAAATTCCCTGCCCTCAGTAAACTTACACACTGGAAGAGTTGACTGAAAGTTGGTTTCACTGCCTTTCCAGTCTGACCTGTGAGAGATTACCATAGATTCTTCACTCTAAGTTCTTCTATGAAAATATTACATATGTAATACATAAAAATATAAGTTTTTATATAAAAATGAAAATAGAGAAAGTAGAATAAAAAAGTAGAAGCTTTCTCCACTCACAGATGCATATACAAACATACCCGTTCTTTGTAGAAGGAACCATTCTGAAGAATTTCATGTGTCCCCCTACACTACTTTTTCTTTGGCTTTAGAAAGTATATATTTATGTATATTAAAGCATATACATTTTTATACATAAATGAGTTTATATTACTATAGAGCAATTCTACTTAAAGCATGCTTTCAGATTTCAATGAAACTTTGTTTTAGATACCTTCTGTTAATTAGATTTTGCAATACTTTAAAGTTAATCAAATAAGGCAGGCAGTGCCACCTAATTATAAAAAGCTAATACCAGTTCTAAATTATGTGCTAATGCTATTCTAATATAAAATACACATTAAGCCAAACTCAAAAACTCTACCTCTTAAATTATTAATTAATGTGTGATGCTGGTTAACCAGACAATTTTTACATTGATTTGAACTCAAAGAAATTATCTATGTAAAGTGGCTTAAAGTGGAAAAGTCTCCTTATTTTGATATCAAAGTCGTAGGGAGGTGATAAATATTTTTGATGTCTTTGGAAAAAATCAACTCAATAATGATAGTATTTTAATTTGCAGTGGACTGGAATTCAAGGTTCCATATAAAGAACTGTGGTTGTTTATAAAATAGTCAGAATATTGTGGAACATTGTAATATGCAATGATATGGCTTTTATGCAAACTAGGTACAAGCTGATGGCTCTTTCCTTTGTGATTGAATTATTTGCTCCACATATAGCCTGTTCAATCTTGAAAATTAAGTCAAATCCCAAGTATTTTCTCTTCCCCTGATCACTTAGTTATAAGAAATATTCGTATATTCTATTGTGCATTTCTTAGTTTTGATCTTCAACCTTAAATACCTTGGCTTTGCTTTTGTTACATAGTTTTAATTTACTGTTTAACTTGAATTATGCCATTATACTAAAAGGGATTAAAGAGAATATAGCAAATTAAAGTGTGGATTGGATGGTAGCTGTTTTAATGTAATACCAAAGCTGGGTTTCCACAAGTATTTCCTTTTATTTCTATTTTGTTCCTTTTATTGCATTAATTTAATTTATTTGCTTATTTATGTATTGGTTAGCTTTAGTGATATTTGTTCCTTGGCAACTCTAATTTATATAGCCTGTATGTGAGAACTGAGAATGAAAAGAAAAAAAAAGAAAGATTGTAATAGAAAGGAGAGCAATTGTGTACAACTGGAACTTCTAATATTCAATGACGTTACAATTTCAGGTTTATATTAAGTTCTCAGATTAGAATTTTATATAAAACATTGATGCCTATTAAAATAATTATTTGATATGGAAATGATACATTAGTATAAATTCTTGAATTATCAATTTATAAGGTTATTAGTTGGATAAATATTTATAAGATAATATCACATCATCATCCAATAATTGTATTATTTTACAACTTCTCTAACGTAACCACTGAACACCCTAAGAGCCTGCTGACATGGGTTTTTATCATTTCTATAATCTAGTTGGATGAGTAATGTGCTAATCTTTGATGAAAAGTTATGCTTCTTTTTAGGGGGCCGCAGATGGTGTGGAGGTAGATTGATTAATTTGTGTCATGGTTTTAAACAAGGATCAGGAAAAATATGTTTTCACAATAAAAAACATTTTTCAGAAAGAAAAACGTATGTAAGAGTGAGAATCGTATGCCTCAATCTAGCTTTGAGTTTGGAAATTATACATCAAGAACAGAGTGGATAGAATCAAGGCAATATTTAAGGTTATTAACCATAGGAAACAGATAATAAAATGGAACAAAGATCCTTCTTCATGGCTATATATCAAATAACATCATTTTAAATTTGTATCTATTTTGAATTGCTGGTAATGCTGCCATCTTGTTGCTGTACTACAAGATGAATAAAGAGCCTGGAAATAGTCAACATTTATTAGCAGGATTTTCAAAATATGTTCTTAAATTTAAACTTCATCACCTTTCATGTGCCACTTATTATCTCTTTTATTATCTACCTCACCTAAATTCTCTGGAAGCTGCTTGGTAAATTAAAAGGAAGATATTGAGCATATCAATAATTTTTTAGAGCAAGCATTAAATCCAGTGGTGTGTAGTAATAGATTTTTTTATGGGAGATATTATTTAGCTTTCCCTTATTGCTTCTAGTTATTTGTGTTCAAGAAAAATGTTTAGAGAGGTTCAATAGATGTCTATTGTCCCCCACAACTCTGACCCCCATACTCTAAAACAAGAATATCTCAAATCTAGGGTGTTGAAGAAAGAGGAACAAGAGGGTATCACCAAAAATTTTAATCACTTATTTGTATGTTACGTTTCACAAACTACCTTGAGAGACTTAATTTTATATAATGCAGATGTTAGTAGTTCAATCTCTAGAAGCAGAAAGACTGGAGTTTGAAATTTGGTTCTGTCACTTTTCCCCAGTGTGATCTTGCACCAGTGATTCTAGTCCTTAATTTCTTCATCTACAAATTGAAGAAAATACCAGTTTTTACTTTATAAAGTTGTGGTGAGCATGAAATAAATGTTATTGCATGTAAAGTTTATAGAAGTGTACAGAGAAGGCATATCAAAAGCATACATATTAGCCATTATTTTAATATTCTAATAATTTGTTAACCTAACTTATTTACCACCTAAAAAATTTGGTTGGTTTCCCATTGTCTACCAGACACAGCCTGAGCTCTTTGGTGGACCATTTATGACACTTTATAGTCTGATCCTGAGCTCTTTGTTGTACCATTTATGACACTTTATAGTTGGATCTAAACATCCCTTTCCATTCTTACCTTCTGTAAGTACCAAAAAGGATGTGGGTGAGTAAACATCACACACTTTTGGATATAGCTTCACAACACTATTCATCATTTCTAAGTAGATCATTTCCAAATGACATGATCTGTTTGCATAAAAGTGATCTTTGCCCATATTGCCTGCTAAATGTTTTCCACTTGCCTCCACTGGGCATGGATTATGACTTAGGTTAATTCTTAACTCTTCTTGTAAACCTTTCCTTGTTCTGGGTACTCCAGTCATAATTAATTAGTTTGTCTTTTGTGTTCTTATATAATTTAAAAAATATTTATATTTCAGTGCTATAACCAGTACTATGGTAATTTGTAACAATTTATCTGCCACAAAATTGTAAATTCTTCATGATCTTGAAAGGTTCAAGCTCCATGTCTTGTATTTATCACAGTTCCTAGGACATAGTAGGCATTTGATAATGTTTTCAGAAAGACAAACTCATGGAAATTAAGAAAAATGGGAGACATATTAAGAACTTAATAAAATCTTAATAAAGATTACTATGTACTGAATGATGGTGGCTCCCCCAAATTCTTATGTGGAAGCCCTAACCCCCAATGTGATGGTGTTTGGAGGTGGGGCCTTTGGGAGGTGATTAGGTTTAGATCTTGAGACAGAGAGCCTTATGATGAGATTATTACCCTTATAAGAAGAAGGAGACAGAGAGCTCCTTGGAAGGGCCATGTGAACGCACAGCTAGAAGGTAGTTACAAGCTGGGAATTAGACCCTCATCTGGAAATAAATCTGCCATCATCTTGATCTTGGATTTTCCAGTCACCAGAACTGTGAAAGACAAGTATCTATTGCTTAAGACATCAAGTCTTGGTATTTTGTTTTAGCACCCCAAGAAGGCTAAGGAAAACATATTATTTGGTGTTTTCATATTAGGTAGAGAAACATTTTTTAGATGAAAGCATGTCTATTTTGGGACTGGGATCCTCAAACAGAGGATATCACTGTTTTAAAATTTGAAAACTTTAATAGAAGTTAATATAGGCAAAATAAAAGAAACATGTTGATGATCAAGTGATCAAGGCAGGCTGGAGTGAGGTATAAGAAACCTAGTTTATAATACAGTGGATAGTAAATAAATATTTGTAGATGACTGCCCCATAATGAATGGATGCATTGATTAATAAGTGAAAACCTAGTAGGCCTCCCTCTACTGAACTTCAGTGTTGGCATCATGAGATGTCTCACTTTTAAAAAAATGTTTCCCATTAAGTTTCTCTTATTCTTTGTCAGTTGAAGAATATTAAGTTAGTTCCATCAGGTTTAACCTCACAACCTTGCACATTTCTGTAGTTATTCCAGATATGAAGTTCTGTTAAGTTAGTCTCCTAGCAAGCTGTCCATTAATTCTGAATTCAGACCAAACTTTAAAGTTATCAATAGGAATAAAGCTAATGAAGTCTATAGTTCCAAATAAAATTGATGATTATTTGTTAAATTACCAAGAGAGGAATATCCAAAATTTTCAAGGCAATTATATTTATGTACATGCATTTGACCACAGATTTTGAGACAGGTACTTCACAATATCATTGCATTTTGAACGATTAACTATTCATGATTTCATATATTCACGCATTATCAGGTCATTTATTTTAATTAAAATAATGTAACACCTTCCAATGATTAATAATAGGATGTTTCACAAAAGTAAATTCTACTTTATTAAAATCATAAAAATTATAGTAATAGATTAATCTCCTCCATAAGTTAGCTGCATAAAGTGCCTTCACCAATAAATAAAACTGTTCATTTTCAAGATTTGGGGTTTGTATTTCTTGACATTATGAAATAGATGCTTCCTTTTTTTTGGCCCTATACAAGCAATTTATTGAAATCTGTTAGAATTTGAGCTAAGTCTGTATTGGGCTTATTATCCTGCCTCCATGCTTGAAAAAAAAAAACAAAACAAAATACAGTTTCTTTAAAATAGTTGCTCTGAGATTACTTCCAACTTCCATATATAACGCGTGTCATTATTTTTTACTTACTGCTTCATAAATCAACCTTTTTTCTATTTTTCCTCTCTTTTATAAAAATCATCCAGGTCTATAATACTTCCTCCAATTCTTGCTCTAAGATGGGATCTCTGTGTATTACTAGGAAAAATACAACTGTAATTTAGTATTTATTGCAGGAATGACAACTGAGGAATAAAAAGCCTCTAACATTGCATCCAAATAATCCCAGATGAGGATCATTTTCATGCTTAATAAGTAGCTCTATTCACTATATCTTGTTTTGTTTGTTTCATATTTTTCCTGGTGTGGCGGTCTTGTAATAATTTTTGGCTCTAAAGTATGCTGTTGTTTGGTTTTAATAAGACATCAGCTTGCAGTAAAACTGAACAGATGCGATTTAAAGTGCTGATCTATCTTGCAGATCCCCATAAACTTGCATTCCTATTTCATAGGCATGAATAGGAATGAAACCCAGTGCAATTGTAAGTAGAATAATCTATTTCTAAGTTTTTATACCCCAACACCCCTACCTCCTCCCATTTTTCATGGCAAACATTTTCTTTGATAAGAAAGCCTTCATTGTAGGAAACAATCTCTCATGGGCTGATTTATCTGGATAATTTTTTGAAAACTCATGTTTACCATGACAGACTCTGCAGATTACACTGGGCTGAGAGTCAAAATATTAGCAGTGGATTTCTCTGCATAGTAGACATTAGTACACCTTTTTTGTTCAATGAGCTACTTTAGCATATGGGATGTAAAGTTCCACTATGTGATTATGTCTTGAGCTAGCTGAGTTATAGACAGTTCAAGTACTTTTTGATAGCGGATTTTTTTTTTTTTTTTTTTTTTTAGATGGAGTCTCCCTCTGTCGCCCAGGCTGGAGTGCAGTGGCACGATCTCGGCTCACTGCAAGCTCTGCTCACTGCAAGCTCTGCCTCCCGGGTTCACGCCATTCTCCTTCCTCAGCCTCCCGAGTAGCTGGGACTACAGGTGTCTGCCACCACGCCTGGCTAATTTTTTGTATTTTTAGTAGAGACGGGGTTTCACCATGTTAGCCAGGATGGTCTCGATCTCCTGACCTTGTGATCCGCCCGCCTCGGCCTCCCAAAGTGCTGGGATTACAGGCGTGAGCCACCGCGCCCGGCCTTGACAGTGGACTTTAAATAACCCAGCTCAGAGCACTTAACATGTTCTACTGACTTCCTGAGGGTTACTTACTCACATATTTTCAACATAGGCTTAATGTAGCATCATGAAAGGACCATACAAAAATGCTCAAAGATTGTTTCTCTAAGAACATGTTTGGATATTTTTAAAGGAAAATATGCTTATTATAAGTGTTAGAAGTTGTTATAGCACGTGCCTTGTAGTCCCAGCTACTCGGGAGGCTGAGGCTGGAGAAGCGCTTGAACCCGGGAGGCGGAGCTTGCAGTGAGCTGAGATCGCGCCACTGCACTCCAGCCTGGGCGACAGAGTGAGATTCCGTCTCAAAATAATAATAATAAAAAATTGTTATACCAAATATGGAATCGGTTTACCATGAAATTCTAAGCTGCTGAATTGGGGAGGGGCATTCATTGTGTTACTCTGGAAACATCACAATTATTTTTTAAAAAACTTTTAAGTTAAATTGGTTCTGGCAACTTTTCTAGCTGCCTAAAGGTAAGGTGTCGTAAACCTGTCGGAAACAGTGAATAAGTGACAGCAAATTTGGGAATAGAAAAGGAGAAAATAGTGATCCTACAGATTGAGATAAGTATACCAGATATTTGTCAGCATTCAGGAATACCACATTTATTCAACAGATGAAAAACTCACATAATCCAGTGGTTTCCAATGTCCTCTATAACAAGGCAGCTTGTGTGAGACTAACCCTCCCCTAAAAAATAGAAAAGATTAGTACGTGAGTCCACTCTTTTAAAGCATTAGGGAACCACCATGGCAGACAGAACTACGGGGCTACAAATTCTGGAAACAAGGGAGGCAGATTTATGTGAGTCCTATATTTATCTATCTCTGAGATTTTCCTCAGGGCTTTGTCAATGCCATGGGTGAGGTGGCAGAGCAGAAGTCGAAAGCCTGGGGTCACGAAAGTCTCATTGTGCTGAGGAAACAGAAGGTGGCGTTTGGACCCTCCAAGAACAATTGAATTTTAGGGAAAAAGTAACTGCAGGGAAGTGAGAGACTGCGTGAAGGCCTTTGGTCACTTCCTCCACACCTCCTTCCACCACACACTTCCTGTGTGGTGTTCAGGAAAAGACACCAGAAAACAAATAGCAAGCCATATTTGAGATCTAAAGAATTGAACAAATATTCCAACAGTCTTGGTTATAGGGAAAATGAAGCAAAAGTGTAGAGATGAACAAATTGAATGACCCCCATGAGCACTCAGCTTTCAATTAAGATCGCAGAAAGGATATAACCTAAGAGCAAGGTTTATGCCTTAGAGGTAAGAGTTGACCAAAGAAAGCCCAACTTTAAGAAAGCTTCATACCTTCCTTTGACTAGATCAGGGTGATCTGCCAAAATACTCTAGGCATGCACGAAGATTAGCCCTCTTTTGAGAAAGAGTATAAATCAGGGACTCCCCAATTATTATATACCATGTATGTCATTAATTAAAAATGACCAGACATGTCTATAAAATGTATGGAAACCAAAATTAAAAATACAGACTATCAAAATAGATCCACAGGTGATCTAGGTAGTCTAATTATTTATAAATAAGGGACTTTAATAATGATTATTAAGTTAAAAAATAAAAGATGTAGACTTATTGGAGGACTGGGATCTATAAGTCAACTTATCATTTTCAAACTAAGGAAATAGAATAATTGAATATAAGAATTAAAAAGCTAGACTTATTAATGTATTAAACATTGCAGGAGAAATAGCAAACTGAAAAAAGTCAGAATACTTGAAACACGTATAGAAATAGGATGGGAAATTCAGAAAGGCATGTAAAATTTAGGGAATACAATGAACAGATCTTTTTTAAAAATGTAATTTGAGTTCCAGAGTAAGAAGACTAGGGCAGAAGCAATATTTGACATAATATTTCCTGCAAATTTACCAAGATAGGCATAGACATCAAATATACAATGCAAGAAGCATGATGGACCCCAATTAGAAGAAATACAAAGAAAATCACATGTAAATGCATCATATAAAATAGCTGAACTAAAGAGAAAAATAAAATCTTCATAGCAGCCGGAAAAAAAAAATTTCCCTTAACAGAGAGAAAGAAAGAAAAAAAGAGTGGCAGCTGTTTTTTTAGCAGAAGCAATGAAAGAAAGAAGGAAAAGGAATCACATTTTTCAAGTTCTGAAAGCAATAACTGACAATGGAGAATTCCATATTATGCAAAATATTAACCAATCTTGTGTAACGATACCAGATACCAGATAAAGTAGTGTTTATGGTGAGAAATAGTATAAGAAATACGTAGGCATATTTCATTATGATAAATGTATGAATTCAACAGAAAGACATTACAATTCTAAATTTGTGTGTATGCAATGGTAGTTTAAAATATACATGGCAAAACCTAACAAAAGTTAAAGAAAAAATAACAAGGAGATAAAATAACAAGGAGATTTTAACATTCTCCTCACTCATGTATAGTCATTTTAACAGTCTTCTCTCAATCGTGTAAAACAGATACAAGTCAGAGTTAATTTATTAGTGTGGTAGGGCTGCCATAACAAAGTACCACAAAGTTGGTGGCTTAATCAAAGGAAATGTATTGTCTCTCAGTTCTGGATTATAGAAGTTTGAAATCAAGGTATCAAAAGGGTTGGGTCTTCCTAGAGGTTTTGTGGGACATCCACACCATAGAATAACAAGCAATTCAAGAAGCACAATTAAAAGAAATGTAAACAAACAAACAAACACCCAAATGCATCAAATAAAATTGCTGACACACACAATTATACGTTGAGATGTCAAGGGAATTTTGAAAAAGACATTCTCAAAAGGTTATATGTGATTCTATGTATATAACATTGTAAAAAAATGACAAAATTATAGACATGAAAAACAGATTATTGTGGCCAGGGGTTAGGAGATTTGAGAATGGGAGGTGGCTTTGGCTATAAATGTGTAGCACATGGTCTTTTGTGATATAACTCTTGGTGGTCACATGAATCTATTAAAAGATAAACTTACATAGACTCAATATATACACAAAGTGAGTATGTGTAAAACTTGTGAAATCGAAACAATATTGGTGGATTGTATCAAGGTCAATTTTTTTTATATTATACTCTGATTTTATACAGTGTTATCATTGGGGGAAGCTGAAGAAAGTTTATACAGGAAGTCTCTGTATTATTTCTTAGGACTGCATATGACTCTACTATTATCTCTGGATGCAAGAGTTAGAAAAAAATACAACATTCAGAGAATTAAAAGACAAGCCTGAGGCTAGGTGTGGTGGCTCACACCTGTCATCCCAGTACTTTGAGTGGCCAAAGCAGGCAGATCACCTGAGGTCAGGAGCTCAAGACCAGCCTGGCCAACATGGCAAAACCCTTTGTCTCTACTAAAAAACACAAAAATTAGCCAGGCACGTTGGCGGGCATCTGTAATCCCAGCTGCTCGGGAGGTTGAGGCAGGAGAATCACTTGAACCCGGTTGGCAGAGGTTGCAGTGAGCAGAGATCACTGTACTCCAGTGTACTCTGCTGTACTCCAGCCTGGGCGACAGAGAGAGACACTGTCTCAAAAAAATCCAAAAAACACAAGCCTGAGTGGGAGAAGATATTTGTGACACATACATAACAATGATACCACAGCCAGATCTATCTAGCTCTAGATCTAAATCAGGACAATAAAAATTAAACCGCAATAAAATACCGTTACAAACCTACCAGATGGCTAAGAATGAAACAAAACAAAAAATTAAAAATACGCAGTGATATCCAGGATGCAAGGCAACTGGAAATCTTACACACTGCTGATGGGAGTATAAATTAATTGATGCAACAGCTTTAGAAAATCCTTTGGCAATATATTCAAAGCTGAGCATCCCCATATTCTATGACCCAGCAGTTCCACTCTTCCATATACACCCAACACAAATGAGTCCATGAGATTTATTTTTAGCAATTTCTATATCTCATATAAATTAAATCATGGGTTAGATATTGATGTAATCTGACTTCCTTTATTCAACATTATGTCTGTGAGATTCTCTCTGGATGTTGAGTGCAGTAGCACAATCAAACTATGTGTCTTTCACGGCTATATAGCAGATTTGTCAACCGTGGTACTATTCCACCTTTTGGACTGGTTAATTCTTTATTAGTCAGGTTCATCCTATGTATGTTAAGATGTTTAGCAGCTTCCCTGGCCTCTACTCATTAAATGCCAGTAGCAGCCCCCTCAAGTTGGAACAATCAAAATATCTGTAGACATTCCTACTTTCAAGGAGGGACAAAATTGGCTCCAGTTGACTATCCAATCTGTATAGTATTCGGTTGTTGGAATGTATCATATAACTACCCACTTTACTGCAGTGCAAGTTTGGTTGATTGGGGTTTTGGTAACAGTATGGATTTATTCAAGTGAATAAGTTTACTCAAATTATCCTGAGGATAAAGTGGTTTAGTGTATAGGGTTTACACAACTTTTGTGAGAACTTTCCAGGGACAGTGGGGAAGCAATAATGATATTGTCACTAAATGTAAGCACTCGTGAAGAAGAAAGTTCAGGAAGTTCAGATGCTGGAGACCTCAACCTGGATCACCAAAGCAAGTATTTCTCAAAGGTACCAGGAAAATTGCATCTTTATGTAGTTTATTAAGGAAAATAAGAATTTTCCTCAATAAATAAAAATTATTGAACTTCATTACTGCCTTTTTGCACACAGAATTTCATGTGAATAAAAAGTATTGGTCTTACTATTGGAGGCCTATTACCATATCACAGCTAAATGCAAAACAAAACAAACATATATATTGGTTGACAACATTTATTTGAAAAATACAAAATAAGGTAATCTTTAAAAAACATGGTTGGCATGATTAGATTAAATAAGAATTTTCCTTAATAAATCTTGTGGTAAGAGTGCTTGTCTTATATATGGTATTTCTAGGAATGTTTATAAGAAAGGGAATTACGTCATTTGGTGAAATTATATAAAAAATAAGTACCTGGGGAAATTTATGAAAAATTATAAGGTGTTACACTCATAAATGAAGTATTTCTTCCCCAAAAGATTTATGTCTGTAGCTTTGGTTACACAGTGCAGACTTTTAAAATATCGTTTTTGCTTATAACTTCATCTCAAAAGATTTCTACCAAGTAAAAAAATGATATACCTGTTATAATAGTGATGATCTGCATATATAAAATTATAGCCATTCAACTGTTATTAATGGTGCTTTGCATTAGGTAGTGATGAATTATGATAGCTGCCTTATTTCCTAAACAATCCCTTCCACATATAACTAAACTATTTTAATAAAATCTTGATCATATTAAATTTTCTTTCATGTATGCATTTAAGGAAGTGTCACAAAAGCACAAAATTATATATTCACACAAACACACACAGATAAAACATAAACTGAAGTTGTGATGAATTAATAAAAATTATTGAACTTCATTACTGCCTTTTTGCAAACAGAATTTCAAGTGAATAAAAAGTATTGGTCTTACCGTTGGAGGCCTATTACCATATTACAGCTAAATGCAAAACAAAAGAAACATATGTATTGGTTAACAACATTTATCTGAAAAATACAAAATAAGTAATCTTTAAAAAACATGGTTGGCATGATTAGATTAAGAATGATTAGGTCGGGAGCGGTGGCTCACACCTGTAATCCTAGCACTTTGGGAGGCCGAGCGGGGCGGATCACGAGATCAGGAGATGGAGACCATCCTGGCCAACATGGTGAAACCCCATCTCTACTAAAAATACAAAAATTAGCTGGGTGTGGTGGCGTGTGCCTGTAATCCCAGCTACTGGAGAGGCTGAGGCAGGAAAATCGCTTGAACCGGGGAGTCGGAGGTTGCAGTGAGCCGAGATCGTGCCTAGCGACAGAGCAAGAGACTCTGTCTCAAAACAAAACAAAACCAGAATGATTATAAGAAAAGGGCTTTCTGTAAGGTTTGACTACTGTCATCTAAACTAAGATAATTACGGTTAACACACTTGTGTGCCTGATAGCTAACAAAAGCATTTAGTCCTCTAAGGACTGAGACACAATTCATAAGTTTTGTTTTTGTTTCTTGTTTCAATTTTTAAAAATCCAGGCATAATAATTGTACCTATTTACAAGGTACATGTGATATTTTGATAAGCATATAGAACTTAACACCGATCTGATCTTTTAATTGTTTCCAGGCAAGGAGCAGGCTCCATGCATGCATTTGGGCTCTGTGGAAAATCTAGCCAGGGATGCGGGCCTTTCTGAACGCCGCTTTCATTGTGCCCCCTGCAGCATTATCTCTTCGATGCGATGTCCCTGCTGACTGAAATGCAGAGAAGCTACTAAGATCCACACACCAGTTGCTGCAATCGGTGCCCTGCTCTTTGTCCCCCATTCACCCCAGGTGATTCAGCTCTTCTGGCACTCCCAGTGATTCCTGTGGGACAGGCCCAGAGTGGACTTCCCACGAAGATTCCCAGACTGGGGGAGAGCTCTAAGATCCACTTCCAATTCCTTTGTCTCACCTAGGAGACTCTGGGTTTATGGAAGTTCTCTCTGATTAGTGCTGTTGCAGCTGGGTTTGGGGGTCATGTAGTCTAAATGATTGTTTCTCTTACTGGTGGTGATTTTTCCAGTTTCTGTGGGCCCAGTGGATTTCTCTGCTTCTCCTTAGAGTTCTGGTGAACTCAGAATGTTAGTGTTATTCTTTTCTTTGAAAATAGTTTCCATTTGTAATTTGCTTGGAGAGTGATTCTGGGGGATTCTATTCTGCCATCTTGCTGCTGTCACTCTTTAATAAGATTTGTAACTAATTCTCAAATTGTTCATAGTCTTAAAACTACATAGAGTTGATTTCATACATTTTATTATGAGAACAATAAAAGTATTTTGTGTCTTTGCTAGTGAGATTTTTAGTTATACAGAAATTACAGTGTTTCCTGCTATGTTCAATCATTCCAAGATTCATTATACATATGTTAAATATGTTATACATTTGTTTACATAATGCATATTTTATTTTTTTTCTGAGATACCCAAAGCATAATCTCCCTCACTATCCTGAATAATTATAAATTAGTATTTCATATATGATAGAAAATTTGTGACATCCACTATTTTTAAGAACGGCTAGGCTGGGCGTGGTGGCTCATTCCTGTAATCCCAGCACTTTGAGAGGCTGAGGTGGGCGGATCACGTGAGTTCGGGAGTTCGAGACCAGCCTGACCAGCATGGAGAAACCCCATCTCTACTAAAAATACAAAATTAGCCGGGCGTGGTGGCACATGCCTGTATTCCCAGCTACTCGGGAGGCTGAAGCAGGAGAATTGCTTGAACCCGGGAGGTGGAGGTTGCAGTGAGCCGACATCATGCCATTGCACTCCAGCCTGGGCAGCAAGAGTGAAACTCTGTCTCGAAAAAAAAAAAAAAAAAAAAAGAAGAATGGCTAATTTCAGAACATGTTTATATGTATGTTGTATTCAATGTCTTTAATTAAAGTCTGTTTCTTTATCCTAATTTGTGTGGCAAACTAATATTTACCATAATAAATGGCTTGAAGAATAAAAGTCAATTAGCGGCTATATTTGTTAAATGTTAAAGTATTTTATTTTGTCTAAGAGAGGGTTACAAATTAAAATATATTTAATAATAATCGCCTTAGTAATTATATCGATTTAAAATACATACTAGATAATATACTTAAATTTATTTTTGAGACTATGTCATTTTTGACACAGTCAAAAACAAAACACCTTGTAGAGATGTCATATGATGATTATTCATGGTTATTTAAATGTAAATATCCACACATACACAAAAATGCCCAAAGAGGTCATCGCAAAGGAATAAATTGCATCTTACTAAGAAGTAAACTTAGAGCTCAGGTCTATATTTTTATCAGAGAAAACAAAAATCAATATTTCAGTATGTGTCTGTGTGACTACAATACAGATTCATCATCACACATTTACCAAGTCTAATAACATCCACTTTGGGTTACTCTTACGTATTTATTTTTACAACTGTAAGATGTGGTAGAGCTTCCTCTTTTTTGAATGCTAGTCATTTAATATGTATTTTTTCCCCAAAATTCCTGCTTCTCAGGCCTTGGCGTTTTTTTTGTTTTTGTTTTTAATACCAAGAGAATGCCTTTAGAGGAGCACTGAATATACAGAAAGCTCTGATGCCCCATTCTGACCAATTCACCTTTAACACTTCCTTTCTCATTCAACAAATTCATTTAAATATTTTTGAACAATTGTGTACTTTTCAGGTTGAAGGAAACATATTTATTTTTAGGCAGGAAGACTGATGCAATAAATATTTATTAAAATATTTTTCTCTCCAGGCTTAAACATGTCTGTCAGTTGATGAAATTCAGGGTAATCTTTGCAGGATGAATAAAATGACCTAGAGATTCTGTCAATGTTCTCACTCTCCGTGACACATTTTTATGCCTAGCAGAGTCATAGACTAAATTCTTATGAATCAGTTTTATGAAATACCTTAATAGAAGATATGGTCTTCTTCTATTGTGATAATTCATGACAATATAGTAAATCAGAGGGAGCCATTACATCTTATCAGCAATATAGGAGCACCTCCCCTTACTGGCCAGCTATGCAGCTTCTACATGATGTTAAATGATTGTGCATTTTGAAAACATCCTCAGAGAAAGCCTATACTTGGACATCTTTGGAGTTAACAGGTATTGTTAATAACTCACACAATAGTAAAACTCTGATGGATTGATTCTTGAATACTTGTTTCCCAGACACAACAACAGTGTTCATTTTCCAACAGTAAATGGCAAAACAAAACAAGGCCAACTAACACACTTCCAAACCAAAACCCACATACCCTGAGGTTCTCTGGTGACTCTTCAGAAGCAGATGGTCCACAGGAATAGACAACTCGGGATAAGCCAATAACCCCACCGAGCAGACTCCTTCCGCCAAAGGACCTCAGAAAACTGCCTTGATCCAGAAGCCTCTAATTGCAATACGCTTATTTGCAAGTTTTTGTTCTTTATTCTCTATATTCTTTCCCCCTACTGGAAAAAGGTTCTGAATTTTTAGCAGATACCCCTCTCCTGAAGTCATAGTACTGCACGACTCATTGATAATGACCAGGTTATGTGAATTCACTGTCACACCAGATGACGGAAAAAAGATCACTAAAGAAGAAACAACATGACTAATTCCACTTGAAGAGGTGAAAATACACTGTTACAACATGATACAAGATTACTAACCACTGAGTGAACAGTGTTGCAAGTTTGGATTGATCATATCCCCAGGAGGGGATGGTTTGTCCTTTAGCTTAGCCTGAAAGCCCACCAGATGCGGAACTAATGAAATAAAAAAGTACCTGGTGATAGCAAGGGTATGCATACGTGGGTTGAGGGTGGGGATGAGAACTTAAGCAGAAATCATGACTTGCAAAATAGACTGATTTATTATTCACAAAATAAATCTATCAAACAAAACCATAATATACATGCCACACTATCTGTAATTAGATTTTTTAATATCAGCTTTATCAGACCCATATGCTCCAGGAAATCAAAGAACAACAGAAAAACTTCCCTCCATTTCTACATGAACCCATGTACTCTAATGGTGAGATCACTGACTAGTCCAGCACTTTGCCTATTTCCTGTATCTTGGAGAATCCTTGCCAAAACAAGCTTATGATTAACTTCAGCCTGTCAAATTCTAAAATAGCTTTTCCTTAGCTTCTCCTATGAAATACTCCGTGATCATTCATGTGTATGTCATTCTTTGCTGCAGCAGGCTACATAAACCTATGTCTTTTGAGTTACAAATATCTTCTCAGTGGTCTTTAGTTGGAGGATCTGTCATTAGTTTAAAAAGGTAATTAGTTTTTAAAAATTGTTTTGAAAAAGATATAGATGAGATCCAACACTACCATTTCAAATTTTTATTTAAATGGCTAGAGAATATTATATCGATTTATTTTACATAGTTTTCTCTTACAGCTTTTAATTAAATCTAGATCCTGGTGAGTGGAAAATTAGACAGTTTTAGAGAATGAATAAAACAAAAATATTCTAAATATACAATCATATCATCTGCAAACAGAGACAATTTGACTTCCTGTCTTCCTATTTGAACACCCTTTATTTCTTTCTCTTGCCTGATTGCCCTGGCCAGAACTTCCAATACTATGGTGAATAGGAGTGGTGAGAGAGGGCATCCTTGTCTTGTGCAGGTTTTCAAAGGGAATGCTTCCAGCTTTTGACTATTCAGTATGATAGTGGCTATGGGTTTGTCATAAATAGCTCTTATTATTTTGAGATATGTTTCATCAATACCTAGTTTATTGAGAGTTTTTAACATGAAGGGCTGTTGAATTTTATCAAAGGCCTTTTCTGCATCTACTGAGATAATCGTGTGGTTTTTGTCACTGGTTCTGTTTATCTGATGGATTATGTTTATTGATTTGCATATGTTGAACCAGCCTTGCATCCCAGGGATGAAGCCAACTTGACCATGGTAGATAAGCTTTTTGATGTGCTGCTGGATTTGGTTTGCCAGTATTTTATTGAGGATTTCGCATTGATGTTCATCAGGGAAATTGGCCTGAAATTTTCTTTTGTTGTTGGGTCTCTGCCAGGTCTTGGTATCAGGATGATGCTGGCCTCATAAAATGAGTTAGGGAGGAGTCCCTCTTTTTCTATTGTTTGGAACAGTTTCAGAAGGAATGGCACCAGCTCCTCTTTGTACCTCTGGTAGAATTCAGCTGTGAATCTGTCTGGTCCTGGGCTGTTTTTTCTGTTAGTAGGCTATTAATTACTGCCTCAATTTCAGAACTTGTTATTGGTCTATTCAGGGATTTGACTTCTTCCTGGTTTAGTGTTGGGAGGGTGTATGTGTGCAGGAATTTATCCATTTCTTCTAGAATTTCTAGTTTATTTGCATACAGGTGTTTATAGTATTCTCTGATGGTAGTTTGTATTTCTGTGGGATCAGTGCTGATATCCCCTTTACTATTTTTTATTGCGTCTATTTGATTCTTCTCTCTTTTCTTCTTTATTAGTCTGGCTAGCATCTATCTATTTTGTTAATATTTTCAAAAAACCAGCTCCTGGATTCGTTGATTTTTTTTGAAGGTTTTTTGTGTCTCTATCTCCTTCAGTTCTGCTCTGATCTTAGCTATTTCTTGTCTTCTGCTTGTTTTTCTCCTTAAGCTTATAAGCAGCTTCAACAAAGGGTCAGGATACAAAATCAATGTGCAAAAATCACAAGCATTCCTAAACACCAATAATAGACAAACAGAGAGCCAAATAATGAGTGAACTCCCATTCACAACTGCTACAAAGAGAATAAAATGCCTAGGAATACAACTTACAAGGGAGGTGAAGGACCTCTTCAGGGAGAACTACAAACCATTGCTCCAGAAAATGAGAGAGGACACAAACAAATGGAAAAAGATTCCATGCTCATGGATAGGAAGAATCAAGATCGTGAAAATGGTCTTACTGCCCAAAGTAATTTATAGATTCAATGCTATCCCCATCAAGCTACCATTGACTTTCTTCACAGAATTAGAAAAAACTACTTTAAATTTCATATGGAAACAAAAAAGTGCCCATATATCCAAGACAATCCTAAGCAAAAATAACAAAGCTAGAGGCATCATGCTACCTGACTTCAAATTATACTATAAGGCTACAGTAACCAAAACAGCATGGTACTGGTACCAAAACAGATATATAGACCAATAGAACAGAACAGAGGGCTCAGAAATAACACCACACATCTACAACCATCTGATCTTTGACAAACCTGACAAAAACAAGCAATGGGGGAAGGATTCCTTATTTTATAAATGGTGTTGGAAAACTGGCCTAGCCATATGCAGAAAACTGAAACTGGACCCCTTCCTTACACCTTAACTCAAGATAGATTAAAGACTTAAACATAAGACCTAAAATCATAAAATCCCTAGAAGAAAACCTAGGCAATACCATTCAGGACATAGGCATGGGCAAAGACTTCATGAATAAAACACCAAAAGCAATGGCAACAAAAGCCAAAATTGACAAATGGGATCTAATTAAACTAAAGAACTTCTGCACAGCTGAAGAAACTATCATCAGAGTGAACAGGTAACCTAAAGAATGGGAGAAAAAATTTTCAATATATCCATCTGACAAAGGGTTAATATCCAGAATCTACAAGGAACTTAAACAAATTTAGAAGAAAAAAAACAAACAACCCCATCAAAAAGAGGGCAAAGGATATGAACAGATGCTTCTCAAAAGAAGACATTTATGTGGCTAACAAACACATGAAAAACAACTCATCATCACTGGTCATCAGAGAAAGGAAAATCAAAACCACAATGAGATTCCATCTCATGACAGTTAGAGTGGCGATCATTAAGAAGTCAGGAAACAACAGATGCTGGAGAGGATTTGGAGAAATAGGAACACTTTTACACTGTTGGTGAAAGTGTAAATTAGTTCAACCATTGTGGAAGATAGTGTGGTGATTCCTCAAGGATTTAGAACTAGAAATACCATTTGACCCAGCAATATCATTACTGGGTATATACCCAAAGGTTTATAAATCATTCTGCTATAAAGACACATGCACACGTATGTTTATTGCGGCACTGTTAACAACAGCAAAGACTTGGAACCAACCCAAATGCTCATCACTGATAGACTGGATAAAGAAAATGTGGCACATATACACCATGGAATACTATGCAGCCATAAAAAAGCATGAGTTCATGTCCTTTGGAGGGACATGGATGAAGCTGGAAACCATCATTCTCAGCAAACTAACACAGGAACAGAAAACCAAACACCGCATATTATCACTCATAAGTGGGGGTTGAACAATGAGGACACATGGACTCAGGGAGGGGAACATCACACACCAGGGCATGTCGGGGAGTGGGGGGCTAGGGGAGGGATAGCATTGGGAGAAATACCTAATGTAGATGACGGGTTGATGTGTGCAGCAAACCACCATGGCATGTGTATGCCTATGTAACAAGCCTGCACATTCTGCACCTGTATCCCAGAACTTAAAGTATAAGAATAAAAAAAGGAAAATACTTATAAGAAATGTGGTGGCTCACGCCTGTAACCCCAGCACTTCGGGAGGCCGAGACAGGTGGATCACCTGAGGTCAGGAGTTGGAGACCAGCCTGGCCATCATGGTGAAACCCCATCTCTACTAAAAATACAAAAATTAGCTGGGCGTGGTGGCAGGCACCTGTAATCCCAGCTACTTGGGAGGCTGAGGCAGGAGAATTGCTTGAACCTGGGAGGCAGAGGTTGCAGTGAGCCAAGATCGTGTCATTGCACTCCAGCCTGGGTGATAAGAGTGAGGCTGTGTCTCACTACAAAGAAAAAGAAAAGAAAATATTCCTTCTTCATTCCCTTAATGTTTAGTAGTGTCAACAACTACAAGCATTTATGAAAATTCATGCGTATAAAATAAGTCTTACTTCATTTTTTTAACCAATAGACTATCTTTATGATGTCCAATTTTTTAAAGAGGCAAATCCAATACCTGAATTATCAATTTATTCTATTTTCTACAATCAAAACAGGCAAGTTAAAAGGTATAGTCTAATCAAAAGTGCTTTTTAAAAATTAATTATTTTAGATTTCTAGAAAACTCCACCTGACACTATCTGAATGCTGACATAATAATACTACCCCATGTCCCAGCTATTTATTGTCTTTGAATTGTCCTCAGGAAAAAAATTCAGAGAAATTATGAGCTTCAGACTAACCAAAGGGAACAATTACATAAATTATTCAATATTGAAAATGTGTGTAATTTAGGCTATTATAATTATACATAAAATGATAAAAGCAATTTCACATTTAAAAGATCACATTTACCTTTTTCCTCTCAGGGAAATATATATGCATAAAATAAAGCTTAGGTAGCAATTATAAATTATAGATAAAAATTGAATAATTACAGTCCTGGTTTCTTACATTGTGATTATGATGATTATTTTATTTCATTAAACATACTTACCAAAACCTTTAACTAACTGCATTTTGCCCCATAAAGCTAACAAGAAAAGGGAGTCAAGCCCTGCTTCAAAATTTTTCAGTGTAAGTTCTCACCCATGAATGACACAGACTTTAGAGTTTGAAATGGCATGAGTGAAGTTATACGGATTAACATGTTTAACAAAAAGAGCCAGTTTTTCTTCTGCCTTAGGCTCCTTCTGATCCAACACAAAATCTATTTAGTTATATGAATAATTATGTTATCCACTTCATTTCCCCAAAATAAATACACTTGAGTGGAAAGTGCCCCATTTGTAATGAAATCTTTGTTTCCATTTTAAGCTCATTAGTCCATTTAATTCAAGAAAATTAAATCGAATCAAGGAATGAAAATTTCAATAAGCATTGCCGTTTAGGTTCTCATCATAATACACAAAAATGAAAACTCCCTAAGTTTTTGCCCCTAGTTTAAACTGCTACCCTTGTTAGATTAATTCTTGCTGAATCCTTGTGCATGCTTTATAGTAAGCAAGGAAATAAACTTTGTTTCAAGAGTTCATTTTATCAAATTCAATTTTCTAAACTGCTGTGTTTTTTTTGAGGTAAAACTAGATATAGGAATCATTCAAAATAAAGAGATGTCTTAATTTTTGCATTATTATTATTTGAAGATCAGGTTAGAATGGAACTCCTTTGCTGCACCTAAGTAATGTAGTTGCAAATGTTGTGTTATTTCACGTAATTCAAACAGTTTAGGTATGACTCAGTTAGGTGATTAGTTGATATTATTAATTTTGACATAAGTCTGATAGCATGCAGCACACTCAGGAAATAGGTTTATTGAATCATCATTTATTAATTGGAGCTGCGTATCTATTTTGTCCACATTGAGATAAAAATTCCTTTCTTTAATATTTTTCCGATAGTAAATATAATTGCTACTAATTAAAAAACATTTTGGAAAATATTTTAGAAAAATAACAACCAAAAATTAGCCATAATTCCACCATCCAGATTTATCTACACTGTGCTTTTAAAATTTCATCAATAGTCTTTAAACATATATACCTTAAAATCTGGTCTAGAGCCATAAAGACAGTATACAAGGTAATAGTATGTTAAATTTTGTAAGCTTCCTATTATGCTTAACACCATATTATGTTCCCATATTCCTAAGTATTCTTGCACCTGTTGCAATGTCAATTTAACCCACAGTGATCAGAAAAGCATATCAGTGAAATTCTTAACTGCAGATGACTCATTGTCACTCAGAGTTGTTCCGGAATATGTGTGAAGTCCAGGTGACAGAGCCAGTTCTTCACTGTTGTCCTCTGGTCCATCTATAGGCAGTGACAGAGCAGACTCATCAACATTTTGAAGCCTCCTCCTCTGGTCTCCTTTCCTCTTACCTTTTCTACTTCTTTTCTATAGGTAGCATCTCTGCTACACATTGCTATTCCTTTTTCTACCCATATTTGTGATTCTTCAGTGTGGAGTTTCTACAACAAAAAAAGAGGCTGGCCGAGGCGGGTGGATCACGAGGTCAGGAGTTCAAGACCAGCCTGACCAAGATGGTGAAACCCCATCTCTACTAAAAATGCAAAAGTTAGCTGGGCGTGGTGGCGGGTGCCTGTAGTCCCAGCTACTTGGGAGGCTGAGGCAGGGAATTGCTTGAACCCAAGAGCTGGAGTTTGCAGTGAGCCGAGATTGCCCCACTGCCCTCCAGCCTGGGCAACAGAGCGAGACTCCATCTCAATAAACAAAAAAAAAAAAAAAGAAAAAAAAAAGAAAAAGAGGCTGGGCTTGATGGCTCACGCCTGTAAACCCAGCAATTTGGGAGGCTGAGGTGGGAGTTTGAGCCCAGGAGTTTGAGACCAGCCTTGGCAACATGGAGAAACCACATCTCTACAAAAATACAAAAATAGACCCGAGGCCAGGCGCGGTGGCTCATGCCTGTAATCCCAGCACTTTGGGAGGCTGAGATGGGCAGATCACCTGAGGTCAGGAGTTCGAGATCAGCCTGGCCAACATGGTGAAACCCCGTCTCTACTAAAAACACAAAAATTAGCTGGGTGTGGTGGCACACACCTGTAATCCCAGCTACTTGGGGGGCTGAGGCAGAAGAATTGCTTGAATTCGGGAGGCGGAGGTTGCAGTGAGCCTAGATCGTGCCACTGCACTCCAGCCTGGGCAACAGAGTGAGACTTTATCACAAAAAAATATATATATATTAACCAAGCATGGTGGTGTACACATGTAGTCCCAGTTACTCAGAAGGCTGAGGCAGGAGGATCACCTGAGCCTGGAGGTCCAGGCTGCAGTGAGCTGTGATTTGTGCCACTGCACTCTAGCCTGGGTGACAGAGGACAGAGGGAGACCTTGTCTCAAAAAAAAAAAAGAAAGAAAAATAGATTGTGTGTATATATAATTTTATGTAAAATTATAAATATACATTTATAAAATATATTTATATTCTTACATAAAAGAAAATGATTTTATATATATAAAATATTATATTTATATACACAATATTTTTTCTTTTAGAAATGTAGTTTTTGACTTCTCAGTCCTGACATACTATATTAGAGAAATACATTTTCTCAAATAAAAGTGAAGATGGTGAGGGTGCAAAAAGGTAATGAAAGCATAGACCTTTTTCATAAGTGTTAAACTGTGGGTTATTCTGCATAGCATGATGCAAACCTGGACTGTTCCTGCTACCTCACCTGGAACATGAATCATTTCTTTGTCGGGTGTCTTCTGGCTATAGATGCTACCCTCCCATTAGTCACTTGGTACCCATCGTGGTGATCAGGACATCACAGGGCTGGTGTTCAAATAACTCTTACTTTACTTAATCATGGCCCCAGAGTGCAAGAGTGGTGATGCTGGCTATGTGGATATTCCAAGAGAAGCCATAAATTACTTCCTTTAAGTGAAAAAGTGAAAGTTCTTGTCTTAATAAGGAAAGAAGAAAAACTTTTATTGCAGCATATTGTTAGAATTATTCTATTTTTATTATTAGTTATTGTCATTAATCTCTTACTGTCCTTACTTTGTAAACTAAACTTTCTCATAGGTATGTATGTATAGGAAAAACGTGGTATATATAAGGTTCTGTACTATCTGTGGTTTCAGATATACACTGGGGGTCTTGGAACGTATGCCCCACGGGTAAGGGGCATGATTGTAATGGCAACATATTATGCCATCATATGGACATACCAAACGTATTTAGCTAATCTATTATTCAAGGATTTAAGCTATTTTTACAGTTTCCATTTATAAATAACAATGCAATGAAAACTGTTCTTCTCCAATAGATTCCTTAAGATAAATTCCTAGAGGTGAATGATTAGATCAAGAATATAAGCATTTTTATGGCTCTAAATTCGAAATATCATGTGTCTAATAGAGAGCTATGATTGACACTCTCTGGTAGTTGGTTATTGTCTGTTTGCCTCCTCTTCAACTGACCCGAAACCTAAGATCCATCTTTGCCTTTTTCTGTTCTGCTTTACCTCCTAGGAAGTTGATTGGCGTGAGCTTGATTACACCATATGGGCTTCCTTGCCCTTGGTGTCTGGTTGGGTTCGATTAAAGAAAGGCACTGGCAGGAGATGGAAAGGTGGGAATAGAAGATCAGGGGATTTATCCATACTCATCACACCTTCTCTATTTTTCTTCCTGGAAATAACTGTGGTGTACATTTAGAGTTCTTATAGGAAATCCCAATTTCTACAGTGCAGACTTTAACCAGTCTCCTGTAATCCAATTTTCTCCCTTTCTGGGCTGAAGTTTGGTAATGGTTTTCTGCTGCTTCTACTTCTTTGGTGCCTCGCTTATAATTTGTAATTCCCTTAACTGTGTTCACACCCCAATAAATAGAACCTATTGACTCCGCATACACTGACTTTCTAAAGTAAGTCCAGAAAAGTTTTCCTGATTCCTGGGACTGCTGGCCTCCTCCCTGAAAGCCCTGACTTGCCTGTAGCACTGTGATTGATACTTAAGACTCAGCGTCATGAGCAATGCCCCACATCTGCCATGTACCTGTGCCCGCATGACTGCCCAGCCACCCCGAAATCAAGATGACTTCTCTCTTGTGCCTCTTTTCAACTCTTGCATAGTGCCTCTCAGTAGAAGACTACAGCTGGAACCCTGCTGTGAAAAACAACTAGGAAATGCAAGAAGAGCTTAGAAGGGTAAGCCTGCTTCTGAAAACAGCAAGCTGTATCTGGTACCGTTCACCACTTGGATAATAACTTTTATATACATCTTCCACTCATATTTAAACTTTCAAACTCATCAGTGGCAACATCATGTTTTGCCTAACATGGTGCCAAGAAGATGTGCTCATTACAAACCCCAAAATAGGAGGTCAAACTTCCTATAAGCCTCTGTACTTTCTTGTGATGTGTATTCATTTACTAGTACAGCCACCGTCATGTTTTGATCTTATACAACTTAATGACCACCACCACCAATTTACAGTAGAAAATTTTAGTAGATGGGAATGAGCTTCTGCAAAGGATTCTGCAACTTGTCATGAGGTTGTATGTGGAACTTATAATTTTTTCATTCCATATTAATTTCTTGTTTCTTTGCCCTCAGCTTGAGTTTTATGAAGTCATAGCTCCTGACCTTGTAGATTGAGTCAAATTATCATTGAAATTCTGAGTCATGCCAGGCGCGGTGGCTTACCCCTGTAATCCCAACACTTTGGGAGGCTGAGGCGGGCAGATCACCTAAGGTTGGGAGATGGAGACCAGCCTGACTAACATGGAGAAACGCCATCTCTACTAAAAATACAAAATTAGCTGGGTGTGGTGGCACATGCCTGTAATCCCAGCTATTGGGAGGCTGAGGAGGGAAGATCGCTTGAACCCAGGAGTTGGAGGTTGCGGTGAGATCGCGCCATTGCACTCCAGCCTGGGCAACAAGAGCAAAACTCCGTCTCAAAAACAAAACAAACAAACAAAACAACAACAACAACAAAAAAGAAATTCTGAGTCATTAGTGATCTTACTACTTGGGAGTGTTTTAGTGTTTCATTATCTTATGTCATTGGACAGGGGCATTACTAAGAAGTACAATCAGGATTTCACTTGAATTCCAGAAATTATTCTTGTGGTTTCCATTTTGTAGGAACAGCTGCATTTTTCCCTTGATAAGCAGGAATGATCAAATGTGATTCACCTTTGTTGCTAATTGATGACCTGTACATGATAATGTGGCAGCCTCAACTTGGAATTCAGGACAGCCATTGTGCTCACAGGTGGAAACATATTATCTTTTTAAAATCAAAGTCCTATAAATTATTATTGTGCAAGACTTGGAGGAGAGGAAGTGTAATAAAGAATTGGACACCATATTTTGATATTTGATTTTGATATTTGACTGCCTCACATGCCTTGCTCCCATGAATACCTCTCTGCCTCCCGTCTGGGCACACTGATAAGAAAGCCTGGCTGCTCTCTCCTTTGGTGCAGGCCAGAGGTTCAAATGATACAAATTCCTGCCTGTGTACAGCAGCCCTCACCATGCTCCTACCCCAGACACAATAATAACCCTTAGGCCATGAGGGATCCACCTTCATGGATGGGATTAATGCCTTATAAAACGGCTGAAGGAAACTAGCTAGGCCGACTAGTTCAATTTTTTACTTGCTCACTCAAGCCAGTTTTGGGCCTGTTGAGGAGACCTGCCCTGCTCCCTCCAGAAAATAAAAGTAATAAAGCTTTTCATACCCTCTTAATAGGTATGTGGTGTTATCAGTCTTGACATCTGATCCAAATGATCAGTGGAGGACCATCCTGTATAGAGGTGCTACAATAAGTGGTAAAAATGTTGATTTTGATCATTAGGATTAATAGTAAGAAGAGCCATTGTATTTTCATCCTTTGGCTCCAAATGCATTTTGGCAATGGGAAAAGCAACTCCTCATGTTGGTAAATTGCTATCTTTCAAGATATAAGGATATATTAAAGAATAGCATTCCAGATATAAAACGAGTTATCACCAGCCAGCTTCATAATTGATCTCTAATGGATCATTTTACCATTGTATAAATAACATATTTGTGTCTTCCTTTTGAAAACTTACAACTATTTTTAAAAATTTGCTGAACTAGCTGAGGCCCCTAGCAGAATGATGAATAGAAGTAACAATGTGAGGCAACTTTACTTCATTTCTGAACTCAAGGGGGAAAAAGAGCAATGTTCACTATTAAGATAGATGCTAACATTTTTTCTTCAGATTTTCATTATCAAATGTATCTGTTATTTGTCTTTGTATCAAACCAAATCATGAGTTAGTAGCTTCAATCATTATCATGTATTTAGATGCTAGGTCTCTGGGTAAGAAGTTTAGGCTAGGCTAAGTTGGGTAATTCTTTGATGGTCTTGATAGATGATGTCTGTTCAACTAAGCCTTATAATTGTTGTGAAGTGATCTACTTTATTTCTGGTACTTCATTTTGCTTTAAAGTCTACTTCTTATTTTAACATAGCTACCTTAATGTTCTTCGATGGGTGTTTATATAGTATGTCTTTTTCTATACCTTTACATTTTCTGCATGCAAATAATTCAGATGTATTTTTTATGGGCATGTATATATACATTTTGCTTGTATTTTTTCATTTAGACTGACAAACACTTTTTTTCACATGGGAAATTGTGAATTTATTTATACATTGAGTTTTAATTCTGTGATATGATTATGTTATTCTTATTTGGCCCTAATATTTTACTTCTGATTTCCTTTCTTTTTGACTGATTAATATATTTAATATTTTTATTATTCTATTTTTCTTATTGGTATTTTAGTTATACAGTCTTTCACTATTCTATGAATTGTTAACCTAGACATTTGATGCTCTCTTGACTTATGTAATTCTTTCATTTAATATTTTCAAACACAACAGTGTATAAATTTTTGTTTTATTCAAAAATGTTACTTTTTTTTTTTTTTGGTCTCACTCTGTCACCATGGCTGGAATGCAGTGGTGACATCTCAGCTCACTGCAACCTCTGCCTCCCGGGTTCAAGCGGTTCTCCTGCCTCAGCCTCCTGAGTAGCTGGTATTACAGGCACCTCCCACCATGCTTGGCTAAGTTTTGTATTTCTAGTAGAGATGGGGTTTCTCCATGTTGGTCAGGCTGGTCTCCAACTCCTGACCTCAAATTATCTGTCCTTCCTCGGCCTCCCAAAGTGCTGGGATTACAGGTGTGAGCAATTGCGCCTGAAATATTACTTTGTATTTACCCACATATTTCACATTTTCATTGCTTTTTGCAATTAAGTATATATGAAATCTTCTAACTGTGACCTTGCTATCTCTTATCCCCTCTTTTGTAGTTTTTATTGTTTTGTCTTTCTGAGCTTTAGTCTTGATAGTTTCTTCTCATCTGTCTGCAAGTTTACTACATTCTTCATTTATATCTCATTTCCTCTTATATTTGCACACTAAATTATTAATTTTGGTAAACATATTTTGTGTAAAATGTTTACACTAAACTTTTTTTTAAAAAAGAGTTTTAAAAAGTATGATACCAGTTTTTTTTTTTTTTTTTTTTTTTTGAGATGGAGTCTTAATCTGTTGCCCAGGCTGGAGTGCAATGGCACGATCTCGGCTCACTGCAACCTCCGCCTCCCTGATTCAAGCGATTCTCCTGCCTCAGCTTCCCGAGAAGCTGGGATTACAGGCACCTGACACTGCGCCTGGCTAATTTTGTATTTTTAGTAGAGACAGGGTTTCACCATGCTGGCCAGGCTGGTCTTGAACTCCGGACCTCAGGCGATCTGCCCGCCTTGGCCTCCCAAAGTGCTGGGATTACAGGCCTGAGCCACCATGCCAGGCTGATACCAGTTTTTAAAATCTTTTAGTTCTTTCTTGAAATGCTGCTTAAACTTGCGTTTATAGTAACTGTAGATATTTTATAACCCATACATATTATTAATTCTACTCTTTGGAGTACCTGAGGACCTAATTTTATTTAATATTTTGTGTATGTTGGTCCCTACTCATCTGCCATATCTTCTAATTTCCCTAGATATCTTTGTGTAGTGGACATTTTAGTTGAAGCACTATTTTTAGAAATAAATTTCAAGATATTGGATAATCTAATATCCTCCCAGAGAGAACTTTTTAACCTCTTCAGGACCTGAGAACATAAGAAATATATGACCAGCCTAATCCAATTTCAGAAAGTTAGATTGTTTAGGACTGCTGGTGTAACTCAAAGAGATGTTATAGTCCTATGTAAGGGCTTGCTTACTTCTATGTATGTTTACTCTTAGGACACAGCACTTTAAAACTTCAACTCTAAATAAGAATGGTTTACAGTGCCTCAAAGTTAGCATGTTCTATTGTATTCTTATTCCTCTTCTTCTTGTTCCACAAGGGTACAAATTTCCTGCTAATTCTATCAGCATAGTGGCCCTAAATGCTTGGTTTCTTTCACTGATATACAATGTATATCAGTGTATCTTAGCCTTGTAACTTCTTGTTATTTGATTATTCTAGGAAATTATTTTAGTTACTGCAGTTATAATTTTATTTTGTTTTAAGTAAAGATTGCTATTTCCTAAGTTCACTATTACTAAAATCAGAAGTCTCCCACTTCACTGTTTTATTTAGGCATTTTCTTCCCCACTCTGTGTCTTAGTCCATTTGTGCAGCTATAACAAAATGCCTTAGACTGGGTAATTTATAATCAGCATACATTTATTGATCACAGTTAAGGAGGCTGGATATTTAAAGATCAAGGTACCGGCGGGATCATTGTCTGGTCAGGACCCAATCTCATTTATGAGGCATTAATCCTATTCATGACAGTGGATTCTTCATGAGCTGATCACCTCTTAAATGTTTCACCCCTTAATACGGTGTGCTTTGGGTATAAGTTTCAGTATAAATTTTGAAGAGCACACAAACATTCAAACTGTACCACCCTGATAGGAAAAGCTGATAGAACCATAAATCTCATGAACTAGAGATGATTTACACAATATTTTATTGTAAAATAAAATTCCCTGATCAAAGGCAATGCTGAGTGAAACGTTATGATGATGAATAAGATATTTAATAAATATATGGATGGTAGTGTTGGCGGAATTAATACAGATAGAGAATGCAGCTGCAAATTAGGTGTAAGTGTCTATTTTACTGCGGACAAATGGCTGCTCCTGCCATGATGGAAGAATTCCAATGTAATCAATCCTAATTTGCTACCAGTTGGCTGTTCTTCCTCTCCAGGGAATGGTGCCATATCAAGGAATCAACACTATTCTGTTGTTGACATATTAGATATGCAGTAGTAACGTTAGCCAAATCAGTCTTGGGAAGACAAGATTATGCAATCATTTTATCCTTGCTGGCATGGCTATATTTTTTATGTACTCATTTAGCAAGAACCAGGTCATTTGGGGAAGAAGGCAGACTGACCTCTATTGAATAGATCATTTTATCTACCTGATCACTAAGAGCTTGATTTATAGAAGATACGCTCTGATGATCGATCTTATGGCAGTTAAAGCTTCGTATGCTCAGTTCTTATACTGAGTATCAGTCCAGAGATCTCATACTCATTCCTCAAATGTTATTCCTTCAGAGCCTATGATAATCAGCGAAGCCATTAGCCACTGTTCATGTTTCAGTATGGCTCCAAAACTTGGTTATCTCTTCTTAGAGCCGAAGTAGACAAACAGATGTGTTGTTCCACATTCTATCCATGGGAAGTAATTTTTTATCCACTGTTATTCAAGGACATACCTGTGAAGGACTTTGGGAGCAACCAGTGTTGCCTTAGGCCGTATCAACCTATTATATGGAACTATCCTAAATGAAGCTCCAGATTTTTTTATTTCTCATTTAACTGGTCATAAAGAATTCCACATGAAGCCATAGATTTGGGTGGAGGTAGAGGTGGTAATAGTAGGTCCTTGGGAGCCTGAGCCATTGATTATAAGATTTTTGCCTTCAGAAAGAGCTTTGTCCTGATCTTTTCTATAACACTCACACTTGGCAATAGAATACTTAACTCTAGGCCTTCATAGATCATACATATTTTCTGATACATATATATATTTTTTTTTGAGATGGAGTGTCGCTCTGTTGCCCAGGCTGGAGTGCAGTGGTGTGGTCTTGTCTCACTGCAGCCTCCACCTCCCAGGTTCATGCCATTCTCCTGCCTCAGCCTCCCAAGTAGCTGGGCCTACAGGCGCCCGCCACCACGCCCGGCTAATTTTTTGTATTTTTAGTAGAGACAGGGTTTCACCATGTTAGCCACGATGGTCTTGATCTCCTGACCTCGTGATCCGCCTGCCTCGGCCTCCCAAAGTGCTGGGATTACAGGCGTGAGCCACCGTGCCTGGTCAGATACGTGTGTTCTAGTATACATATTTTCTGATAGGCAGGTCAGATCACAAGATCCATTTGTCACTCATGGTCAGGTATTCTGTCTCTACTAGTGCCCAGCATTAAGCCAGAAGTTGTTGTCAAAAGGAGAATATCTTTTGGAAGAAGAGTGCATGCTTATCAGAGCTTGTCAGAAGCTCCATGTACACCAACCATATCTGCCACAGACACTTGCAGTTCTATTGACCTGGCTCATACAGCTCAAGTGGCTTAGTAGCTTGCAGTGTCCTGGACTTACTCTTGTTCTTGAACCCACAAAAATTGACAGCCTTATAGTTTATTTGGTAAATGGGTCCAATAGGTATACTATACCAATAAGTTATATATAATTTTCCCATTGTAGAGAGTTGTACTTCTTTCTTAGAAGAAAATCCCAACAACTTTATCATTTTTCCTTTGGAAAAACAATCTAACATACCTTAGAAAACTAGACTCATAGAATCTTTTCTAAGTTAATGACCATGATTTTCACTTAATTTTTACTTTCTGATAAGAGGTAAGCATTTCTTACCAATAGGATAAAATAGTTATTACTTCCTGATCAATCAGTCCAATCAGCAAGTGACCAATATGGCAAAATGGTATGATGCTTAAACTGATATCAAGATAAGCAAGGTCCATTAAAGACTAGACTATGACAATAACGGAGATGACATAATCCTGAGGTAAGACTGAGAAGTTATGCTTATGTCTCTACCAAGTAAAAGAAAACTACATCTAGTGGTCTCTACTGAGGACAAATTGCTGCTCCTGCCATGATGGAAGAATTCCAATATAATCAATCTTAATTTGCTACCAGTTGGCTGTTCTTCCTCTCCAGGGAATCGTGCCATATCAAGGAATCAACACTATTCTGTTATTGACATATTAGATATGCAATCGTAATGTTGGCAAATCAGTCTTGGTAAGACAAGACTATGCAATCATTTTATCCCTGCTAACATGGCTATATTTTTTATGTACTCATTTAGTGAGAGCCAGTTCATTTGGGAAAGAGGGCAGACTGACCTCTACTGACTAGATCATTTTATCTACCTGGTCACTAAGAGCTTGATCTATAGAAGATACACTTGATCTATAGGAGATCTAAGAAGATACATCTCTTTTTTCATTGATAGAGATAACAAAGCATTTTTTGAATAGATAGCTTTATGTCAGATGGCAGAGGCTGTGTTAATTTGCTTACAAAGATAAGACATCAGTGCAATTAGGGTTCTCATGTGGTTATATAATGAATTTGTATTGTCATTTTTAAAGATAGGTTTGCCTTATACAAAGGTTAATGAGAAAGTTAAGTAGAAATATAATTCATTGTTGCTTTAAACTTTGAAATTCCCTGAGAAATATGGTTTTGAATTTAGTTGTCTATTTTGACAGAGGAAGTTCAATTGGTTCTATCTTTTTCTTTAACACATTGATCGTAGTTATTTTACATATCCTATCTGAAAGGGTCTATATCTTGGCCATTGCTTACTGATTAATTTCTCTCTTGTCAATACTCCTACTCCTACCCCACCCAACTCTATTTTTTTTTTTTTTTGAGACATAGTCTTACTCTGTTGCCCAGGCTGGAGTACAGTGGCACGATCTCAGCTTCCTGCAACCCTTTCCTCCTGGGTTCAAGTGATTCTCCTGTCTCAGCCTCCTGAGTAGCTGGGACTATAGGCACGCACCCCCAAGCCCAGCTAATTTTTGTATTTTTAGTAGAGATGGGATTTTGCCATGTTGTCCAGGCTGGTCCACCCAACTCTATTTTATGGCTCATCATTTTTGATTAAATGACAGACACTAAGTGTAAAAAACAAACAAACAGAAAACATACAGTTCAAACCTGTGTTGTTCAAGGGTCAGCTGTGCTCCATTTCCTCCTGGGTTCAAGGGATTTTCCCACTTCAGCCTCCCGAGCAGCTGGGATTACAGGTGCCCGCCACCACACCCAGCTAATTATTTTTTGTAGTTTTAGTAGAGACGGTGCTTCACCATGTTGGCCAGGCTGGTCTCAACCTCCTAACCTTATGATCCGCCCTCCTCTGCTTCCCAAAGTGCTGGGATTACCGGTGTGAGGCACTGTGCCTGGTCATCCCCAGATTTTTAATGGAAAATGATGCTGTACTGAGATGAAGAGCTTGTAGTGAGTATGAAATCCTCATGTCTTTGTGTGTGTAGGACTCCCAATTATATTCCAAACTGATATTCTAATCATACTCAGTCTTTACAATTTTAGCTGAGTTCTTTCTACCCGCTTCTATGACAGCCACTCCTTCCTCTCATGCTTTGGTAAAGGGAAAACCATTTGGTTTTCTTCCTCCTCCTAGGGATTTGTCACTCTTGCATTTAGGTGTCTTGGTTACCTTATGACCTTCAGCTCTTTGATGAGTTATAGAAAAGTTAGGTTGTATAGATTGTCTATTTTTTTTTTCCTAGATGTTAGGATGGTTGTGACTTTGGTACTTTCTACTACCAGTAAGATTTTTGACGCAGGAAATTCGAGGCAAACAAAATCATTGGAAAGTTTGAGAAGTAAAAAAATATGGAAGCTCAGAGATTATCAGGAAGCCACCTCCAGCGGTTTTATCTGTGATCACACTGAAGTAGATGGTTCTCAGCAGGGCATCCAAATCTATAGGCTTCTGCCTTCAGCAAATTGCTGACAACTAAGCATCTACTTGCTGTTGCCACTTGAGAATAATCTCTTCCAACTTTCCAAACCAATAGATAAATTTCTTGTAGAAATCTTTCCATAACCTTCCTGGCAAGAAAAACTTGCAAGTAAAGTGTTCAAGATTAATGCCTCTGCATACCGCAAAGAGTTTGCAATGGTATAAAATAGACTGAGTATCAACAAATAACATCAGGCACATCTCAACCCATTCAATTTTAATTTCCAGTATAAGCAAATGATTAAATCTCTAAATATGTGTTTATATAACTGATCTTTTAAATAAATGTTACATGTTTTATAATCCCTAAGTTATATTTAGAATATGCTGTAATGACTCTGCAAATATCACAGGATAAACCATTTTAATTTATTTTAAAAGCACCAAACAAAATTTCTAAAGGAAACTCATGCTAAGCAATTGTTAAAATTAATCTCTGCTTGATAGAAGTCATATTAGTATATAGATTCTATACCTTATGAACTTTGGGGGCTTATGCTTTTTAAATAAAATAATTACATAGATTATAAAATGCTTCATTTTGGACATAGTAATTAATGTGCTAGTTTATGTGGGTAAAATATTATCATTTTATATAGATTTTATAGCAAGGTTTTCTCAGAGTCAATGCTATCAAGTCCAGTATGCACTTCTTAACAATGTATTCTAAGTTCTTCAGAATACACCTATGGATAAAATACTACTCAGCAATACAAATGAATTAACTACTGATGCATACAACAACATTGATCTCAGAAAGCAATATACTTAGTGAAAGAAGCCAGGCATAGAAGAGTTCTACTGTATGAGTCTATTCACATTAAACTCGGGAAAGGACTAATTTAGTGAGACAGAAAACAGATCAGTGGTTGCCTAGGACTGGGGGTATGAAGGGGGCTGACTGGGAAGTTACAAGAAGGAAATTTTGAGGCAAAGGAGATATCCTATATCTTGATTTTGATGGTATATAAATTTATCACAACTCACTGAAATGAACACTTCAGTGGGTGCACTTTATTTACATAACTCATATTTCAATAAAGTATAATCAGTCCACCCTATCGGTGGGTTCTGCACTCATAGAGTCAACCAATTGCAGACCAAAAATACCGTAGTTCCCCCTCATCTGCAGGGGAAATGTTTCAGGACCCCCAGTGGAAGCCTGAAACTGTGGATAGTACTGTGGCTTTAAATACTGTTTTTTTCCTATATAGTAAGTGGCAGGTAGCACATGTAATATGGTTGCGCCAGACAAAGGGATGATTCATGTCCCGGGCAGGACAGAACTGGATAGCATGTTTCACCAAGATACTCAGACTGGCATGCACTTTAAAACTTATAAATTGTATAATTCTGACATTTTCCACTTAATATTTTCAGATCACTATTGATGGTTAAATTAAAACCACACAAGCATGATTAAAACCTTGGACAAACTGGGAGTCGTGTATTAGGGGAAAAAAACTAATAAAAATAACAATACAACAATAAAAAAAAGTATGGGCCGGGTGCAGTGGCTCATACCTGTAATCCCAGCACTCTGGGAGGCCGAGGCGGGCAAATCACAAGGTCAGAAGTTCGAGACCAGCCTGGCCAACATGGTGAAATCCCGTCTCTACTAAAAATACAAAAAATTAGCTGGGCATAGTGGCGGGTGCCTGTAATCCCAACTACTCAGGAGGCTGAGACAGAACCCAGGAGGCGGAGGTTGCAGTGGGCTGAGATCCTGCCACTGAACTCCAGCCCAGGCAACAGAGTGAGACTCTGTCTCAAAAACGAAAAAAAAGAAGTATGAATAAAAATTACAGTATAACAATGATTTACATGGTATTTACATTGTATTAGGTCTCATAAGTGATCTACAGATGAATTAAAGTACATAGGAGGATTTGTGTAGGTTACATGCAAATACTGTGCCATTCCATAAAAGGGACTTGTGGAGCCATAGATTTGGTATTTCCTGGGTTCTGGAACCATTCCCTCTTGAGAGACAAACTACTTATTAAAACAAAGAAACAAGCAAACAACCAACAGAAAAAAACTGTCAGATTGGCATGAGGTGGCAAAATTCAGTTTAATGGGGGAGGATGGACTTAGATATAACAAAAACTATAACTATACATGATTCGAGGCAAGATGACACAGTTTTCAGGAAAGCCTTCTGTTAGAGAATATTCCTAACAATCAATAAGATGTTTATCTGAATGGTGGTTATCCTCACATCTTCTGGAAGAAACAAATATATATATATACACATATATTCTTTTTTTTTTACTGAGACTTTTTTTTTCAAGATGGAGTCTTGCTGTGTTGCCCAGGCTGGAGTGCAGTGGCACGATCTCGGCTCACTGCAACCACTATCTCCTGGGTTCAAGTGAGTCTCCTGCCTCAGTTTCCCGAGTATCTGGGATTACAGGCACATGCTACCACACCCAGCTAATTTTTGTATTTTAAGTAGAGACAGGGTTTCACTATATTGGTCAGTCTGGTCTCAAACTCCTGACTTCGTGATCCGCCCGCCTCGGCCTCTCAAAGTGCTGGGATTACAGGTGTGAGCCACGGTGCTCGGCCTCACTGAGACTTTTAAGAGGGAAGAGACACTGGAGTCCACATCTTTTCCTCTTATAAATGATGGCATTTCACAACCTGAGCAGCAACTGAGTAGGGCTGGAGCACAGGTTTTTTGAGTCCTGCTGTTGGCGCTTCTTAGACCACTCCTCCAGCATTCCCCACCACTGGGAGTTAACGTATAACGTGTAGCAGAAATAACAACAGGCTTTGGTGCCCTATAGACAAGGATAAGAATCCCAGCCTTGCCACATAGTAGCTTTGTGAACTTGGCTGGATTACTTGCATTCTATTTGGTTCAGTTTATTTGTTGGTAAATGAGAAAAATCCACGTGAGCATTAAATGGGGCTGCATATATGAAGCTCCTAATGCAATGGCTGGCATATAAGAAATGTCAAATAAACACTCAGTATATTAAGCTGTAGTAATAGAGGCCAGGTTTCTTATTTCCATTCTACTTAATTAACGTTCTCTGATATCACTCATGTTTTGTGAGAAAACTTACAAATCAAACAAGCTCCATCACTCCTCCCATCTTAAATGGTGATATGAGTTACCAAGAGGACTTTTTGCCACCTATTTGCATGATCCTTAAATTAGTTGTTTAAATTCATCTAAATAAGTTCACTTAGTTAAACTAAAAAGTTTAAAAATGTTCATTTTGTTAACTTAGTTCATCCAATCGAGTAATTAGATCATAATTTTAAATCCAAATTGTACATGGGACTAATTTAAAACTTTTACAAAGGAAAACTGCAACCCATTGAGCACAAAATACATTACAAAATGTTAAAACCGAAAGGACACTTAGAAATCAGATATTGAAAATGTATTGAATTTGTAGCTGATGAAATTGTTGTTCAAGTAGCTTAAAGATGTGTCTAAAGCAATTGAAATCATTAACAATGGCCCTGGAACCATAACGTGTAGCTCAAACATGGCCTTCAAAGTCAGGCAAGTTGTAATTCAAATTCCATCTCCATCATTAACTGTATCTGTGTGAACATGGAGAAACTGCTTCACATTTTTTAACTTTAGTTTTCTTATCAATGAAATAGAGGATAACAATAATTACCAGATAAGATTGTCATGAAAAAATGAAAAAAAATATATATATGTATAATGTCTACATAATGGCTGGTGTATAGTAGGTACTCAAATAATGTTAAGGCACTTTGATACCTAGTGCTTTTCAGACCATGCCACCATGACATAAATAGAAACCATTGGCTTCCCAGAATCCCCTGTGCTCGCTCAGATAGTCATTTTATACTATGATTTTCATGACCATATTGATTGGATCAGGAGTACATATAAGAGCCACTCATATTTGCATCCTTCAGAATTTGAACCACAAGAATGAACAGAAAAACCAGGCAGAAAAATCACACATGAAGTGTGAGTTCATGGGAATTGTGCCAGGCTTAACAACAACACTTCAAAGATCCCCACATCCTAATCTATGCCACCTGTGAGTATACCTCCTTCCATAGCAAAAAGAACTTTTCATATATAATTAAATTAAGTGTCTTGAGATGGGGAGAGCAATTTGTATTTTTCAGATGGCCCAAAGGTGTTTCTAAATGAGAGGCAGGCGGCTCAGAGTGGTAGCAGGAGACGTAGTAATGAACCCAAGAGGTTGGAGTGATGTGAAAGGGGGTCATGAGCCAAGAAGCATTGGTGGCCTGTAGAAGCTGAAAAGGGCAAGGAAAGGAATTCTTCCCTAGAGCCTCCAGAAGGAATGCAGTCCTGCTGACACCTTGATTTTAGACTTTGACCTCCAGAACTGGAAGATAACTAATTTGTACTGTTTTAAGCCACTGTGTTATAATTTGTTGTAGCAAAAATATGAAACTAATGCAAGAATGTTAGATAACTTGAATGAAGGTCCCCAGATCCTTTCTGCAGGAGGTACCTGGTGTCACGTTGAATCTAAGATCACATTTCTGATCCAATTTCCTTGAGGGCCCTCATTATAATGGCCCTCTATTCTTAAGTTTCCTTGAGGTCACGACCTTTCCACCACCCCACCCAATAGTTTGAGAGAGGTAGGAGGTCTCTCTCCTCTCCTATCAGACAACTGGTAAATAACACCCATATTGCCTTTAGCCATTCATTCATTAAATATGTGATGTTGATTACAAGGGTCTAGCTGAGCTAGCCAAAGAATGACCTAGGGCAAGCTTATTATTGGTAATGCAATAAACATAAAGTTCTGTATCTTAAATTGCAGCTAGAAATAGAAAGGGAATATAAATACATGTATATTTCCAGCCTCAGAAGCACACTTAAATATATAGGCCACTTAGAAAGGAAAGGGTAAAATAATTTGTTTAGAAAAGTGATATTTAAAATGAACACATTCTAAATCATTCTTGGAGGCGAAAATTATTTGCAACAACAACTACCTTCTAGGAAGAACTGTTCAATGGATTGTAGTATGTATTTTTGGCTGCCTTGCAAGTATCTGAGTGAGCTGAATGTTTTCTTCAGACTGATGATTTTGAGATGTGGAGCACTGCAGGTTGAATACTTTAGTGATAATGAAACATGCAATTCAAATACACCCTTGTGATGGCTATAATTACAAAGAAATGGTTTACAGAGAAGGCTATATTTGAAAAGTAGATTTCGAGATTTTCTTGTAACTTTAAATGTTAAGATGAATAGAAGACAGAATCACGTTCTTCGGTTTTCAAGTGATGGTAGATGACAATACTTGAATGGATAGTCTTGCCTCACTTAACGAAAGGGATACATTCTGAGAAATGTGTCAGGTGATTTCATCGTTATGTAAACACCATGGAGTGTGCTTATCCAAACCTAGATGGTACAGTCTACTAGGCATCTAGGTCATGGGGTTTACCCTACTGTTCCTAGGCTATAAACTTGTCAAGCATGTTACTGTACTGAATACTATAGGCAACTGAAACACAATGGTAAGTATTTTTCTATCTAAATACAGAAAATGTACGGAAAAATATGCTATTATAATCTTGTAGGACTACTGTCCTCTTATATGTGGTTGTTGATGGAATTGTTAGGTGGCACATGACTGTACTTGTTTCCAGGCACTCTGAACTTGCTAACTTTGTCCCGAAGATGCACTGGCATTAAAGAGCAATGGAAAAATATGAGGAGTTAAAATCTCGTAGAAGCAGGTACAATTGTATGAAAAGGTCATTTTCTTGATGGATTACATCACAAGGATTTTAAATACTTATTCAGCATCGCCATCGAGCACAGTTCCTCAGCCTTGGCTGCAGACTGAGGGGAATCACCTGAGGTGCTTTCAAAATGTAGGGACACCTGACTTCTACCACCAGAAGCTGATTTAACTGGTTTCAGGTGTGGCCTGCGTATGTTTTAAAGCTTCTTGCACCCAGATAATGGTAACATTCAGCCTGGCCTGGCCTGCCCACCTGCTTGCTTTTGGATCCATCCTCACTCTATGGCTACGGATCTCTTAACTGAAACTAACTTTTGGCTGTCTAAGCCTTAGCAGGTCTGATTGTCAACATGGCATTACTTCCGCTATGAAAGACAAGCAATGACCCAGCTAAAGCCCAACACACTGGGAATAGCTGTCACAGTGATCTCAAATTAAATATTATCAAAACATCCAGGACCCCTGCCACCAATTTTTCTCTCCTCATAACAAGATATTTTAATAACTCTGATCCATATGTGGGTGGGTGGGTAGCAGTAGCTACTTGGATAGCATCTTGGCATTACAAAGGCAGTCATTTATCCTAAGAAATCTTAATTCAGCTATTGTCTCTTATTTACCTTGGTCTTGAACTTGTACTAAAATCTAGAGACATGCTGTTGAAAGAAGTAACCTAACTCAATCAGCTGACAAGGAAAGGAATATATTCTGCAGACCTATGGACATTAAAAGTTACTCTGCTTTAATGGAAAGTGTTTTTTTCTCTGATTTTATTTATTTTTTATTTTTATTATTTTTTTGAGACGGAGTCTCGCTCTGTCACCAAGGCTGGAGTGCAGTGGCACGATCTTGGCTCACTGCAACCTCTGCCTCCAGGGTTCAAGCGATTCTCCTGCCTCAGCCTCCCAAGTAGCTGAGATTACAGGTGCCCGCTACCATGCCCAGCTAATTCCTACATTTTTAGTAGAGATGGAGTTTTGCTATGTTGGTCAGGCTGGTCTCGAACTGCTGACCTCAGGTGATCTGCCCACCTCAGCCTCCCAAAGTGCTGGGATTACAGATGTGAGTCACCGCACCTTGCCTTTCTCTGATTTTATAACCTTATTTCTTATAATATTAATTTAGTAATCTAACATAAATACACTTTTTAAATGACAGGGATTACTGTTACCACTTTCATCTGTTCTCTAGTCTGTGGCTTGCCCTTTACTAACCTCAAAGTTGAGTGTCATATAGGGATCTGGGTTGGAGGATTTTGTTTCTTATCGTGGAGAGACTCATTTTCTAGAGGATGAATAAAGGGTATATGTGATGCCTTACAGAGTTTGGAAGCAAAAGATCAGTTGTAGTAAAATTGTTCGAGCTGTTTCTTTTGTGTGTGTGTGTGTTTTTTTGTTTGTGTGTTTGTTTGTTTGTTTTTTTGGTTTTTTTTTGAGACGGAGTCTCAGTCTGTCACCCAGGCTGGAATGCAGTAGCCTGATCTCTGCTCACTGCAAGCTTTGCCTTCTGGGTTCATACCGTTTTCCTGCCTCAATCTCCCGAGTAGCTGGGACTACAGGCGCCCACCACCATGCCCGGCTAATTTTTTGTATTTTTAGTAAAGACGAGGTTTCACTGTGTTATCCAGGATGGTCTCGATCTCCTGACCTCGTGATCTGCCCGTCTCAGCCTCCCAAAGTGCCGGGATTACAGGCGTGAGCCACCGCGCCCGGCTGTTCGGGCTGTTTTTTACCTGGCAAGATGTTCTGGCATTGTCAGAACCAGGACAAGCTGGCTGTGTGTTTTGCAGTCTCTTCTCTTATTCCAACTATGTAAATATATAACGTTAGAACACAAACATACACACAAGCTGTGGTCAAAGAGAAAGATTTCTCAAAGGAGCTGCATCTGTGAGGAATTCTCGAGAGAGTGTAAGTAGGTGAGGGTTTACTGAAGAATAACATGGCAGCATGAGATCCTGCAGGAGAGAAAATCACAGAAGATGGTGGTCATATTAAAGGAGATATATGCCTGGAAGTGGTGGATCCTAGAAGCAGGGGAGGCCTCGGAGCACCTGCCAGGGAGATTAGTTTAGGCATTGCAGTGGACCCAGTCAAACTGCTGGCTCCCTGCACACTCCCTGCGTCACTGTGAGCCACGGCACTGGAGACATGACATCCAATAAAAGTGGGAGCAGTCCTGAGCACAGGGAGGCTGATAAGCCTTCATAACCTCATAGCAGATAGTCTTAAGCTATCTCAATGAGACTAGTTTTTAGGAGCAAATAATCAAAGTGGATATAGCAGACAATTTGTGTAGAAGCATGTAATTGCTGAAAATCAAGAACTAGAAGCAATAAGAACTCCCCACCCCAAAAAGTGAGAAAAGAATCTGAATTGGCAATTCACTGAGAGAAAATAAAAATGGCCAATTCATATGAAGCAATTCTCAGCATAACCACACATTTAGAAACTGAAATTTACAAAGAAATTTTTTTTTGGCAAAAGTAAATGTCTGATAATGTCAGTGGTGGCGAGGATAAGGCTAAGGTGTCATATATTACCAACAGGGAGAAAATAGTTGTGGACACTAAATAAAAATGAGCAAAATCTAGTGAAATTAAAAATATACAATCTATGATTCAGCTACTTTAATTCCACATGTAAAATTTTGAAAATATTAATTACGGTAAATAAAATGGCATTACAAAGATGTTTATTGCACCAGTACCATAACAGCAGATAAGTGAAGAAATGTTATATATCTATGAAAAGCACCAGAGTAATGTCACACAACCATAAAATGAAAATTATCATCAGTTAAAAGAATGAATTATACCTACGGTCATCAATATGAATACAGCAAAATATAAATTTTTGAGTGAAAAAGCAAGGTAAAATTGAATACTTTGAGCATTACACTATTTATGTGAATATTATGGCACAAGACATTAACAAAATTATATACACACATATTAGTTGCCTACATTCCTCTTAAACGTTGTCAGTCTACTTCCTTTCATAACAAAAGTTGTCAGAAGAATTGCCTGTACTTGTTTTCTTTTTCCTATTTTCTTCTTTAACTCACTCGTGCAAGGCTTTGTTCCCACCTCTCCACTGAAACCACAAAACCAATGTTGTCTGTGACCCCTACCTTGTCAAATACACGGATTGTGTCATAGTCCTTGACTTTAGTGACTCACTGCCTCTTTCTTGAACTCATTTCACTGCTTGCTTTCCAACATACCACACTTTTGTTTTCCCAAACTTCAATTTGTTTCTAGTTTGAATAAATTAAAATTGAGTTTAAGAAAAGGAAGTTAGAACTTACTTCCTGTAAGTCTATTTATCTTTTTCTATCATTTTACATACTACGTAGAAGCTGATGGCACTAAATATCTTCAGAACAAACTTCTCCCCCTGAAATCCAGGCTTAGTTAATTAAGTCACTTTTCACTATATCTGCTTCCACTACCTCCTTGGAAGGTATTATAATTTTTCACCTGAATACTGCAGGTCTAAAAATACGTCCTCATAGGCTCTACTTTTATACAATGACAGTCTATTCTTTATAAATCAGACTGGATACACTTACAGAATTCCTGATATAAGCTTCATATTTTTGAGTGAAATGTGGGTTGTAAGTCTTAGCATTGACTGATCAAGGGAGAATTAGCCCTAAATTAATGAATTATAATAACTAAATTTTTATACCTTCTTTTTCACTTGTGACATGATACCTGAATTATTCAGAGTGCCTACAAATCTTGGGTACTCATTTCGAGGAAAGACATGACCTTATATTCCACTTGCCAGAGAGGGGTTAAATCATCATCTTGAGGTTACAGCAATCTATAGATTCTATACATATTTTAGTGGCAGATTTCAGTGCTTGCTTTATATATATTTTAGCAGCAGTTTTCAGTGAGTGGCAGATTTCAGCAAGTGCCAAAATCTCACTGGGACAAACCCTTCAGAAAATAGAAGAGAATACTGCTGTCTGGGACTAGGTGAATACAGATCTGTTTTTAATTTTCAGGCTTCCTTGTGAAAATTTAATGTTTAAAACATCTAAGCCAGGTTAAAAGTTCTAATAGTTCTGACTGCTGGTAGAACGGACATAATTCTTCATTGCGAGGTGTCCTTGACAGAACGCCTCTTGTTATTATAGAGATACAGGCCTTATGAAGATTCTTTCCTTCATGGTTACCTCTCTTCCTCTGTTTTCATTTGTTTGTTTGACCAAGTCCTACGCTGTGCATACTCCAGAATCACACACACACTGTGTCACTTATCAATCCTGCCGTCCCTGATTTCAGTTGATGATTTTTGTCTATTACTAATGTAGATTATCTGATTCTACCATCACTCTATTAGCTGCTAATGGCCTAATTCAATTGTTATCTATAATCTGTTATTTTTCTTAAGAAATTAGGTCTATGATTGAATTTTTCATAATTTTTCTCTGCAGCAAACTTCGTTTGGAACATCTGGGAGTGATAACTCAAAAGTAGCAATATTCTTGATATGGACAGGGTAGTATAGTGAAAGTGGCGGTGATTATCCTCATTTAAAAAGTGAGTCTATTTTACATTTTAATTGTGGTGATGAACATATTTCAAGGAGATACTAGCTTATACTTAGGAGAATGCTCTCAGTGCCAACAGACAATGAGGGATCAATTTATCATTAACTGATTAGACGAGACTTATTTTGGCAATTGGAAAGAGAAGGCAAATATATCCAGAATGTTCAGAGAATTTCGTTTTTTATTCCACTTTCCATAGTCACTTGTATCCAGAGCTTATATTTTATTTTTGAGTTGAATAAAATAACATTCATAATGTTATGGCATGATGTGTTTTGGTACATTCAGCAAGTGCCACAATCTCACTGGGACAAATCCCCATACCATTCATAATCGCCAATAGTTACAATAATCACTGTTTAGCTTTGTATTATGTACTATAACTTTTACCAGGCAATAATAGTCACTTGAAATAACCATATTCAACTTAAAGGAAATTTAAGAGTTAAAAATATCTATGTGATTATCAAAGAAAATGTAAAAAGCTGAACATAGAACTGTTTCTAGTAATATGGTAGATAAGCTACCTAGAAGCTTGGCTTATACACCACAAAACATTTAGGAGACTTGTATAAGAAAACTCCCAGTATTTTTTTTTTTTTTTAAAGGAAGCTAGAAACCAGAGCTTTCAGCTGAGGCTGTGAATGCTGTAAGCTACACGGATGTGCTTTGGTCAAGGAATGGGCCGAGGCAGACATCCCGGCCTGCATGACTCAGCGGGACTGGTGCACAGGCACACACCTCTACTTGTTATATAACCTGTTTCTGTAAGCTCATACTTGGCTCTATGCCCCTATTGTTTGTAAAAGGTATAACTGCCCTGCTGATGCTGTGCAGGGGCTCTTGGGCGTGGCTTGGCTCGGCTTGGCATAACATGGCTCAACATGGCGCTGGTGCCCAGAGAACGAGAGAGCGAGCCAAAGCTGTCCGTCTTGAAGGCGGGCAGGGGGAAGCCAGGAACCAGGAAAGAGTTAAGCTTCTGACCCGGAAGAAAAGGGAGAGCTGGCCGCGCAGCTGTGCGTGGAAATGGCCGGCTCAAGCAGCCGAGACAGAGCAGAGTGTGAGAGAGCTAATGGAAGTAAGCTGCTGAAGAAACCGTATTCACCTGCCTATGGCCCGTGAGTGTTCTTGAAGCTATCTGGCGTTCATCCACCCACTCCCCTCGGACCTCAGCATGGGCTGGAACCTCACCCTAGACCTAACAGATGCTCTCATGAGCACTCTTCAAACTCAGAAATTTCCCTTACGTCATCACGAGCCGAAGATTTCTAATTAAAGTATGTCAAGATGAAGTGGACTTAATTGACATCTGCCTTTTAAAGTATAATTCGTTCTTTTCTTGAAACTCGGATCTCTAAGTAGTAGAATATTTAGTAAATATAACTCCCATCCTTATTCTAGGCGATTTGGGAAATAAAATATTAGATGTGAAGCTTAATACAACGTTTGAAAATATTATAAACACTTTGTTTTAGTCTATTATTTTGGTTGTTAATGTCAGAAACTCAGATCAAGTTGGATAAATTTAGGAGACTCAAATATTTTCATAAGGGTGCGTTTTCTCTCCATTTCTAGTATTTCCTCTGTAGTTTAGGTTTATTTTCTCCCTCTGTAGATGGACTCCCTCTATAAAGTCAAGGAATATTACGGCCACGAGTGGTGGCTCACGCCTGTAATCCCGGCACTTTGGGAGGCCGAGGCAGGCGGATCACGAGGTCAGGAGATCAAGACCATCCTGGCCAACATGGTGAAATCCTGTCTCTACTAAAAATACATAAATTAGCTGGGTGTGGTTGTGAGTGCCTGTAATCCCAGCTACTCGGGAGGCTGAGGCAGGAGAATAGCTTGAACTAGGGAGGTGGAGGCTGCAGTGAGCTGAGATGGCACCACTGCACTCCAGCCTGGTGACAGAGCAAGACTCCATCTAAAAAAAAAAAAAAAAAAGTCAAGGAATATTACTAGCGGCTCAGATTTGGTTGCATAGTTTATCTGCCACAGTGGGAAAGGGGTGTGAAGCCTTCTTACCCAAAAATTCTGATAAGAGTGACTAGAGTTAATACAACGTGATTCTGATGATTGGCCCTTGGTTCTGAGCCAGGTTGTCAACCCAAAACAACAACAAAAAGCTAAGAGAATATGCTAATCCCATTGCCAAGTCTAGCACCATGCTTGATGCCAGAGAGTTGCGTCAGTTCCAGCCAAATTACACAGATAATTAGGAGAGAAGAGATAAATTGTCAAAGAAAACAGGTGTGCAGTTACTAGCAGGAGAGCAAATGAGTGAGTTTACTCTTCCTCTGGTACTCCCAGAACCAAAAATGTCCAAAACCTAAACTTCATATGTCATCTCATTTTATTTGCTATTTGGTGAGTAGCTTTACCAAGTTGTCATTCTTTGAGAGCTCTAGGATCAACGGATTCTTCTCCCTGCCTTTGAGCTTTTAACAGATTCTTTAACGTCCGCTGAACTGTTAATACACTGCAAATGGCATTGGATAAAGGGAATGGGTTGTAGCTTGCTTCTGCCAGTAGTTACTATCAGTTATAATTGTAGACAATAAATCCAATTTCTTTAAACTCCAAATTTCTTGTTTGAAAAAATTCTATGCAAGATTCAATCAATTTTTTAGACTCTAGATCCTCTTGGATCCAAACAAGTTCCCTCGGTTCTTTCAAAGTCACTGAATTTGATTGCCATATATTTATAGAGTTCATGGCTTGTAAATATAACTTTTGGAAAATACTCAAAATTTTAGATTATTATAATTGCAGATCCTTTTTCACCCCACTAACATCTCCTTTCTCCCGATTGTATGCATTGTCATCGAACCTTCGTGGTCACTTAATAAGTTTAAACAATTTTGGATATTTCCAAAAGCCCGTTTTGTTTTACCTTCAATTTGAAAATCAAACAAAATACTAACTTAGACTCAAACATGTAATCCCTTTCAAAGGTGTAGATTTGTTTTTCTGTTTTTTAGCTCCTAATGAAACTGATAAAATATTTATTTTATCTAATATAACTAGAGAGAATATTGGTCATTGGTATTTGCATCCCTTCCTACTGTTCATCTTCAGTATGTTACAAATTTTAACAAATATCTTAAACAATGGCCTATGAGTTTATGTATTTTCATTAGTTATAAAATATAACTGACATAAAATAAGCTGCATGTACTTAAGGCATATAAAGTGATAAGATTTGATACGTGTATACACCCATAAAACCATCACCATAATCAAGAGTGAGTACATCCATAATCCCCAAAGATTTCCCGTGCCCCTTTCTTATATCTTTTCTTCCCCCACCCATGTCCAGGGCTACCACTGATCTGCTTCTTTCTCTATAGATTAGTTGTGTTTTCTCAACATTTGCATAAATCAAGCCACGAAGTATGGCTTCTTTCAGTTAGCATAATTATTTTGCAATTCATACATGCTCTTGTGTTTCAATAGTTCAATATTTCTCACTATTAAGCAGTCTTCCATGATAGGTATATACTAAAATTTGTTAATCCATTTAATGATGGGCAGTTGTGTTGTTTCCTGTTTCTGATTATTACATATAAATCTGCTATGGCCATGTGTATACCAATTTGTATATGGATGCATGCTTTTTTTCCTCTTGGGTAAATACCTAGGAGTAGAATGTCTCCATCATATGATAGGTAGATGTTTAAATTTAAGAAGCTTACGTTGTCTTACAAAATGGTTGTAGTTGTTTACATTGCTGCCACCAATCTTTCAGTTTCAGTTGTTCTGTGTTCTTGACAGCACTTGGTATTGTCAGTCTTTTAAAATTAGACAATCTAATAGATGTTTATTGATATAGCATTGTGGATTTAATTTGCATTAGCCTAATGATTAATATGTTAAGCATCTTTTCTATGTATTTATTTGCCATTTGTATGTTTTCTTGGGTGAAATATCTGTTCAAATAGTCTGTCGACTTTTATATTGAGTTGTTTTTTAAAAAATTATTGGTCTGAGCATGCTTTATATTTTTTTAGATACAAGTCCTTTGTTAATGATTTGCCTCAATTTTCTGCTAGGCTGTGGTTTGCCTTTTTTACCTGTTTAGCAGTGTATTCTGAGGATCAAAAAAATTTAAAAATTGAATGTAGCTAAGTTAACCATATATTCCTTATTTGATTATGTTTTAGACTCATATTTTTAACAAACCTCTGTAAACCAATTTTCACAAATATTTCCCACATTTCTTGAGCAACTTTTCGTATATTTTACATGATATAGAACAAAGTTCATTTTTTTCTCCATATGGACTTACCATTTTCCTAGTGCTGTTCATTGAACACAATCCTCCTACCACTGAATTGCTTTGACAAAAATTGTATTTGTGGGTCAATTTCTGGGCCCCCTATTCTGTTTTATTGATGTACTTTTCTATGTTGATGCCAATTAAATCAGTCTTGATTACTGATGTGGTTTGGCTGTGTCCTCACCCAAACTCTCATCTTGAATTGTAATCACCGTAATCCCCATGAGCCCCACCTGTCAAGGCAGAGACCAGGTGGAGGTAATTGAATCATGGGGGTGGTTTTCTCAATGCTGTCCTCTTGATGGTGAGTGAGTTCTCACGAGATCTGATGGTTTTGTGTTTGTTAGTTCCTCCCGAGTTCATTCTGCTTCCTGCCACACTGTGAAAAAGGTGCCTTTCTTCTGGTTTGCCTTCTACCATGACTGCAAGTTTCCTGAGGCCTCCCCAGCCATGCAGAACTGTGAGTCAATTAAACCTCTTTCCTTTATAAATTACCCAGTTTCGGGCAGTTCTTTATAACAGTGTAAAAATTGACTAATACAATTACTGTAACTTTTTAAGTGTTGCAATCAATATCCTATAATTTTGTTCTCTTTTAAAATTATTTTGACTATTCTAGTTCCTTTGGTTTTCATATGAATTATAGAATCACCTTGTCAATTTCTACAAAAATTCTGTTGAGATTTTTATTTTTATTGAAATTGTGTTGAATCTTTAGGTCCCCTCTGGGGAAATTTACATCTTAAGAAAATTGAGTCATCAGAATTATAAAAATGGCACATCTCTCCCTTTAAGTATTCTTTAATTTCTCTCAGCAATGTTTTATTTTTAGTGCATGTCTTGTATATCTTTTGTCAGATTTATTTGTAAGAATCTCATTTTTGATGCAATCTAAATGTTTCTTAAATTGTCAGTTGTGTCCACTGCTAGTATGTGGAGATATTTGATTTGTTTTTATCTTTCCACCTTACTAAATTAGTTATTAATTTTGATAGCTTTTTGTAGATTGCATCAGGTTTTCTACAAAGTCACAAGTGTCATCTGTGAATGAAGAGAGTTTTATTTCTTCCTTTTCTATGTGTATGTCTTTTTATTTTTTGATGACTTTTTGCACTGGCTAAAATGTCCAGTTCAATGTTAAATAGAAGCAGCGAGAGAAGACATTTCTATCTGCTTGCTCGTTTTAGGATGAAAGCACGCTGTCTCTCACCATTAATTACGATGGTAGATGTTGGTTTATTGTAGATGTCCTTTATAATATCGAATAATTTCCCTTTTATTCTTACTTTGTTGAAAGTTTTTATCAGGACTAAATGTTGGATTTTTTCAAATGTTTTTTCTGAGTTTAAGGTTATCATATAGTTTTTCTTTTCAGTTTGTTAATATGGTGAATAATACTGATTTCTCTTCAAACGTAAAATCAAACATCATATATATTTTCAGATTCTTATATATTAAAATTTTGTTTGAAACTTTACATTTATGTTCATTGGGAGTACTTGTTTGTAGTTTTTCTGGAAATGTCTGCTTTTGGCATCAGAGTAATTCTGGCCTTACGGAACGTGCTGGGAAGCATTCTGTCCTCTTCCATTTATGTTTGGCAGAGTTCAATGAAGTATTTAATATGAGCATATAATTTTCCTTGTGGGAAAGCTTTAAATTCCCTTTTTAAAATTAATATGAGACTTTTATCAATTATTTTTGTTTTTGAAGTAATTTGTCATTCACATTATATTGGAGTTGTTGAATATTTTGGCATACATTTTTCATATGATTACCTTAAAATTCTGTTAATACATAGAATATGAACTACTGTTATTTTTTATTCTTGGTATAGTTAATTCGGATCTTATTCCTCCCTACCTTTTCTTCCTGGCAAATCTGACTCAAGTTTTATCAGATTTTTTTTCCTCTCTAGAGACAGTTTTCAGGTACATTGATTTTTGTTGTTGTTTTTCCCCCCAATTTTTCTTTTTCTATCATGTATTTCTGTTCTGATCATTAATATTTCCTTTCCTTTGCTTTATTGGGCTTGTTTTTTTTCTGACTTCTTAAAATAGCACATGTGGTCATAAATTTGAGTACTTTTTTCTAATATGGCTTCTTCAAATTTATGCCTATACACTTACATCTAGTGACATTCTAGTTGTTCTGACATTTTGTGCTTTCATTGGCATTCAGTAAAATTTCTAACTTCCAATTTGATAGCTGCTTTGATCCACATATTACTTAGAAGTGTGGTGTTTTAATATTTAATTAGGAATTTTCATGAGAACTTTTCTATTAATGACTTGTAATTCAATTGTCAGAGAACATACTTTGCACTAATTGAGTTATTTTAAATCTGTTGGCTTGTGTTATGGCCCTAGATGTTCTATATCTCAGTAAGTGTTCCATGTACTCTTAAAGAATTGGTGTAATCTGCTGTTAATTGGATTCTAAAATTGTCATTTTTTTCTTTTTACCATTGTAACCATTTTTAAGTGTACAGATAATAGTGTTAAGTATATTCACATTGTTGTGAAACAGATCTCCAGAACTTTTTCATCTTGTAAAATGAAATCCTATACCTGTTGAACAACTTCCCATTCTCTTCCCCACCCCCCGCAAGGCCCTGGCAACCACTATTTTATTTTCTATTTCTATTAGTTTGACTACTCTAGATACCTCAAGTAAATGGAATCATACCGTATTTGTCTTTTTGTGGCTGGCTTATTGCACTTAGCATAATGTCCTCAAGGTTCATTCACGTTGTAGCATGTAACAAGATTTCCTTCCCTTTTAAGGTTGAATAATCCATTGTATGTTTATACCATATTTCATTCATCCATTCCTCCATCAGTGGACATCTGGTTTGCTTCACCTCTTGGCCATTGTGATAATGCTGTTATAAACATGGGTGAGCTAATATCTTTGAGATCCTGCTTTCAAAACTGTCAATTTCTTTGATTTGGTTGGTAGTGTTCAAGACTTCCATACGTTTATGGAATTATATATTTGTTCTATCAAGTTTTGAAAGAGTGCTATTGAAATCTTTAACTGTAACAGTAGATATGTATTTCCCCTTGCAGGTCTATTGAGTTTTTGCTTCATGTACTTTGAAGCTCCATTACTGCATACATAGAGTTTAAGATCTTAATGTCCTCTCAACGAACTGATCTCTTTATCATTGCAAAAAGAATTTTTTTTGGTCTTTGGTGATATTCTTTGTTCTGTAATTTACTTTGTCTAGTGTCTTGCAGTTACAGCCACTTTATTTTGATTAGTTTAGCATGGTGTATCATTGTTATTCTACCCACTTAGATATCAGTGTTAAAGTTTCATTCCCTTTAAGCAGTAAAAAGATAAAACTGTATTTTTTATCCAATCTGATGGTTTTTCTACCTTTTAACTATAGTGTTTGTCACTTACACTTAATGTGATTGTTGACATGGTTGACTTTAAGACACCTGAAGTTGGCCATGGAGTTTATGACTGGCCATTTTCAACTTCAGTGTGAATACAGAATATTTATATTCCTGCATATTTTATTAAAAATTGAAAATGGAAATCTTTCAATTGGTCACAGAATGGAAACTAAAAACAAATACCAATGTTTGCTTTTATCAAGTTGATATGGTTTGGCTGTGTCCCCACCCAAATCTCATATTGAATTTTAGTTCCCATAATCCCCACATGTCATGAGAGGGACCTGGTGGGAGGTAACTGAATCATGCGAGCAGTTACCCTTATGGTGCTTTTGTGATAGTGAGTTCTCATGAGATCTGGTGGTTTTTTTGAGGGGCTTTCCCCCCTTTTGCTTGGCACTTCTCCTTGCTGCCCCCATATGAAGGACATCTTTGCTTCCCCTTCTGCCATGATTGTAAGTTTCCTGAGGCCTCCCCAGCCATGCTGAACTGTGAGTCAATTAAACCTCTTTCCTGTATAAATTACCCAGTCTTGGGTATGTCTTTATTAGCAGCATGAGAATGGACTAATACACAAATGCTAACCTATAATTGTAGTATTTAAAAAGAGACTATAAATTGAGGCTTCTACTGTTAAGATAGAAGCCTAGTTTAAATAAGAGTTTTCTAAAATGTCTTAATTGGCAAATCCTGGACCAATTTTATTTTTATAGGTAGTATTGTATGCTATGCATGAAGCTAGTTTGATAAATATTGGTTAAATTGGATTTTCTGAATCTTCCTGGATGTTTAGTTTAATACATTTTGTCTCATGCCCCTAACATTGCTTTTATCAATTTCTAAGACTATGTCTAGGTTTCTAATTCCTTCTAAAGTTTTAAATTGGCAGAATCATTAGAAGCAGTCGGATAAGTTATCTGCAGATCCAGGAAAATTTTGATTTCACTGGTCACATTCCCAAGGTTGTCCAATCCCATATTCTTCCATTTTACAATGTGGCCTGTAAAAAGGAAGATAATTTTCTCACTCCTTCCACTAACTCCAAACATGAGGAACCTCTTTATATATTTATTAAAAAAAGGTATGATAGCTTGATAAAGCTGGAGTTTGAATTATGGTAAAACAAAACCAAACTGTTTTATGCATACAGTAAGAAATTATATATATATATAAATTATATGTGTATATATAAATTATATGTATATATATAAATTACATGTATATATATAAATTACATGTATATATATAAATTATATGTATATATATATAAAAATTTTGAGACAGAATCTCACTTTGTCACCCAGGCTGGAGAGCTGTGGCACAATCTCGGCTCACTGCAACCTCCGCCTCCTGGGTTCAAGCAATTCTCCACCCTCAGCCTCCTGAGTAGCTGGGACTACAGGCATGTGCGTGGCTAATTTTTTGTATTTTTAATAGAGATGGGGGTTTCACCATGTTAGTCAGGATGGTCTCGATCTCCTGACCTCGTGATCCGCCCATCTAGGCATCCCAAAGTGCTGGGATTACAGGTGTGAGCCACTGTTCCTGGCCAAAATTTTATATTTCTACCTTTATATTCTGTTTGATATGATTCCTAAGTTATTAATAAATATTGTATATTTTATATCTAATAAGAATTGAACTATTAACAAAATTACTAATATACACATACATAAACTTGAGTCAAATGGAAATAGTCTTGATATATTCCACTCAATTGTTAACTGGTGGGAATGGATTTATGATTTAACATAGAAGGCAAATTTAATAGTTGTTTGCATTGTGAAGATAAGTCCCTGACAGCATTTCTTTTTATTGAAACTGATAGTTATAACTACTTTGAACCATTTACTTATACATCTATACATAGTGATCTTTAAAGACAAAATATTGAGTAATATTATAACATCTGGAGACCTATTAAGCCGTTATAAACAATAGGTCATAGAACACTTTCACAGAGAGAACTGATTCTAACAAATTATTGTACTGACCCATATAATTATCTTTAATACAAGAAGATATGATACTTTTAAAATAATGGTCAGAACAGAACTATAAAAGGATTTACCCAAGTATATGCTGATGCATATTTGCCTGTGATGCCCTAGTATGACAGACTGAGGACAAATATGATGAACATTACTCCAGATAAAGTTTCATTTTCAGTTCTCACTAATCTAGAACATGCTACTTTAGCCAGGACAAGATAGGTAGTTTATAGGTCTCATGGTGACCACATCATATTCCAACAATAACTAGCCTTTAAAACTCAGCAGTTTTTAACAGTAGTTTCTCATGCTTTTCGGTGATTATATGCTGAATAATGTCCTAATGTTCTGTTGGAATGCATAGTTTGAAAATATGAGATTCACTGATGCAAGTCTCAAGTAAAACCACATTAAACCTTCATCCATGACTAAGTGTAGTTCTTGCGGGGCAGGAGATAGGTGGGAAACTAAAGGAGGAGAGCAAATAGGACAATGCTCTTATAGGATTGTATTGAACTACAAGTTCAGATTGTGTTTCTGAGTTTGCTAGTAGTATAGAAAGCCATATATGTATGTGTGTATATGTGTGTGTGTGTGTGTGTGTGTATAGAGAGAGAGAGAGAGAAACAATGTTACACATGGTAGCTGATCTCAAGCCATCTAAAAAAGCTTGTAAGTAACATATTAGCATTACTATGCTTCATATGACATACAGGGCACAGAGGATAATAGTACTGAAATTAATGTTACTACTAATTTTAATTTCCCAGGTGACTGGAAAAAATTTCAAGTTTCAAATTCAGAATTCCACCAGCATGATTTTCTACTTCTAGTACTTCTTATGAAAGATTGTATTTTCCAAAGATGACTATACCCATGTATACATATGAAAATCATCCTATATACTTAAAATGTAATGGTAATATACCTCTATTGAGAAGTACAATCTATGTTCCCTCTTCCCAAAACTGGGCGTACTTTTGTGACCTCTTTGACCAATAAAAAGTGGTAGAGGGGTGTTGCATGACTTCTGAGGTCTGACCATGAGTGGCGATGTGGTTTCTCTTTTCCTTGAAAGACTTGCTAATAAAACGGAAAGGCCATTGTGTCTTGCTGAGAGTCCCAGCTAGTCCCCTAACTGACCGTCAGCATCCATGGTCAGACATATGAGTGAATGAGGTTTCAAATGTTTCTAGGCCTGGATTTTAAGTCTCTCAGCCATGTCCCAGACATTGTGGAACAGAGACAAACTGTCCCACTGTATCTTGTGACCAACTGAAGCAGACAGATAATTATTCTTTCAAGCTCTAAGTTTTGGGGTAATTTGTTGCACAGCAATAGACATAGTTTTATGATTGTACCTGTTTTCTTCATGGCACCGCCACATTTGTCCCCCTGGCTACATACATTTAGCCCTAACTTTTTGCTACAATGGCAAGGTTTAGGAGCTCTGACAGTACCAGTTCCAGCACTGGGGAGGGTAAGTAAGTTTGGAATGTGATAAAAGATACCAGGAGGAATAATTATTTCTGCAATATCAATTACTACAAGTATGGTGAATCCAGAAGTGAAGGAGAAAGATTAGATTCAGCAGCACTTTGAAGCCCATCAATATGTAATATCACTATGAAGTTGCTTTGCTATTTTGCTTCAATAGCTCGTGATTAAAATAAACTTTATTAAATTCTAATTTAATGATCTAAAATATTATTTTACTATTAGAATGCATTAGCAGTGCTTAAACATTGAATTGTTATTGCCATTTGTTAAGATTTAGAAAACACCTGCTTTTAATAAGTTGGTACTAGCAGTAGGTCTTTATTTGAAGTTGAAATTTTTCCTTAAGGTGTTTGAGAAATAAGTGTACGAAGCTTCATTTCTAAAAAAAAAAAAAAAACAAATAAAAATAAGTGGTCAAATGAAGTTGTACTCATGTTATTTGACCATAGTTAACATTTTACAGTAAAAAGAGTAGATAATTTGCAGTTGGACAGTGGATTTTGAATATGTAGGCAATATTGATTAAAACAGTCAACTAGTTAACCCCTTTCTCAGTGACCTGAATAACCCAGTGCTATTGCTATTGTATTGTGCATTCTTTTCTTGAAACTCCGGAGAAAATGCTGAGTCTTTTATACTTTAGCTAACAAATTATTGGAGAAAATCTTGCATTAACAACTTGTGATTTATAGGTAATTTCTTGTCAGTGACAGATTTATGATCTCTTAATTTTTAGCCAGGTCTACTTCTGTAAGTACTAAACTCTAGCATTTATTTTTTAAAATTGGAAATTAGAAACATTTGACTTAATGACGGTTGTCAGTATCAATAGAATGATAGTATGAGCAGTGATCTGCAAATTTTAAAAAATCAAATGACATGGATTTATTATGTTTTAGATGACCATATTTTAAAAGCCTTATGGAAACATAGTCCACAATACATAATGTGTTAGAGTCTGGTCAGAATTAAAACAAAAATAAAGCAATTGCCAAACTAAAATTTCATGCAACATAACTTTTTAAATAAGAATAGAGAGAGACATTTCCAGTGACATAAGCAGGTGAGTTTTCTTGGCTCTCTTTTTGACTACCTCCGTGTGATCCCTATTTTCCTGCTAGAATGTACCGCCGGTCAGGTAAAGTTTAATATTGGATTTGAGTCTTACTCTACCAGTGGTGGAATACAGCCTATTTATATACTTCCTTAGCTATTTTTTATAATGCTATTCAAACTACAATTGTCTGCCAGGAATACTCAATGTTTAAGGTTCTAATCCATTCCACCTTCTCTGTGAAGGCCTTCCCTTATCACCATCTAAGCCACTTCAATTTCAGGTAAACCTTCCACAACTCACTTCCACTGTTAAGGAATCTCATGTATACCTCTCCTAGAGCTGTGTGATTGTTTTTACAATATTTTTTTCTGAACTCATTGAGGGCAGAGACTGGGTCATTTTTTTGGAAGTGACGTTCCATGGGACAGTGCTTGGAATATATTACAAACTCAATAAATCCAGTTTGAATGAATTGAACCCTAAATGATAAGAAGGATATTAGAGTTTTACCTTAATAAGAGCAAAGAGTTAAAGACAGTGCAAGGCATAATTTTAATGCGTAATTAGACGAGAGAAGAAGGGAGTAGGGGGATAACCAGTAGATGAGACTAGAAAGCTAGAATGGAACCTTTAAATCCAGCTCATCTGTTACTTCACCTGGGAAAGCTTCTCTAAGCAGGGTGCACAGAAATCTGTTCTATGAACTCTTTATAGAGTTTCCTTAACTGTCTCATACAAATTTTTAGATACTATCTGGTATTAGTCATTTGTGGATATGATTTATCATTTCCGTTGAAAAGTGAAACTCTTCAAGGCATACTATGTTATACCTCAGGTTTCTGGTCCCAGAAATACTTACTGTTACAGCTTCTACAAGTGAGTGTTCAATCATCATTAGTTACATAAATAAATGTATTTAAATAAAAAGGCAAATAGTTATTATATAGAATTCTTTAAAACTGGCTTCAGAAAGGTCATAAATCAAAAAACAGTGACATATAGTGAAATTACATGCTGGACGTTATTTGTGAACTTTTCATTTCTGAAAATATAATTAGAAATAATATTTATAGTTAACTACATACATAAAACTAATTCTAGAAAGAAAAATAATGCCAGCTTTCTTTGTGCTATGAAGACTAAAGTAAGCATTAGCTGTCTGCTTTTATGAGAATTTTTTTCCCCTTTGTTATAATAAAAATGTCCTTCAAATCCTCAGGCATTCTGAATTTCTAGAAACAAAACTGAGAGCATTTAAAAATACACGTTGTTAGACCATGATTTATTATAGTAATTATTTTCTAAAAACAGAAAACATAAAAGCACAGGACCTGAGGGCAGGGACATCTTTTTCATCCTTTTGGCCCCAGCTTAGTACATTGCTTTCAGAGAATAGGTACTCTATTTTTTACAAAGTATACTCTATCTGCTGAACTGAACTAAACTGACACACGCAAAAGAGTGAATATGAACATATACATTTATACATGTCAACATGTGCATGTTTACCACACTTAGGTTAATTAGAAACATTTTCCGTTGGAGTAAAAATACTTGCTAACGTTCATAGTAAGGAAAAGAATGGAAAGAATACATTAGGAACCTATTATATATAAGGCATTGTAGAAGATACTAAGAAGCATAAAATTCCTAAGAAATTTCCACTTTAATGAGAAAAATAGCCTATGTATAGAAAGTTAAGCAACCATTAAGGATAACTAACAGTGCAATATATTAAATAGGTAACTACTGAGTTGTGATCATTATTTGTGTTTCCACTCGTCATCTGTTTTTTCACCCTTTTTAATATCATCCTGGTTTCCTCGAGGAGGAGCACTCTTTTCTACCTCGGTAAGGTGGAATAGCAAGGTGCTTGTGTTTTTCCGTTAGAGTCTCGGTAGTATATTTTTGTTAGATACCCTTTTTATACTGTTGACAGCCAAATGACAGACAGGTGATCCTGGCCAATAGTATCTCTCACCTGGGACATTGAGGCTAAATTGGTACAAGGTTAAAACATTCATAAATGATGAGCTCTGTCAAGGTACCTATAAGCTTGCGTAGTGGTCCCTTCTGATAGCTGTATGTTCCTATCTAGTCTGAGGATGGTTGTGTTACCAGTGGAGGGTCTTGACTATGGGTCATCCAGGCTCTTGGCATTTTGAACAAAGAATTGGACAAAATGCCCAAACAAAACAACAAAAGAAGGAAGCAATGAAAGCATAGGTTTATTGAAAGGGAAGTACACTCCATGGAGTGGTGGTAGGCTCCAGCAAGCGGCTCAAGAGCACTGCTTACAGAATTTTCTGAGGTTTAAATACCCTCTTCCCATTTGTTAGTTGGTTACACCCTACGTAAATGAAGGAGTGGCCCACCACCGGTCTGGTTGCAGGAGGTGACCCATCAGAAGTCCTCTCCATTTTTTAATCTTCAGGCTGAAAGTGGGGGTTACCTCTGATCCTTTTGTTACTTGGACATGGAGAGGTGGGGTTTTCTTTTTGATTCAATTCTAGGAAGTCAGTGAATATTGAGCTTAGGTTCCCTGCCTTCAGACCCTATTCTCCTCCCTCAGTTATTCACCCTTTCCCTCAATCCTCTGAGTGGCCTTTCATCCTGCTAGTAACAGCTGCAATTGTTGAAAGTTAGGCAACATTGCTTGTTTTGTTCTTGTTTCTATAGATTTTTTTGTTGTTAATTCAGCTTTTTAAAAATCCTGATTAAAATAATTACTAAATACTTCTAGTAAATACTAGAAAAGGTCAGAGGTAGGAGAGAGTTCTATGCTGCAGTGCTCTGAAAAAAAATAATTTCCAAAGAAATATTTGATGTGGGACTTTGAAGGATAGATACAAATTGACCAATGTTAAATGAAGAAGGCAGGCAGGCTTTTTAGTGATGAGGAAAGCCTGGTATTAAATGTTAGAAACTGAAGATCATGAACTGCCACTGGGAGAGAGAGTAAGTAGAAATAATTTTATGTGGAACTACAAATGTAGAATAGAAAAGGGGTTGAGCACATATGTTTAAAATCCTGATTCTGGGTTTAAGTGTTTGGTGTTTATGACATAAAATATTTGAAGATAAAACCAAGTTAGAATGCAAAAGAGTAAAGCCCTACTTTAGATAAGAAACAACTAATATTAGCTACAGATCAATAAAATGCACTTTTAAAATATTTTTTTGCCTTGCTATTGAGTCTTGTTTCAAATTAAAGTATACACAGTACACATAATAATCAAAGTTGGTATTATAAATATATAAATCCTATCTAAATTAAGAATATTACATGTTTTCTCTTATATAGAATGAGAGAAAGAAAAAGCTAAGTCTTCTGAAATCAATTTTTGAGATTTCATCTTAAGATTGGTAGACAAGGAAAAATGAGACAAGAAGTAAATCACAAAATTACGAAGTACAAGGAGATTTTTGAGAATTAAAAGAGAAACTTAGAGCTTTTGATCATAAAGGAAAAAAGGAAATTGCATCCTTCTGTACAATTACATCAGTATTGATGTATAATCCACACCATTCAGTATCTAAAATTTGACTGGGCCTAAAATAGCTGCTGTGATTTCCATGCTAAATTAACAAGATAAATTACAGAGCATCATTTTATTGCTATTGTTGATGAAAAGTAAAAGTTGCAATCAATCATCTAAATGAATTTTGGCATTATGGTTTGGGCAAAACATCTGGATTTGGATAGACATGTTTTGGTTTTTATTATCTGCACAAAGTTACACTCAGATTTCCATACTTTTTCTTTTAGGGAATGTATCCTATCAATATGTTTTCCAAGGTTTTAACTACTAATTACTCTGGTTTTGATTAAACATAACACAAACTAAATAATGGAGCTTAGATATTAGATACCATCAGCATTTGTGCTGTACAAATGGTAGCCATTGGCCATATCTTGCTACGGAGCTCTTAAATTATGGCTAGATTGAATTGAGATGTGCTCTAAATGTAAAATACATACTGACTTTGAAGACTTAGTATGAAAAAAGAATTATACATATTCATATAAAAGATAAAATATATATGGCTAAAACATTCCTGTTAAAGTAATTTCACTTGTTTCTTTTTACTTTTTAATACGGTTACTAGAAACTTAAAATTCTACTTGTGGCTTGCATTGTGTGTCTACTTGACAGCACTGATCCAGAGCCTGAAGTAATGAAATCACTGTAGTTGAAGACGGAAGGCTGCCTTCTCTCTCCTACGTTCTCTGATCAAATAACCTGGGGCCTAATTGTGGACACAAATTGCTTAATTGTAATCAGTGATCTTGGTTTCTTCTGGGAAACCAGTATCTAAGCACCCATGATTGTTGCTCGTATAGCGAAGACTTGGCAATGAAAATTTCATAGCTCAGAATATGGGGTCAGTGTTGATAGATGAAGGGTTTTGAGCCTCCCCCTCCATCTTGACCCATAGGCAGGAGAGGATACGCTTATTTCAATGGGCAGTGGGACTATGTAGGGGCTGCCCAGGAACCGTGAGGCCTCCATGGCAGGGCAGTCATGAACTCTGCCTTCACTCCTAAGATCAGTTGAGTATTGGATCCATAAGCTGGCTAAGTGCACTGGCTTGCCATTGGATTAAAAAAAATGCCTTTTTCAGTGACAGATTTGTTTTAATTCAAGTACTTAGACTGTTTTTTTTTAATTGCAAAGCATCAAAATTGGGTTTGAAAAGCTGCTTATCTTCATTATGTTTTCCCAGGGGGTGGCCTAAGATTCCCCATGTCACCGTATGTACAGAAAACATTATTTTGAATAAATGTGAATTCGCAAGTGCCATTAATCAAATTTACAAGATGATTGTTTTCTAATAAGCTTTGCCTGTCAACTTTCTTAGTAATTCTTTTACACCCCATGGTGAAAATGACCCATCATGCAATCTGTTGATGGCATTCATTGAATTAGAATTAGGCTTATAATAAATCTCACATACTTTAAAGTACAGTAATCAAGAGGATATGTTACTTAGCATTCAGCATTTCCATCTGTTGTACATTGGTAATCACTGGGTATTTCAGTCCAGTGCAAGAGCATATATCTGCCCTGCCTACACATCTAAAAAAATAGGCAATGTATTTGTAAGCTCCTCATTTTTTGCGTTGTAATTCAAAACATTTTCCAAAGAAATTTTTAAGGGATAAGCCTATATAACATGAATACTTTAAATGTTGAGACAGCTTTTTATTTAAGTCACCTACCTACACAATGTAAAATCTTAAATGTAGGTAGTCCTTGTTTTGCATAGTGTCATGTTACTGAAAGCTTGCGTAGATGGGAATGGAGTCCTCTTTCGTAGGTTCCATGGTAACTAGCAATTGCCAAACTGTTTAGGAAAGCCATATGCCTAACTATGAAACACTCAAAATTCAGTTAGACACATTATACCATTAAGTATAAAATTAGAAATAAAGACAAGTACCATCGTAGATAATTGTCAGATATTTTGTGCCAAATTTTATGATATTCCTAAATCCACTGGAGACTCCCGAACTGCTATGGATTTAGAGAGAAAAGTCATCTTCTCAGTTGTCTTTACCGTTTTATCTCTTCTTTCACGTTTACGCTACAAAAAATTGATTATAAATCTGGTTGCTGTGCAGACTAAGCATGGCAAAATGACACAGCAATTTAGGAAATGTTTTGTAAGGTTCTTGGTGAGCTACTAGAGTCAAACCAATGGAGTGGCATAATGTCAATTTGCACCCTATTGACAAGTCCAGATTTACTCACTTTGATAAGATTCTTCTGTAGATAACTTACATTTATCCTAAAACATAAATCTCCAAGCTTTATGTATTAGTGGAGAGGATTTTATATGCAGAGAATTAGGAAGCAATGAAAACTACCGATTTTAATTTGATCTGTTTGAAAATATTGAGAAGGTCCAATGCAATATAAGGCTAACATCCACCTCCTTGTTCCTATAACGTGACCACCCCTCATCTAGCATATTTTCATTCATCTTGACTCCTTTGCCAGTACAAACAACCTAACCAAATAATAATACTGAATTACAATAAATTGCCAAGAAATATATTATTTCCCTGAGTTATTTTAAAAATTCTCATAACCTTATGAAGTTGGCATCATAATTATGTCATTTTTTCAGAAGATGAAATAAAGCTTACAGGAAATGATATATAAAAATTCCACAAATTACATGAACAGCAAGTGGAAGAGTTAAACCTGGGAACCTGAACGGAGCCAGTCTAATTCCATAGCTTTTCACTGACATGCTATATTGCAACTCCCTGTTCCTTGTGAAGAAATCCGTAACTCATCTTGGGTTTCTGGTGTGTTATTATCATTCATATTCTCTCTCATTTCTTTATTACCCATTGTTTCTTTCATCCTTTATAATTTCGTCTTATTTTTCAAAATTTTGCTGAAACTACAAACCTCCCAAATTTCTGCTTTCTCATTACCAACTTAGCCTCATTCTTTTTGGCTTTATTCAAATGACATCAGATACAATTAACCAGGTTAGCCTCTTAAACGTCTCTCCTTCATTTTGACAGCAGCATATTAAACTATTTCTCTTTCCTTTTTCATAGTGCTTGTATTTCTCATATGCTGGCTCTAACTACAAGTATTTCTGTGTTTTATCTTTGATCATCTTTTTGGTAATCCATTTTAATAGCTTCAGCTCTTGTTTCTAAGATGATAATGCCTTATTTTTAATTGAGAGTCTTAAATTCTCATTGGATGTCTGTTCTAATATTTTGAATTGTCTGATGTTGACTTCCACTGGGACACTTCTCTACTGTATTCCAAGGCTCATCTAAGAGGAAGATTTTTTCATAAAGAAGGCAGTTGCTCCAGCACTTTGCTGCCAGATTAATAGACACAAGACAGCATTCTCAACATCTCTCTTCCCTCTTAAGAGCAACAAAAACAAAAATAAACAATAAATATTTACTCTTTATATACTTGTCTGGATTTTCAGACCTAGTTTAATGTGACATTTACTTATCAATCCCTCTTCACAATACTTCCTCTTATTGCATTCCTGTGTTCTCCCATGCCCCATGTTTTCCTTTCTTTTTCCTTTTTTCTCTCATCTCATTGTCCAAAAATACATCATCTTCACTGCCCATAATTTTACTCTTTTTTTTGTTTGTCATGGTGTTTATTATTCTTCCTACTTATCCAAGTTTTTGTAAATTGCATTGGCAAAAGTGAAAACCAATATCCTCCATTAAGCGGACTACTTCTCTGCCGCCTCTTCATGGCTTTTGAATTATTAAATTGTCCTGGAATACTTGTTTGACTCTTAGTATAAGAGTGCATGTTAACATTTGTTAAATTTGCATGTGTGTTATTCATTAGTTCTCTTATGGTGACAACCATTTTTTTCTTTCCTATTCCTCCTATAACGCAGCAGTGCTAAGCACACAATATGCATTCCAGTAAACACTCATTTTGATGAATTCTTGGTCATCAAATACATGTTTTGTTTCTCAGAAAACTAAATGGGGAGTTAGCTCTTATTCTATGTGATGTTGTGACAAGAATTCTTTTTAAAAGTGACATGTTGGTTACATAACTCCTAAGTTCTTCAATGAATTCTGATGACTTTTTACTTAAAAACCCAATGAATTATAATTATTCAGATATTCTAGAAATACTTTGTACAAGGCTTACTTCTCAACCACAAATTAGACATGCATAAATATGAATTTGAATGACACCCATTTAACCTACCTTTTCTGTAAGGTTACTACTTTAAGCCATTCATTTATTTGTGACTAGCTACCACTTAGCTGCCATATAATAGCATTTATATACACTGTCCTCGTTCTACTGTCTTTTATCCTTCACATACCCTTGGTTGCATGGCATCAGAGACTTACCGTTACATAGCTGCAGTGGCTTATTCGTGTAACTCTGTTACCTATGGCGTTTTGTATTAATTTGTATTCATTTTTGTCAATAGGAAGATAATTTAAGACAAAAATGAAGCTTTGCTTTTCTCTAAATGCCCTGTGGGTATATTATAGTCCATCCAAAGATATTTCTGATTATATAACTGCATTTATTGAGTATAACCTTAGCCTGACAGTGAAAGAGTGTTTTCACCATGTGCAAGAGGCCATTTGTCAAAACTGACCTTTTCTGTGAAACGGCTACAATTATTAGTTGATCCAAGTGTCAAAGCTCCATCATAAGATAAGGAAGTCAGCTAGGAAATTTTTTCTCATTTGATAATAGGTTTCCAAAAGAGTTAGAGATGGATTTGATGTTTCTGTCTAGGGTTGAAAACCTAGCCTGAAATGTGCTCGAAACAATTTAGATAGCCATCTTTGTTGAACTGAGTTACACATCACAATTTTGGTCTTCTTACAGATTGTTCATAAAGTACACTCTGAGCAATATCTTATTTTCATTTATGTTTTAACTCTAACACATAAGCAATATACAAGAAAAGCTTTATAAAATAAACAAAACTTCTCTATATGATACATTGTTTTACAGAATGTGATTTTAAGCAACAGATGACAATGAAGTCTTATGAAACTCAGATACAGATATAACATGGATGTTATATTAATGACAATTTATAATTTACTGTAAAATAAAGTGCCATAGTTCTATAAACAAGATAAATAGTATAAATAAAAATTAATAAGCATGAGAAATTCAAAACCAATAAGAAAAACTTCATCAGGAAAACTTTCAATGGGACTAACAAGACAAATTTCTTCATTTAACAGACTATAGACATCCTTCTACGTATCAGCACAATGCTTAGATGTAGATGGTATGCCAAGATTGTGAGGGCTTGCACAGATTTTATAGAATTAAAACATAATCACATGAAATAGAAGTGTTAAAATAAAACTTTTTGATTGGAAATAGAAAGTGTCAAAATGACACTCTCAAGTACAAAAAAAATGGAACAATGGGAAAATAAAGAAGCAGAAAGGGAGAAATTTTTAAAAGGCAAAACAAAAGAATTTTACATAAAATTCATGAAGTGTGGTAGGCCTCAAGCTTACTTCCATGATAAAAATGTCCCGGCAAGAAACTAATGTGCCTTGTAATGGCTAGTGTAGCATTAAGTCAGCCATAGGGAGAGCTAAAAATGACCTTGCTAAATCCATCTTTTTGCTGTAGAAGATGTCACCTTGAAGTTAAGAATAGAAATATGAACATCATAGATACATGTTAATTATGGGTTTGTCTACATGAAGATACCAAATGATACAGAAATAAGTATATTGGAATAAAATTGGCATGAGTAAATTTCTAAATGCCAGTAATTTTTAAAAATTAAGTTTTATTTTTAACTGACAAATTGTATACATTTATGGAATATGATGTGATGTTTCAACACATGTTACATTGTAAAATGATCAAATAAGGCTAATTAGCATATCAGTCACCTCAAATATTTATCATTTCTTGGTGCTGAGAACACTTAAGATCCTCTCTTTCAGTTATTTTGAAAAATGTAATTATTAACTATAGTCATCCTGCTGTGCAGTAGAACACCAGAATTTATTCCTGACATCTAATTGAAACTTTGTATTCATTGGCCAATGTTTCCCCATTTCTCTGTCAACACCCCTCTACCCTCACCCACCTCTGGTAATCACCATTCTACTCTCTATCAGTTCAACTTTTTATATTCCACATATAGGTGAGATTATATTGTATTTATATCCCTATGCCTGGCTTATTTTACTGAACATAATGTCTTCTAGGTTTATACATGTTGCAAATGACAGAATTTCCTTTTTTAAGGCTGAATAGTATTCCATTGTGTATATATGTCATATTTTAAAAATCTATTTGTTGATGGACACTTAGATTGCTTTCAAATGCTGGTTATTAGGATTAATGCTGTAATAAGCATGAGAGTACAGATATCTCTTCAGCATACTGGTCTTAATTCGTTTAGGTATATATGCCCAGGAGTGAGATTGCTGGATAGTTGAGTAATTCTATTTTAAGATTTTTGAGGAATCTCCATACTGGTTTTCAAAATGGCTGTACTAATTTACAATACCGAAAGCAGTGTGTAAGTATTCCCCTTTCTCCATAGCCTCACTAACACTTATCTATCATCTCTTTGATAATAAGTGATCTAATAGGTGTGAGGTGATTTCTCATTGTGATTTTAATTTGCATTTCTCTAATGATTATAGATGGTGAACAAATTTTCATATATCTGTTGGCCATTTGTATGTATTCCTTTGGAAAATGTGTATTCAGGTCCTTTGCCCGTTTTTAATAGGGTTATTTGTTTTCTTGTTGTTGAATAGTTTGAGTTCCTTGCATTATATAATCTGGGTATTAGCCCCTTATCCAATGTACGATTTGTAACTATTTTCTCCCAGTGTGTGGGTGGTCTCTTCATTCTGTTGTTTCTTTTGCTGGGCAGAAGCTTTTTGGTTTGATTCAATTACATTTGCCTGTGTTTTGCTTTTCTTGCCTGTGCTTGTGGGGTCATATCTAAGAAATCACTGTGCAGGCCAATGTCAGAAGTCAGCGAGCTATTTGTCTATATTTTCTTCTAGTAATTTTATAGTTTCAAGTCTTTAAGTATTCAATCCATTTTGAGTTGATTTTTGTATAAGGGGTGAAATAAAGGTTCATTTTTATTCTTTATATGGATATCCATTTTTCCAGCCTCATCTATTTAAGACTGTCTCTTCCCAATTGTGTGTTCTTGGCACCATTGAAAACCAATTGACTGTAGATACTTGGGCTTATTTTGGGGCTCTCTATCATATTTGTTTGTTCAATATATCAATTCTTATTTTGTCAGTACCATGCGGTTTTGATTAATATAGCTTTATAATATATTTTGAAATCAGGTAGTATGATGCCTCCAGCTTTGTTACTTTTGATCAAGATTGCTTTTTGGCTACTTGGGATCTTTTGTGGTTTCATGTAAATTTTAGGATTTCTTTTCTATTTCTGTGAAGAATGACATTAGAATTTTGATAGAAATTATATTAAATTTGTTGATTGCTTGAAGTATGAATCTTAACATTCTTCCAATCCACGGACAAGGGATATCTTTCCATTTATTTGCGTTATCGTCAATTCCTTTCATCTGTGTTGTATATAGATCTTTCACTTCCTTGGTTAAGTTTACTTCTAGCTTTTGGTGTATTGTAAATGGAATTATTTTCTTTTTCAGACAGTTTCTTCATGTATAGAAATGCTACTGACTTTTATAAGTTGATTTTTGCATCCTGCAACTTTACTGAATTTCTCAGTTCTAAAACTTTTCTTGTGGAGTCTAGACTTTTCTAAGTATAAGATCATGTCATCTGTGAACAAGGCTAATTTGATTTCTTCCTTTCTATTTTTGGATGTTCTTTATTTATCTTTCTTGCCTAATTGCTCAGGCTAGGACTTCCAGTAATATGCTGAATAGCAGTGGCAAAAATGGAATCCTTATCTTCCTGATCTTAGAGATAAAGCCGTCAACTTTTCACTGAGTATGATGTCACTGTGGGCTTGTCACATATGGCTTTTATTGTGTTGAGGAATATTCCTTGTATACTTAATTCATTGAGAGTTGTTATGGTGAAAATATGTTAAATTTTGTCAAATGCATTTTCTACATCTATTGAGATGATATGGTCCTTCAATCTGGTAATATAGTGAATTACTGTATTAGTCCATTTTCAGGCTGCTGATAAAGACATACCTGAAACTGGGCAATGGATAACTTATTAAAAGAAAGAGGTTTAATGGACTTATAGTTCCACATGGCTGAGGAGGTCTCCCAATTATGGCAGAAGGCAAGAAGGAGCAAGTCACATGTTGCATGGATGGCAGCAGGCAAAGAGAATGAGAACTTGTGCCGGGAAACTCCCATTCTTAAAACCATCAGATCTCATGAGACATATTTACTATCACAAGAAACAGCATAGGAAAGATCCACCCTCATGATTCAATTATCTCCCACCTGGTCCCTACCACAACCTGGTAATTATGAGAGCTACAAAATGAGATTTGAGTGGGGACACAGAGCCAAATGATATCAATTACATTTATTGATTTGCATATGTTGAATCAACCTTGCATCCCACGGACAAATCACTTGATCATGGTGAATAATCCTTTTAATGTACTAAATACTGTTTATCAGTATTTTATTGAAGATTTTTATATCTGTGTTCATCAGTGATATTGGCCCATAGTTTATTTTTCATGTAATGTCTTTATCTGGTTTTGGTATGAGGGTAATGCTAGCTTTGTAAAAGGAGTTTAGAAGTATTTCCTCTTTTATACATTTTTGGAAGAATTTGAGAAGAATTTGTATTAGTTTTTCTTTAAATGATTGGTAGAGATCAGCTGTGAAGCCATCTGGTCCTGAGCTTTTCTTTGGTGGAATAATTTTAATTACTGATTCAATCTTCTTACTTATTATGGTCTGTTCAGACTTGAAAATAAAAATGGAAACATAACATACCCAAACTAATGGGATGCAGTAAAAGCAGTTGTAAGAGGGAAGTTTATAGCAGTAAATGCTTACATCAAAAAAGAAAGATCTCTAATAATCCAACATTACACCTCAAGGAACTAGAAAAAGAACAAACTTAGCCCAAAGTTAGCAGAAGAAAAAGAGATCAGAGCAGTCATAAATAAGGGACTAGAAAAACAAAAGATAAATGAAGAGTTGTTTCTTTTTAAAAGTGAAACAAAATTGATTAAAAACTTATAGTTAGACCTAGAAAAAGACAAGACTCAAAATGAGAAATGAAAGAAGAGACATTAGGACTGATAACACAGAAATACCAAAGATCATAAGAGACTTTTGTGAACAGTTATACACTAACAAATTAGACAACTTAAAAAATGGATAAATTCCTAGAAATATTAAACCTATCAAGACTGAATCATGAATATTGGAAATCTGAACAAATTGTTGATCTAATCCCTCCCTTCAAGGATGCTGTGTCTTATTTTTTTTGAGGCAGGGTCTCACTCTATTGCCCAGGCCAGAAGGCCAGAGTGCGCTGGCACAGTTTTGGCTCACTGCAGCCTGGACCTCCCCAGGCTCAAGTGATCCTCTCATCTCAGCCTCCTGAGTAGCTGGGACTACAGGCATGTGACACTATGCCTGAATAACTTTTGTATTTTTTGTAGAGACAGGATTTTGCCATGTGAAGGCTGTTACCCTGAAAAGTCATCTCTCCCTAGTTTTTGCTTTGAATGGTACAGTAAATCATCTAAATCTTCTGCAAACTGAAGCTGAAGGATAATCATAATAATCAATGGATAACTTATGATTATTCCATGACCTGTACACATTTTGTTTGAAAATATTAAGCACTCCTTCAATGTCACTTATAAATGAATAGAAAAATGAAAAATGGTTTAGTAATTATCTATACTGTAATTTGAAGCATTGGTAACACTAAGAACTAATGTGTTTTATTTCATTGTAAAAAACCTACCAGGAGTAGTTTTGAGTAGTGTTTGCCTTTTTCTCATTGCATAGCTTACAATATGAAGCAAACATCTTTGCCTACACAAATTGTCATACTCCTTTCTGAGTTTGCATCAGCTTTCAACATTTTATCTTTTGTGCCTTCAATGTTGTATAATATCTGAATTCCTTTAACAAGAAGCTTTTCTCCCAATTTTCTTCCTTTTAATAATAATCACTTTCCTTACTTATATGTAAGTTCACCTTTATGGCATTTTTTTCTGGCTGCAAGTCTAGAGTCTCTTGAACAACAGCTGTGTCAAAATTTCCACCGTGTATTTCTTCCACTTTCAATTTCTGTTTGAATCTTTAGCCAGTTCTTCTTTTCAATTATGCAGTTTTGTAAAGATGTTCAGTTTATCACTGGGAGTAAAGGAGGCAACACAACTACAAGCTTTACTGTCTGTGCATGAACTAAATAACAGATGTACAGTGAGGAGCCACCAGTAGACTTTGAAGTAATTCGTGTGGTCATGGATCATGATGCACATGTTGTTTATGTAGTAGTTTTCATGCTAAAGAGCTAGCAGCAAAGTTTATACTTCATGCAATTACAGTTAACATAACTATACAGTTAACACAACTATGCTAACTGAAATTTAAACTGTTAGGTAAACCACAGTAACTTAGGTTCAAGCATATATTGAAGCTATGCAAAGTACAGACTGCCTCTGTGTGTGTGTGTGTGTGTGTGTGTGTGTGTGTGTGTATGCAATTTTGTATGCTCTCTTGTATTGTTTGGCTTACGCATGTCTATCTTCTTGTAAGCCTCAAATATTCTGTCCCTCTCTCTCAGAATGTAACCTTAAAAGCTGCATAGTTGTTTTAAAAACACCTCTAAATGCCCATAGTTTCCTCTGAATCAACTTTTGACATCTCCACACTCCTTGTGATGTTGTCATATGATGATTTTAGGATTTTCCTATAATAGTCTCTAAAGATATTTTATACTCCCCTTTTGAAGAGTACCTTTTGCTGGAGGAAAAGATATGGAAAGTTGGGCAATTGGGGCACAGTGAGTCATTTGACTCACACAGATATGAAAAGTCTCAAATTAAGCTGTAACTTCATCTTTAAATGCTCTTATTTGTACAATCTGAATATACACAGACAAGATTTAGATAATATTACTATTTTTATTTTACCAAACATGTTCGTTTTCAGACTAAGCTATCTGTAATATACCATTAAACCCATATTTATTAAAAATATTTCAATTTTAATGTTTTGTTAAAATGTAATGTACAGACATACCAATGTGTATGCTTCATATAGAATGTGTATATATGCTCTTACTACATACATATTACATTATGCCAACAGCAGCAATTTAAGTATACAATTTCAAATACATAAAATTCATTTGGTTATTTTGGCATCATTTAAAAATCTTGGGTACTCACAAAAGGAAGAGGCTCTAGGTTTCTTTTCTGAAGGTGTCTTTACTAACACAAACCTCTTAGTGTCATAGAATTGCAGAGCTGGAGGAGATCATGGATTATTTGTATACATCTTTCACTTTATCAATGAGAAAATGGGAAATCAAAAAAGATAAGTGAAACAAAATGAAAGTGGGATCATATTTTCTCAACTCCACGTAGTAAAAATACCTCTGTGATGTTTATAATCTGTAAATTAGACTTTGTGTTTATCGTTTAATTCTCACAATAAACCTCTGAAGTCAGGCGGCAGGAATTAACGCATCTGTACCAATAGAAAACAGATTTAAAGGAGTCAAATGTCTTCCCTGAGGTGACACAGCTGGCGGGTGGAGAACTCCTGACGCTCTCATCTCCTCATTGTGGAGCCCAGGCTTTATCTGTTACCCACCCGTGGCTTTTGTAATGGAAATGGAAACAGTGTCCATGCATAGGTGTAGAATCTCATTTACAGAAACAACGACATAAAGCATTGAGTGATTTTCTGCATAAGCCTTTGGCAACCTTGATGTTTTTTTTTTTTTTTCCTAAGGTTGGCAGGTGTTATCACTTTAATCTGCAAAATATAATTTGCTTAGAACCACTTTTAATTCAGGGTTAGGCCAAAAGCTTCCTGTATTCATATAGAGTGAAATGATTACTAACTCTGAATGCAGACTGTATTCCTTTTAAATCATTCGTGTACTGTTAATGCTTTGCATGTAGAGCAGTCTAGGTGGGCTCAGAGCTCAGTTATCCTGTGTCTCTTCCTTCCCACTTCTACCACTAACTTGTGTGGCAGTGCCTGCACTCATTGGTTGACTCCTCCAAAGGGCTCCTAAACATTATAGACAACTTTTCATTATGTTGCATGCATATATTCAGAATTTCCTTTCTACAAAAATATGTGTTATCTAGGTAAGAAAGATAGATATGCTAACACAGATCACATACATTTGTTAAGGAATTAAAAATGGTATTAAACCAAGTACGTACAATATCTATCCTTACTTAAATATCTTGTTTTTTTGAGTTCTCTGTATTGGTACTATGAATATAAATCAGCCATCCTAAAATAAGAGGATGCTTATTATAAAATGGTGACATTTCTAAAGCAGTGATAACTGCTATCTAAGTTACACCTGTGATTTCTCCAGTGCATCTTTCATGCTCAACTACCCTGTATACGAGGCTTAGATGGTTAAAATCTTTGTGCAGAAAATTACATTGTCTATAGCAAATTTGATGTGATAAGTGAATCATAAAAGTAACTTTGAGACCAGATGTGATGGCTCACGCCTATAATATTCCCAGCACTTGGGAGGCCAAGGCGAGTGCATCACCTGAGTTCCAGACCAGCCTGGCATGGTGAAACCCCATTTCTACTTAAAATACAAAAATTAGCTGGGCATGGTGGTGGTCACCTGTAATCCCAGCTACTTGGAGGCTGAGGCAGGAGAATTGCTTGAACCCAGGAGGCAGAGGTTGCAGTGAGCTGAGATCACACCATTGTACTCTAGCCTGGTCAACAGGAGCAAAACTCTGTCTCAAAAAAATAAAAAAATAACTTTGATCCTTTTGTCAAGACATAATAAAACCAGTGGTAAACTTAATGGAGTAAACATTTGCAGGTATGTTTGTGGTATTAAAGTATTTGCGTTAAAATGCCAGGATGAGTATTTTACATAGACCTTTTCCAGTAACAATATACAATCAACAATTTTCCCTTTGTTCATCATAATTATAAAAGGTCAAATAATTATACTTTTTCTGTAAATGGTAACTAATTTCAATAGAATTTATAAGTGTTTCCAATTTTTATGAAACTTTCTAAGATTCACTATTTAGAAATATTTCACTTAAACTTACCTGAATTAAGTTTGGCAAATCATGATTTGTCAAGCAGTCCGTTGGGATAATACTGGACAGGTTATCTTTACTCCAGCATGGTTTGGTCACCCTCTCTTACATTAATGTCTTGAAATTCCACTCGGAGTTAGCTGTATGTAACAAGCAATTCGTTTAAGGTGAGGATCCTTACTTAAACATGTCTGAGGTTTGCGTATTTCCTAGAGGCTCACGTTAAATCCCTCCAAGTCTAATGACCTTGCCACCTGCTTCCTCACAGAAAACTAACATTTACATTTGTAAGGTTAAATCAAATATATAACGGGAAAAGTAGGAGGAATAACTATTATAAATCAAAGAAACATATTATAGGTTTTCTCATCTTCCCTGACAACTTAAACTTTCGTATAATGATCACATCAAGAACAATATCTAATCATGAGTTGTCTGCATATTGAGGTTGACAATTTCAGTTAGTGTGACAAACTGAAATAATTGTTTTACATAACACATAGGCTTTTAAAAAATGAGATTATTCTGGGTTATGATCTCAAGAAATATGTTATACTATTCCTGCCACCATAGCTTCCACACTCTGTAAAGAGATCCGAAATATGCTGTAATAGTATGGCACCAAGCTGGTGAGATATTTTGGATAAGATAAACAAGTGCAATTGAATAGATTCATTTATTTTTGATAAAATTCTAAGCAATGTCCGTTGTGAGGAAATATGATTTAAGAAAAATAGACTTGTAAATGTATTTAAGCGTAGTTAATAAATGAAAGAACACAGAACAACTTTTCTCTCACAATTGTAATTAACTAACTAATTAATTTGTTTGTTTGAGACAGAGTCTCGCTCTGTTGCCCAGGCCGGAATGCAGTGGCACAATCTCAGCTCACTACAACCTCTTCCTCCCCGGTTCAAGTGATTCTTCTGCCTCAGACCCCTAAGTAGCTGGGACTACGGGTGCATATCACCGCGCCTGGCTAATTTTTGTATTTTTAGTAGAGACAGGGTTTTCCCATGTTGGCCAGACTGGTCTTAAACTCCTGGCCTCAGGTGATCCATCTGCCTTGGCCTCCCAAAGTGCTGGGATTACAGGTATGAGCCACTGTGCCCAGCTGTATCTCACAATTTGAAATAGTTTCTAAATGTAATTGTTTTTCCCTGAATCTCCTGTTCCCCGCAAACACCCTCATCTTGTTATAACTCTGTGCCTGGGCCTTTGGGTTTACAAATCTCAGTAAGAGTCCATCAAACCTCTCTAAGGCATTGGGGATTTTAAAAATATCCTCATCTTCTCAATTTTATTAATTTGCATAGAGTGCTTACAGTTTCCTTTTGAATAATTGCATTTCTATGACAAATGTAAACAATTTGCTATACCATGTCTTACTTGCTTTCCTGGAGAAGATAACTAGCAATTTAGTATAATTTTCATTCTCACCATAGTTTGTGTGATCTTCTGTTTTTGGAATTCTAGACATTTGATGTTAATATGAGGCCAGGTTATCTTTATTCCAGCAGGGTTTGCTCACTCTCTCTCAAATGTCTCATCTCACATCCACCCTGCACTTTGAGCTACATTGACTGTTGTTGGTTGAGAGAGTTGACATGGCTACTCAGCATCCTTCTGGGAGGCAGGTAAACTGTTGTCCCCTGTTAGAATTAGCAATGGTATAGGTTGATTTATTTTCTTCATTGTAAGGCATTCTAATTCAACTAGTTCAATTTAAATTATAGTCAACATTAACAGAATGATTTCATGGAATCTCAAAGGACTTTACACAATTAAATCTGCTCATAGTGAATCAGTTCCTATTGTATTAACAGCAAATGACTTCTTTTACCAGAAGTTGCATTCTAGGGCAGCAGGTCCCATAACCTTAAAAGTGGGGAAAAATGTTTTTGGCACTTTGTGATATCATCATATTCCAAGATATACCAGAAAAATCAGGATGACAAATGGTTTTCTCTCTTCAATGGCATTTATAAATTTCAGCCACATTATTATTTTTATCTTATCTATCTTCAGCTATCGGCTTATCCAGCTGCCTAGACTTCTCCTTATAAATCCATACCTTCATTCTTTAAGTGATTTTTAAAAAATAGACTTTTCTTGTTTAATTCCAGAAGAACCAGATCCTAGCTTTCTAATGGCATATTTCTCTAAACACATAAAAAGATTTATATTCTATAGCTTAATTATAGTGAAGAAAGTAGTTTTCATCAAAAGAACTTGGTTAAAACAATATATTTATGGTCTTAAGTATGGCTAGATTTGGAATGTGTTAAGAGTTACCACGGTATCAGTCTGAGAAATGTTACTGAGTGATGCTATGAGGATTGGTGTTTTGACCTACACAATACTTGATGCTTTAGAGCAGTGGTCCCAGCCTTTTTGGTGCCAGGGACTGGTTTCATTGAAGGCAATTTTTCCATGGACCTGGGGGGTGAAGGCTTCAGGATGAAACTGTCACTTCAGATTATCAGGCATTAGTTAGATTCTCATAAAGAGCACTCAACCTAGATCCCTTTCGTGTGCAGTTCACAATGCAGTTTGGGCTTCTATGAGAATCTAATGCTGTTGCTGATCTGACAAGGGGCAGAACTCAGGTGGTAACGCTTGCTCTCTGCTCACCTCCTGCCTTGTGGCCTAGTTACTAACAGGCCACGAACCTGTACCTATCTGTGGCCCAGGGATTTGGGACTCCTTTTTTAGAGTTAAGAGTGAAGCATATTCTCAAAAGATATTTGCAGTATAAGGGGATATAATGGTGTGTTAGGATAGTATGATGGCAAAATAGCTACTATCATGATAAATTAGAATAAAAGTCCTGCAATATTCAATCGTGAGTGTTATGAAATAATAGAGAAGCAATACCAACTTGTATTTGAGACAGTGAAAAATTATACCTTTTTAAACCTAAAGAGTCTTATTTAAGGAATTATCTCTACATATTTTCCACAATTCTTTTTTTTTTAAGAGCTAGGGTCTTTCTCTGACTAGGCTGAAGTGCAGTGGCACACTCACAGCTCACCGAAATCTTGAATCTTGGGCCCAAGGTATCCTCCCACCACAACCTCCTGAGTAGTTGGAACTACAGGCATGCACCAGAATGCCCGGCTAATTTTTAAGTTTCTTGTAGAGACATGTCTTGCTATGTTGCTGCCTAGGCTGATTTCAAATGTTTGGCCTCATGTGATCCTCCCTCCACAACCTCCCAAAGTGCTGGGATTATAGGCGTGAATCACTTTGCCCAGCCTAACCACAATTCTAATCTAGTTAAGAATAATTTGGAGTCAGACTGTTGGAGTTTTTATCCTTGTGGTACCACTGAGGGCACTGGATAAGGTATTTTGTATTCCTGTTTCATAATTTCCTCATCTACAAAATGAGGATTAAAATCGTATTTCATAAAGACACTATAAATTATATGTGAGAGCATATATGTAAGCCATTACATAGCACGAGCTCACAAACTTTAGCTAAAATTCCTTTCATTATTGCTATGTGCAAATCTGAGGAATCCAAAATTGAAAACAACAGCAACAACAGAAAATACTGTTCTTTTCCAAAAAAGGAAACCTGCCAACTTACAGATTATACAAGATAGTGAATAGAAAGAATGTATTTTATAGTGACTGAAATTCGAAATCTGTGCTTGGGTGTTACAGCAAATTTAGATGATCGAAAGCTCTCAGATTAGAACTCTGCAGATTTATTTCAGTCCAGATATTTGATATTGCTTGAAGCAGTTGTTTTTGTGGTTCATAATTTTCACTAAATCAAACCTTAATTAAAAAGTTTCTGCCTGGAGACGCTTCCTTTGAATTCCTAGGCGAGGCTCAGTAGGACTGTTGCCTGTTTGTGACAATATTAAATGTCAGGCTGACAAATGTCAGCTCAACAGATGGGTAATTGTATACATTAACCCTACTAATGGACAGATGTGTTTTAGCATAAATTGTAATATAATCTGTGACTAAAACCATAGCTCATATAGGAATAATCCTATTTACAAATGATAATGTTAACATATAATACACATTTATACAGTACTAGTTCAATAATACCATTATACATAATTATGTATGAGCACTTCTTAATACTAGGAACTCTACATTAAACATAGGTGTCTTAGTTGCATTGCTGAAAGAGTCTGAGAGAAGGGCCACAGTTCTTATTTGAGACGTGACTCCAACAAGTAGGAGAGAAGAAGCAGGGAAGGATGAGAATGTGATCAGTGTCATCCTAGTAGGCACCAGGGATTGAATTTTGCAGGGCCGTCAGAGAAGCATGTAGAATACTCCTTAGAATTGCCTGCAGGCCGTGGCATTTGTCCAGTGGCAGCTTTTCCGTGTCGGTTGAGGGTGGTCTCCAGTGCTGCTGATTATCCCTCACTTCTATAATGCATTTGTGTCGGCCCAGTCAGAATCTCAGACTGAAGATGACTCTACAACAGAAATCTGAAAGTGGTTGGAAAGGCGATGGCAGTGGAACACTAATTTTGAGGGCCAGTAGACAAGTAATTCTCCACTTTGGCTGTGGATAAAATTGGAGGGGCCCAAGGGAATGAGGAGGGGCAGCAATAGCATCTTCTGTTCTGCCTTTGTTTTGCCTGCCCTTGGTATTGCTCAGATCTCTCACTAAGTCTACTCCATTACCAAGCCTGTAAGATGGTGGCCAGCCACAATTTATTAGACTTCTTATGGGAAGTGTGTGCAACAAGCTTGAGTCCTCATTGTTGCAGTTGGTTCAGGGGCAATAAACAGTATATCTCTTTTCTGATCACCCATGCTGGATTTCCCTCCCTCTTGCCCAACAGTTCAGTTTGCTAGTGAATGCAAGGCTGAAATGGAAGAATGCAATCCTGAATTTTATCTCTGGGGGATTTGACCTCCTGTCAGGTCATGAATGCTGTAATTTGCCTTTCACTGCTGTCAGTAAGCATAGAAACACCAACAGACGCCCCGGGGACTTCTCCAGGTTCCAGGCTACTTATCCCCAGCAGGTAGTCACACGACCCTAGAAACTCATGACATTCAGGTCCGCTACGATCACCAGCGTAATCTGTGCCTATAACAGGTTCGGTAGTAAGAAGCCACAGTTGGCATCTAAGACTTGCTCAGAAGGAGCCTGTGCTGTTTTGCCCATGCGTCGTCTCTGTCTCCATCGCCAGGACAGATTCCTTTGTGGGTCCACAGCACCAGAACCAGGATGGCCGAGGAAAGGGGCTGGCTGAAAGCCTCAACAAATCATCTCGTCCACCACACATTTGACAGCCTCATCTGTGCAGAATCCTTTCTGATGGACACTGACACAAGACACAGAGATTCTCATACTTTGTAGTTTATCTCAAACGCCCATCCACATATTTGTTCCACAAACCTCCTGGTTTACCATCGTAATCTTGCTATTTTGAAGACCACGTCCAAACAGCGAAGACATTTGCCTCTGCCTAGGAGTTCACATACACCTTTATGTTAGGCTAATTCTGCCTCTATACAAAGTCATCTGAGGGTAAAAAAATGTGGCATTAAACTTTGTTGAGTAGGATTTTCTAATCATCACCTTTAATGCCACCTGTGAGTCTGTAGTAGTTTACTAGTGTAAAACATTAAGCTGTACTGTCTCCCATGTATGAGCCAGATAGGAGGTCCTCCTGCCCCGTATGCTAGTCACAGGGGACCTCTTTAATGACACAGGTTGTGCTAAGAAAGGAGCCTTGGTTCAAGAGTTCAGAGGCATAGAAGTTCTCTGTATCCTCTTTACTGACTTTAAGACTTTGTAAGACATTTGATTCATCTTAAGCCTGATCACCAATGTGTACTGTGACCATTGCATGAAGGATTTGTGCTGTACCCAACTGATCTTATGACTTGAAGATCTGATGATACTCACCTCATCATGGGAAGCTCTGATCTTAGTCACTGATGTCCCATGATCAGATGCTAACTCATCATGAAGACCCCGTGGCATGAAAGGAGCCATTTACCAAAGGCATCTTTCTCTGCCACAAAGAGCATGGCCTTGCTCTAAAATCCTAGCAGTTTGTACTGTGACTCTCCTATAAGGCCCTGCCAGAGACTTTTCAGTGCATCTTTATTTACTGTGGCTACCTATGGCAGCATTGACTTTTCCAGGTCACATAGCTCAAATGGCAGGGGTTTTGCAGCATAGTCTAGACCTGATAGAGTCCTCTCTTGTTCTGGGACCCACTTGAAACTGACAGCCTTATGAACCAACCCATAATTGAGTCATAGTATTTTCAAGGGTGGCATAGGCTGCCGCTAAAATCCTTGAGGGGCCTGTCAAAGCACTGGAGCTCTTGCTTTTTAATAGGGAGCTCAAGGTATACTAACTTGTCCTTTACATTGGAGGTGCTGTCTTAAACTGTCCCAGGTCATTGGACCTCTGAAAACTTCACCAATATAAAAGGCCTTGCCGCTATTCCTTGGTCCAGTTTCCATACACTGTGCCAGCATGAAGCTCTATAGAATAAGATGTCAAGTCTGTAGAATAAGATGGCCGAGGAAAGGGGCTGGTTGAAAGAGAGGCAAGACTGTGAATGTGTACTGCTGCCCTTTCCACATAAAAGCAAACTGCTTTTGGACGAGGCTTGAACAGACTGTATTCATTATATCAATAGCTATATACTGAGTTCCAGAAGTTGCGTTGATCTATTTTAATAAAATATTACTTCCAGCACATGGCTGTAATAAGGGATTCTACTTGAAGTTTCTTTTACTTTCCTGTCATCTGCCATAATTTCATTTATAAAGGGACCATAAATGTTAATTCAATAGTAATATATTAGTAATTAAAATGCTATCATATTTTAAGTCTGAGGATGGGATTAAACTTTATAAAGCCACCTGATACAGTATTGCTTATGATTTATTAGGCTGGAGGGTGGAAGTTTTAGGGGCTTCTATTTGGTCCTTCCTGCTATAGTGATTCTTTTAGGGTCAACATATCAAGTGAGGTTTTGATAACTGCCAAGTGTATTCATTCCAGTTATACATTAGGGGACGTTTGATTCACTCAGACCCATTGGACCTACTTGCTTAACTGTAGTAAGATAGAATACTTGGGCTACTATGTATGTCATTTATCTACTCGATTCCATCAAACCTCTTTTTTTTTATTTTTTTCTAGACAGAGTCTTGCTCTGTCTGCAGGCTGGAGTGCAGTGGCGCTATTTGGGCTCACTGCAACCTCTGCCTCCCGGGTTCAAGCAATTCTCCTGCCTCAGCCTCCTGAGTAGCTGGGACTACAGGTGTCCGTCACCACACCCAGCTAGTTTTTTGTATTTTTTGTAGATATGGGGTTTCACCATGTTGGCCAGGATGGTCTCGACCTACTGACCTTGTGATCTGCCTGCCTCAGCCTCCCTAAGTGCTGGGATTACAAGCGTGAGCCACCACGCCCAGCCTCATCAAACCCCATTCTAACCAGGGTGCTACTATGGATTTTGGGAGGCGTGGGGAAGGAAAGAGGTCCTATAATGTATTGGCTTTCTATTTCTGTGACACAGATTTTCACAAACTTAGTGACATAAAACATTATAAGCATTATCTTACTATTCTGTAGGTCAGAAGCCTGCACATGGCATGATTAGGTTTTCTGTTGAGGGTTTCACAAGGCTGAGGTCAAGGCATCAGTTGGATTGTGTTCCCATCTAAGGCTGGAGGCAACTATTGGTCCTATCAGTTTGCTCTTTCTTCCAAGCTCACTTGTAATTAGCAGAATCCATTTTCTAGCAGCTGTATCACTGAGATCTGTTTTCTTTTATTGCTGTTAGAAGGAGACCATGCTCCATTCCTAGGAGACAATCTCAAGTCCTAGCTGCATGACTCCCTTTAAGGACTCTTTCACAATATGCACCTATTTCTTCCAAGCCAGCAGTAGAATTTCTATCATGCTTCCAATTTCCTTTTTTAAGAAAGGTCCAGACCTTTTTTAGGGCCTACCTGATTAGGCTAGGCCTACTCTGGATAATTATCCTTAAGATTGATTTAGGAATCTTGGTCATAGCTACACAATTTCTTTAACTTGTCACATGAGATAACCCAACTGTGCAAGCAAAATCCATACGCCCAGTCCCAACCACTCTCATGAGGAAGGATTACAGATTATGTCTACGATGGGGCAACAATCTTGAAAGCCTTCCTATAATTTTTTCGCCTACTACACCCAATATTGTTACCAGCTCAGACACTGTATTATGCAGCCTTATGAAAAGTTTGTGTATTTCCCTTATAAGAGACTACAATAACTCAGATAAATGGCTGCAGGTCCCATTGGAGAAAGACTCACTACTCACATTACAAAGACCAGTTTATTGGTGCTATCGTCTACTGAGCAATATAGGAAAGTCATAAATATTTTGGTGATATCGCTCTTTTCGCCAGTGCTGTATTGTGCAACTAATGGAATGGAAATGATTTTGAGGATGATTAAAACTAACAGCATAGCAAGAAACTTGTCATTGGTGTTTCTAATTTCTATATGGAATTATAGAATGGTAGATGACACTTCTTGCTGTGGTCTGAAAACAAGAAGTCAAGGTACATACATGCAAATACTCCTGTACATGTTATACCTTTAGCTGTGTAACAATGAGCAAGTTATATTTCCTCCTAAGTACAATTTATCTTCAAAATGAAGTGTCTTTCGGATGTTAATCTTCAATGATTCCAACACACGTGGTGTTTTCTCTTAACTTCTTGGCACCCGATATGTTCCTACTCCGTAACTCCCCATTTATTTGAAGATAGACAAGTGTTTTCTACTTGAGCCACAGAGTTTGACTTATAGTTATAGAATTATACCCCATTAAGTCAATTGGGCAGGAATTTCTATTAAAGCAAGGTAATTTTCTGATGTTTTTTCTGCAGGTCTAGAAAATAGATATTCAGCTACAATGTATAATAACGACAATGGACTTAATTATAGCTGACATGGTTGTAAAGAACAGAGAGAAAGCTCTAACCATTCTAGATGCTCATGGACTTTATATCTCAAGTCTGTGGATTCTGGCTTAGTGAGCTATTTGGGATAGGTAAGCAAAACAGTATGCTTTTGAAAGGCAAATTTTCCCAGAACAAAATTTTATCTGACAATGCAATTATCTAGAGACTTAGTTGACTGCAGACATATTGACATTATATGTCCACATTTAGAGATGTACGAAGCCTTGTGAAATCACCTTTAACTGTGTCATCATTTATGCCCTGGGAAGTCAGCTATTAATAAGGTAAATGCTGCATCTCAAAATGGAGATTCTCAGTTGTGTAGCTGTGGCTAGTTACTCAGGTGGGTCTCAGAACAGACTTAATGAAACCAAGATTTCAGATCATTTTGTTCTGCTCAGTTCCATGACTAAAGTCTGCCCTTATTAGGTGCAACCCAGGAGATCATGGGTTATTCTGTGAAAATTCATCACGATTACAAGTGGGGGAAATAAAACAAAAGAGAAAAATTCCTGTTTCCAACGGTTAATGGGGTCATCTCCATCAATAAAAGTATGCATTCGGGCTCTCTAGAGAAACAGAACAATAGAAGACAAATACAGTTTTGAGAGGGGATTTATATGGGGAACTGGCTCACATTACTATGGAGGCTGAGAAGTCACAATAGGCTGTCTGCAAGCTGGAGAATCAGGAAAGCCAGTAGCATGGCCCAGTCCAAGTCTTACTGAACTTATGTAGTGATCTTATTTTACTGCTTCTCCAGGATAATATGTCCTTCATACCACATACTGTATGCGGAGTATTTATTATTACTTGAGTACACTTCCTTGGAAAGGACATCAGGGGTTTCATAAAGGCCTCAGAACCAGGGGTGCTAACAGTGTAACTCTCAATTTGAGGTCAAAGTCCTGATGTATTAGGGTTCTCCAGAGGGACAGAACTGATAGGATATATGTATATATGAAAGGGAAGTTTTTTTGGGGGGAGAATTGGCTCACGCGATTACAAGGCGAAGTCCGACAATAGGCCATCTGCAAGCTGTGGAAGAGAGAAGCTGGTCATTGCTCAGTCTAAATTTGAAAGCCTCGAACCCAGGGAAGCTGAAAGAGCAGGCTTCAGTCTGTGGCCGAAGGCCCCAGAGCCCCCGGGAAGCCACTGGTACAAGTCCTAGGGTCCAAAGGCTAAAGAACCTGGAGTGTGATGTCTGAGGACAGGAGGCGTGAAAGCAAGCATCCAGCATGGAAGAAGAAAGAAGGCAGCCAGAAGCCTCAGCAAGCAATTGTCTTCACTTCCACCTGCTTTGTTCTTGCTGCGCTGGCAGCCAATCGAATAGTGCCCACCCACAATGGGGGTGGGTCTTCCTTTCCCAGTCAACCAACTCAGGTGTCAATCTCCTCTAGCAACACCCTCACAGATGCACCCAGAAACAATACCGGCCACCTAGGCATCACTCAATCCAATCAAGTTGACACCTAATATGAACCATCACACCTGAAAACCTGGGGGGGCCTCTGGTGCAAGTCCTGGTATCTGGAGGTTGCAGTGCCTGAGCTCCTGATGTCTAAGGGCAGGAGAATATGGGCATTCCAGCTCCAGAAGAAGAAATGTACCTTTCCTCTGTCATTTTGTTCTGTCCAGGCCCTTCGCCAATTGGATGGTGCCTACCCACATGGGGTGAGGGCGGATCTGTCTTACTTAGTTCACTGATTCAAATGCCAATCCTATCTGGAAACACCCTCACAGAGGTACCCAGACATAATGTTTTACCAGCTGTCTCAGTATGCCTTAATCCTGTCAAGTTGATACCTAAAATTAACCATCAGAGTATACAATATTTTTTTACGTTTTTGATAATTGGAATCTTAAATACTATTTGTTTTCAAGTTGTATACTACATACTGTAACATAAGTCATCTTTCAAATGAAATACTTTCTGTAAATCTTACTGCTTTATGCATCTGTATGTTAAACTGTGTAATACATTTATTATCTCATAAAATTTATTCACTGCATGGTTCATTTTTTTAATTTATGCAATCTTGTGTTGTCACCAAACTTAAGTAGTTTTAATTGATAATTTCACAAAGTAGCTATGAAGTGCAATAAGGATGTTGGAGATACCTGAGTTTGTTTTTTCTTCCCCTTTTCTGCTGTTCCTTTTAATTAAAGATCCATAGTAATTTTTTTTCCAAACTAAGCCCCCTGGCTTGATAATTCACATTTTTGCATAAAATTGTATGTTTTTTGCTTTTTCTTGAAATATGTGTACATTACACATAAGTTTTATTGGCTTACAATATCAAAATCGGAGTATAGAGCTATGTTGAGTCTCCTAACTTATGCTGTTAAAAAGTACAGTGCCGTTTTGCAACGTCGAGTCCCGGCCTTTCTGCTTCCTATGGGTTGGTAGCTTTATATATTATTTAGATTCATTTTTCAACATTGATATTGCATTGGGCACCTTCCAGTCTTTGCTGATTTCGCCTGCAGTGTTCTATTAAGTATTTTTGCTAAGAGTTGTTCAGTCTGTGTTCTGGTTTCTCTTAAATTCTGAAAATTCCAAAATGATATTCTACTGAACCAAGGTGATTACATGCTTTGAATGGATCTAGTGACATATTTGTTTGTCAATTTACGGTACAAAGAGAAAATTTAAACTAAATTTTTTTCCCCGATGTATGAGATTTTAGGAAATGCACCTTTTCAGATTTCTCAATTGACAGTTACAAACAATCAGAATGTTGAAGAATTATAACCACAGTCATCATCTGCGGTTGTTCCCCCTTGCTGCCTTGAGGAATACCCTGCATTTGTACATGTTTCTCCTCACCTCAAAGTTGGAAGTGTGTGAATGTTTTATCACAAACTGAGGTGATGAAGCCGAGTTCTGGTGAGGAAGCTTGTATATCATAAAGAATACAAAACTGGAAATAATATAGTACTGGGTTTAATCTGGACTGGGCTATTTTACAACAGCTGACATTGACAATTTAACTTCTTCTAGGTTTATTCTTCTTATTGATAAAATAGGCTAATATCTACCCTAATGGCTTTTGGAGGATGAAAGGAGACATTTTTTGCACCTAGTGGATCTTACACTGCCTACCACATGGTAGGTATTCTTAAAATGGTTGTTTTCCCTCTCTATCCAACACAGTCAACTCATGGAAGAGTTGCTCACTAATATTACCATGAACTCATTCTGGTAGAGATTGTGCCAAATGTACTTGTAAGCTAGTGTAGCAGTCTAAGGAGCCTGCTTCCAGCTTTTATATTGATAACATTTCTTGCTATCAACTTTCTTTGGTTCTGAAATGTGAGCCTAAGCCTCAATTCTATGTACCTATGTAGGCTTCAGTTCATTTTTTCCAGCTTAACTGGACACATGAGTTTTTCTTAGATTTAGACTGACCCAGGAAACTGCCTTGAATGACCATATACTATCCAGAGGTGAGACTGTGTGGGCAGGATGTCCACGTATCCCTGTTTCCAAGTTTATTTGAAATGATAGTGCTCCACTGGGAGAGTTCATAACGTTTCCTACCTTTATACTCTAGACATCTTCTTCACAGACACTACACATGTGCGGGGGTGTGCAGGTTGCACCGTCAATGAGAGTTTATGTAAAACACTTAAGAGACTTCAGTGTACTGGGCAGCTCAGCTGATTAGAGTTATGTTATGATCAAAGACAGTTCCTTGTTCTCAGTGTAGGAGGGGCTTAAAAACAATAGCCCTTCCTACCAAACCTGGTTGGAAACAAGAGCTTGTTTTGAAGCTGTGTTTGCATACTCATCTCTTTGACATTTAGGTTCTATATTTGCATAGTCTGAGGAATATGAAGTTAGAACTTCCTATTATCAAATCACCTCTTGGAGTGACTACTTAACAGTTTGCTCTACATTGTGCAAGTTTAGTTCTTATAGAGGAGCAGTGGAGGCATTCTTATTCACCTAGATCTTATTTAGTGGATCAAAGCCAACTGATTTATGCGGAGCTAGACAGACACAGAACCTTGAAAGCTGTTGCTGTTGCTTACTCTTAGCTGTTTGATGGTAATTAATATGACTGTCATTGCATATCATGTTGTCTTTGAATTCTGCCACTTTAATCTTTAAAATTATTTTTAGCTTTACTGGGTGTTTTTTTTGTGTGTGTGTGCTTCACATTGTTTTCTTTGGTCTTACAGACACTTAACAAGGCACATACTGCCTGTAATTAAACTGTGTGTTGTTTTTCATTTATGTATAGAAATTGATCTCTCCTACTTATCACTAACACATTTTATATGCACCTTAATTTTATTGTGCATATAAATCCACATCTGTGAATATATGCCACTCAACATCTATGGGAGGAATTATAGCTAAAATGTTTCTTATTTTCAGCAATGATTATAATTATTTCTTCTATCTTCTTCTGCCTTGCTGGCCATTTATTCTCTCTTTGTCTTTTAAAATTGTGTTCATTTACTTTTTTATGCCTGTAGAATTACATACTAAGGTGGAATAGTACATAGTATTAGCTCTACTAGTATATCTCCAATCTCATTTCCACTTCTTAATGGACTCCAGTCAATGTCTTGGTACTAAAAGCCTGTCACTACTTTCACTCTGGCCTTTTTATACTTTTTCATTTGCTTGTTTTATGGTATAGTTGCTCTTTTTTGTCAAGTGGTTTATAATATATTCTTCCAAGTGCCAAAGTTTACAATCTAAAACATCTATAACTTCACTTCATAATGACTTTCTACTACTATGTTTCTCATATATTACTTTTTGGAATAGCTAACAGAAATATGCATTTGATATAATTTCTATTTTTTTTGCTAACCCAACAAATACTGAAACATGCCCCCTATCAATTTCCTTATTACCCCTAGAGCTATCTTATATAAAAAGTTAGTATCTGGGAACAATGGCTGTAATGGAAATTTGAGGGATAAATCATTTTTAAAATCGTATTTTATAACAGTTTGACTTCTCCTTTCCCACCTACCAGACAGGGCATCACTCACACTCCAGCACTGCTATGAGTGTCTGACATGGTGTGGTAGGATATGGACTGCTCTTTCATGCAAGTGTATGCTTTGATTTGGTAGCAGTGGGTTTACACTAAAAGCATCATGACAACTTTAGTGTGGACCAAGATGCGTTCTCCTTGCTAATTCTTTTAGAGCCAGTCTGTGACAGTCATCCCAGAGCAATCTGCCATGATTTGGGGTCATTCTTGTTTTGGAAGACCTCCAGAGAGTTTGTTAATTATGAGGTTTACATAGAGGTTAAGTTCATTCAGTGTCTGGGGTAGTTCAAGAAACAATGATTCATCCAGAATATATGTACTACATGTGCTGCTAAATCCTATGGCCATGCTTACGCTTTAACCAGTATATTTTTAAAAGATGATTATTGCCACTACTGAAATGACTTCCATATAGTCAACTGAAATGACTTCTATACAGCTATCAAATATTTAATAGTGCATGGGAAGGAAATCTTTTTATTCATGGGTACTTGTTGAAGCTCTGTTCTTCAAGCTGCATGTTGACTTATCTGTTAAGTAAGCCTACTGTCACAAAGATGTCCCATGTCAGTGGGGTTTGTCCCTGATTCCCACTTTATTTAGGGGCTATACATTGGACACATCCAGACCCTTGTTACCACTGCTTCATTTCAGCTCATCCTAAATTGCTTAGGTGTCCTGCAGTCACCCCCTCCTCAGTCATTAACAGAATTAAGCTGCACAAAGCATGGCTTCATTGTCAGTGGATTGGATGTATTACAAAAGCTCATGGAGTTTTTTTTATTGTTTTCTGCCATTTAGTGATACATTTGGCTTTTAGGAAATACAGGTGAACCAATTCAAAAAGATTATTCAAATGCTATTGCTCAGTGTGTATACTACGATAAAGCTTTTTTAAATTAACCTCTGAAATAACAGCTTCAGCTTTACACAAAACTGTACACACATATTTAAGCGTAGGTAGTAAGAAGTTTCTGGATGTCTTTTGATGGAAGATACTTAAGCTACCTTTGGATTATACCTAGGTTTACATACAGGGAATATATCCAAGCAGATTATGTTGTCTGAGCTTTTTCCAGCTCTGTTTTCATTGTTTACACAGTATATATAAAGAAGACAGAAGCAGGAAGCACAAACATCTTTTTATGGGCAGAGTTGTCTGCATGGCAAAGAGGCTTGGACTATATCCCTTAGTAGTAGAGTGCCAAAACCATTTAAACCCTTGGATTTTTCCAATTCAAAATAATTTCTTCATGGAAAATAGATGACTAAGGAAAAGGAGGGAAAAAAGTAGTGAGAGGCAGAATATCTGATTTAAATATGTACAATATGAAAAATCAGGACTTTATAATGTAAATAATGTATTATACAAGTCAAATTAATTTTTTTCCATATTTCTGCATTTATGCCTCTAATGTGGATAAGTTTTTATCTTTTTAATCCAAATACATGTATTTGATTAAAATGCTCCAATGTGTATAATGCTCTGCTTTCCTTTTGGAGAATATACCTCTTTGCTTGCAAGTTATTAGTTGCAAACACCTGCTTAATTTTATTATGTCTTAAAATGGTGAATATTTCTATAAAATGTTGTTTTTGTTATAAAATTGTACATTAGTCAAAGTTTTGGTTTCTCTTAATTTAGTTTTGCATTTTAGGCTTGCCTTAATTACAGAGACGCAAAACGACATGTTGGGTTTTTATAACTGAATTTTTCATTTTTCTTCTGGAACCAACATATTTTAGTAATTGCTAAATACTTTGTAAAACCATGAAAAAATTAAATGCCTCACCTGCCCTAGACTCGTAAGAGTAAGAATAGTTGGCATAATGAAGAATTTTTAATACAGACTTTTTTATACTTGGGTTACTTCAGCTTTATTAGAAACACACTGCTATAAACTTAACAATTTTTGCAACACATTCAAGTAATTGCTTGACAGAATCATAGCTTGTCTTAACATGATACAAAAATGTGAAACATTAATAACTATAGTCTCAATTTTGCTCCAATGCAAAACATTCTGTAAGCCTATTTAATCAGAGCAAGATCAACTTTCTTGTTCAAGATTTTAAACATTTATGTTGTCCTAATTTTACTGCCATATATTATGTAGCTAGGTTTGTGAGATAAATGTTGAAGGTAGAACACTACCACTGAAAGCTTCTTAAAAGCACAAATAAAATTTTCTAATTATTCGAGGAAGGAGAAATGCTTGCAAGGCCCGCCATTTGCAGTCAGCCTCTTCCATTTGATTAGAATCAGTGAAATGGACACAAGCTCTTAATATGAAAAATATTTTCTCCTTTCTCCCATTCTGACACATGCGCGATCCCTTTTAAAATATAGTTGAACAGTGAACTAAACAGATACTTTAGAATAGCTGCATCAATTTCTCCATCTGTTCATTGTTGATTCAATGGAGCTGAGTAAATCAGAAGTGGGATTTAAGAATCATGAAAAGCACTCAGTCAGCAAGGACTTACTGAGAACCTCCAATGTAAAGAATACTGAACCAGTCAACATACGGCTAAAAGAGAATTCAAAGGCAGACTCTGGTCTCAGACGTATACTTGATAGATGATTCAGTATTTCAGAAAACATCTCTTCCTATAAAACATTATTTGGTCTCTCTCCCTCCTCTAAGTTGGGCTTCATAAAAATACATGAAAGATCTTCATGTCCTTTAGATAACATCAATATAGATGATTAACCACTTACGGACCCATAAGCGCTGTCAACTCACTCAAGTTTTCAATGATTCCATACTGCCTGTAATTATTAAATGCAAATTCTTCTTTCCTATTTCAACTTACATAGACTATAAACTCAAATTTGCATTTCAATACAGTATCTCTTTAGTATTAAGTAACGTTATTACTACTACTTATTGTGGGTAGTGTCTACTTATTCTGTGTCCACTTTATCCAAGCCTCTGACACAGGATGACAAGCATACAGGCAGTCTTCACTTAGTCACAGCTTTTAGTTAAGACAGTGCCATACTATCAGAACCATGTCTAAGCTTTGTACTTTGCATTTTATTTTGAAATGATTTCAGACCTACGAGTTGCAACAATAGTATAAAGTTTCCATATATCCTTCACGTAGTTTATTGGTTTCAGTTTATATAGCCATAATACATTTATCAAAACTAGTAAATTAACACTGGTATGATATTGTTAACTAAACCACCGATATTACTTGTATACTAGTGGTTCTTCTACTAATATGCTTTTTCTTTTCCAGAAAATTGCATACCATCCAGATCCAATGTGGGATATCCAGTCTGGGATACTATTTCGCATTTAGTTTTCATATCTTCTTAATCTCTCCCAATCTGTGAAAGCTTCTTGAGTGTCCCTTGTCTTTCATGATCTTAACACTTCTGATGACTACTAATTAGATTTTTTTTTCAAATGTCCCTTCGTTTGTGTTTGTCTTACAATTAGATTGAGGTTACAGATTTTGTGGAAAAATACCATTGAGGTGTCATATCAGGGATGATACCAACATGACTGACTTTTGGCGATGTTGACCTTGACCATTTGGTTAAGAAAGTGTCTGCCAGGTTTCTCTAGTGTAAAGTGTCTATTTCTCTCTTTCTACACTTTAATCATTAGAAGAAAGTTACTGAGTACAGCCTACACTCGAGGAGTATGGTGGTAGTGGTTAAATATCATCTCTGGAAACAGGTGGTGACAATTTGTGGACTCTTGTTAAAATTATGATAGTAAATATTTCAGGAGTACAAATATCTCTAACTATTCATGACAAATTTTAGCACTGCTCCATAGATCTTGCTTGTAGCTGTTATTACTGTGGTGTTCCTAGAAATAGTGATGCCTCAGTAGCAATAAGAAAACAAGGTGTTGCTTTACAAATAGCATTCTACAATAAAAGAAAACGAGCTCACTGGAGAAATGGCTGATTCTAGGGCTGAGTCAGGAAATACACAAGATGAACCTGGAGCATCTTGCATTGCCAGAAGGTAAATAAATGCTATAAAAACAAAATAACAACAAAAACAACAGGAGCTTGTCAAAAGGACACAGAAACAAGCCCCCAAAATCTGTCAGTAGCCAAAGCTAGAAAAATACAATGACCAAAGTAAATAGTGACAGTATTGGATTATAATGTCAAGAGTAAAATAACTGAGTCTATACTACCATTCTGATAAAACTAAATGACTGAATAAATGCAGAAGAGAAAAATATTGCTTATGGAATTCCAGTTATTAAAAGTAGAAACAGTGAGGGAAATAGGAAAATCACTGAGTCACAAATGAATTCTAGTATCCGATTTTATATCTGTCAAAAGTGTATTTCACATAATTTTATCAAATATATAAACCACTTTGCATCCTACTCTTTTACTTAGCAATTAATCCAAATATCTTATGCCATATATCTTATAATAAAATTAACATTGTAGAAAATTTGGAAAATGAACAGAATTAAGAAAAATACATGCATTCAGGCCAAAAATGAATAAGGCTCTTTGGATTTTAGTATATTTATTCAGTTTTTAATTTGCATTTTTACACTGTTAGCATTTGTATATTTATACATATTTTGTAGAAATTTTGAATAATACTGCAGATGCTGTCATTTAGCAATTTCATGAACTTTTTTCTAAGTAGTATTAAGTATTTTTTAAAATACTAAATTACTGGGTCCTCTTATGTAGACTATCCATATACATATCTAAAAGTCTCCCTTAGACATTATATATAGAATGCTATAATAAATACACATATATAAATCTTTGCCTACATGTTATTTTGGCTAAAGGTAAGTTCTTAGCAAGATGAAGAGGTCAAATAATAGAAACACTTAAAGCTCTTGGGCACATAAACATGGCTTCTCAATACTATCATGAAACTAATACAATTTAATTAACTACTCTATTATTTTGGGCATTTAAGTAAATTCCCTGCATTTTACACTATCAGCGATGGTATCTGCATCTTTACCTGAATTATTGACTGTGAATTATCAACTCTTTTAAGCTGCTAATACATATTGATAAATTGGCTTCCAAAATAGATTGCACCAGGGGAAATTCCCACCATCAATAATTGTTTTTGTCTCATATACCCTTGAAATGTTAACTATAATCATTTTGTTTAAATCCTTGCTAATTTTACATATGATCAAGGTATTTAACTGCTTTTCTTTGATTACTTAGTGAGAGAGATTGAACATACAACATTAAAAATGGACCTGTTCTTTGAAAATGTTATATTACATGAATATGGATATAAATTTATCTTTCACGTAATTTAGCCCATATTTCTAATAGTCAATTAGTCATCACTAGATACTTCTATTAATTCAACATAACTTCAAAATGGACTCTTATTCATAAAAATTTTTAATATAAATATATATTTTTTGATGGCAGGCAGTCAGAACCTAGCAAATAAAACTACTTTGAAAAGGACTGTGAAAATTAACCTGAAAAAATAGCCTATATGATATTTTTAAAAAATATGTTTTTATATTTATACTCATTTTAGTTCTTTTAATTTTATGGAGTTCAAATTACCATGTAAATATTATTAAAACATCCAGATTAGTTATTTTACATTCTTTTAAGATATAATAAAAATTTGAAATAATTTCTAGTAATTATAACATTTTGCAGTCCCAACAGGGAAAGTCATCACAATTTCAATGAGATGCTCTAGAGTAGCTTTTAAAATATAAACTATGTGTATATCAGTAACCTGTTAGTAGGTTATGAGTATGTAACTTGGAATGCCATTAATATAATATTTTGATCATTAACCTGTTGAAATTAAGCTAGTAGGTCTCTATAATTTAATGAAATAATACATACTTGGATATGTTCCGCTGTGTTGTCTGCCAAGGAAAAAAAAAGACACATTAAAATCTTTATGATTGAAACACCTAAAGAGGCCAGAAGGGACTTTAAGTTCTCTCACAGAAGTGCAAGAAGATACAAAAATGAAGGTGGAATGTACATTTCATTAGGTTAATGTCTCTTATCAGCAAAAGTAGAAAAGCCATCCATCTGTTGAACTAGAAAACATGTTTGCCAAGCACTTTATTCCTTTTAACTTTAATTCTTTTGTATTTTAAGAAAAATGAAGTCTATACATTTGCTATTATTACTTTTAGATTCTACTAAAGTTAAGCAACTTTATTCAACTTCATTGAATTTCCTCTCAATCTCTTTTTAATTAGTATTACTACTTAGGTATAAAAAGGTAGAAATAGAACTTGATTGGTTATATGGATATTCTTTTTATTTTTTCATTGATTCATTTCTTCATTTGAAAAACTGAAGTGGCAGATTCTGTCAGGGACTGCATTGAATCCTTGTACAAATCTGAAGATAAGTCATGGTGCTTGCCATCAAGTTGTTCTCACTGCAGTGGCAGGAAGAATTAAGGTGACCACAGCCTTGAGAAGTGCTTTAAGAAAACAAATCCATGAGGGGGATTATCTATGTCCTTGATGAAATATGAGTAAGAGGATAGTCCACATCATTGGAGTAATCGAAGGCATCCTTTGGTTTCTGGTTTAGAATCTTATTTGGATAGCAATCGTAGCAGTCTCCTAATTGCGAGTTAGATACACATGAAAGCAAACGAAAACTATGACCAATCATGAATCTCACAAAATTCAGTGAATGATTGGATTGATCTGGGTGGGGGGGTGTTTTGACAAATTGGTATTGACAGCTAACACATGTATAAGCTTCCTATATGACAGGTACTGTTCTAAGTGTTTTATCTATAATATGAGGTTTAATCCTTACAACAAACTTGTGAAGTAGTTAGAATTTTCCCCATTTTACAAGTGGTTGAGGCAAATTTGATAAATTCTACTGGAATCATACATTCGGATTCCAGGGTCTGTGTTCTCACAATCTTTATGTTCTGTTACTTTATAGAAGCATGGGGGCTAACAAATTTTAATCAAAAAACTGAACCAGCAGTATGCACTGGGTTGTACTCCTTTTTTCTTGAAGATAGTCCAGGAAGGATGTAGGAAGAAAACTTTAGCCTTTCTCTCACTATGGTTCTTGGCTGAAATCTGAGACTTTGATAAAGTGAAACATATTCTTTAAAGTTACAACTACAGGTATATGATCATATATGTCATATGATATGAAAGGTGCTTCATATCTGTACAGTTTAATGCACTTTGCATGCTGTGTCAGCCACTCATATAATACAATGGACCACCACGCCCTTTCAACTTTCATCAATGTGGCTTCTGCAGTCTAGGACAGAAAAAGAAAAAACCAGAATTGATAATGTAAAGAACATGAAAGCTAGAGTCTAGTTGCTCAAAACAAGCATATGATAAATGAAGACAAAACAATCTAAATTTGTTTAGATCAATGATGAATGACATTCTTACATCTGAATATGTCTGTTTCTTAAGGATGGATGGCTAAAGGAAACTAGAAATGCTATAGTAGAATTAAAAGGAAATATTAGAATTGATAGAAAATCAAACTTCCAGAATACACAAATGTGCAGCAAAATGATGCAAACTCTAATAAAGGAATCCAAAGAAGAAAGAAAAACTTAACACAGGCAATATTTAGTATAAAAATCAAATGATCAAAAACAATTGTTAGACTGGCTTCTTACTTGGTTTGCGATATTAAACTTGAGAAAACAATGTAGTAAGTATCTAGATATTTTAAAGGGGAAAATAGAATTAAGCAAGGATTTTCTATAACTGAACAGTCATCCATGTGTGAAGGCAGCAGAAAATATTCTCATGTGGAAGAGCTCAAAGTATACCAGTATCTAATTACAGAACTAAGAAAATAGAAACAATTATCAAAACATTTTTTCTTTACATACAACTCTTTATTGTGTAAAATACTTTGAATAGAATAGTTGAGCAGAGATACATAAAGTGTTCCAATTTTTATCTAAAAATAGAAACATACTGATATCTGCTTGAATGTAATTAATGCATGTTAAATATGTGCTTTTATAAAACACCCTAGTAAATTAAAACCTCAAAATCACTGAAAAGGTAGACACAAACCAAGCATAGTTTATTGAGGTTCATAACATATGCAACAAAGAGTGAGCAAAGCGAGAAACACGAAACCCCAAAGACATAAAATAGGGGAACAGAAAACCAGCCACAACTCTTATGAGAGAAAATTCAAATGGTTCCAAGTTTTACATTAAGTTAAGGATATTCAATTAAAAATAAAGTTCAACTATTTTTGAGATAGCTGGGAAGCAAAATTACTGATATAAGTTAAAAATTAAAGATTAGGCAATAATTTATTAAGCAATAAGAATAAAGTCAGGTTGATCATATTAATTTCAGACAAAGTTGAATTTAAGGAAAGTCAGTGCATTAAAGTGTCTTATAAAAATACAGTGGTCATGAATTTTTAAATTTGTAATAAAGATAATCACAAAAGGAAGTTAGGAGATGATTTGTAATTTGAAGAAAAATTAATCAACAATTTAGGAAAACAAAATCCATTTAATATATAGCAGAGACCTGTTAGATAATTTTACTGAGGCCCTGTGATCTTTATTTGAAAGATTAAAACCCCCCAAAAAGGTTAAAATTTTCAGTAGCTCAGTAAGTATGATTTTTTTCCCGTCCTTCCAGCTTTTTTTTTTTTTTGTAGTTGTTGGTAATACAATCTTGATAGTTTATATATTCACTTTGATGTCAAACCCAGCTAGGATACTATGTTTCTCAGCCGGTGTTGCAGCTGGTGTGAACACAGAACTGGGTTCTGACCAGAGATGTAAATGAAGTAGTGTGGGACTCCCTAAAGGCAGCATTGTGGGAAGATTCCACAAGGCAGCTGGCTCAGTTCGATGATAGGACCTGTTTGCCGTTTCCTCTTGCTCCTTCCAGCTATCTAGAACACAGATATATAGCTGGAAATTCAGTAGTGGTTTCAGACCAGGAGGTCATGTTGATAAGAAAGCCATGGACTAGAATAGCAGAGAAAATGAAGAAATTTGGGTTGCTGATAACAATGGAGTTATCATTTTTGATCTTGATTAACTACCTTTAGATTTGTTTTATGAGAGAGAAGAAAATCCTCATCTTGTTTAACTGTTATTTTGAGTTTTCTGTCTATTGCAGTTAAATATCATTTCTAACCAAGACTGAGATAAAGGGTTTTAGTCTTAATGTTGAATCCATTTATATACTATCCAAAAACAATGAAATATTTCAAGTATCCATATCATATTTTTTTAAAAATGAATCTAACCTAGATGTGAGAGAGATTAGTACGTATTAAATTTCTAAAATGCAATGGACTGAGTGGAACCCTGAGTAATACCTAGAAACTATTAAATAATACATTCTAAAACAAAGCTTCAAAAAGTTATAACTATTTAGCAAAAAATGGCAAAAATGAAAAACATTAAGTAATTATCAGGCAGGAAAGGTGACATTATACCTGCACTAATGACCACAAGCTTCTAGGCTCAAGATCCTCTACCTATCTTGACCCACTAGAGGTGTCAGGGGTTCAAGACACCCTACCCTTGTAGCCTCCTGGGGAGGGCTGTGGACCACCTTTAATTACACACATTTGGCCACATTATTAGGAGTGATTCATAGCCTGTGGCATAGTAATTCCACTTCTAGATACGTGAGAATAATCCAAAATGCTGACTGGGATTTATGCAAGAGTTCAAACTTAGCAAAACAAAGGAAATAACAAAAATGCCTAGCAATGGAAAAATAGTTAAATTATGGAAAGCAGATAGCTAGCCAATCATTATAGGATAATGTCTTGGTCTATTTGGGCTGCTATAGCAAACTACCATAGACTGGGTTGTTTGTAAATAACAAACTTATTTCTAACAATTCTAGGGGCTGGGCAGTCTCAGACTGAGTTACCGGTGTTTAATGAGGGCCTGCTTTCTGCTTCACAACAGTACTTTCTGGCTGTGTCTTCACATGGTGAAGGGGATGAGGAGTCTGTCCTTTGCCTGTTTTATAAAGACACTAATCCTTTATAAAAGACAAGAAATGGGTACGGGCTGTGCGTGGTGGCTCATACTTGCAGCACTTCGAGATGCCAAGGTGGGTGGAGCACCTCAGGTCGGGAGTTTGAGAGCAGCCTGGCAAACATGTTAAAACTCTGTCTCCACTAAAATATAAAAAACTAGTCTGGCATGGTGGTTTGCACCTGCAGTCCCAGCTACTCGGGATGCTGAGGCACGAGAATTGCTTGAACCTGGGAGGAGGAGGTTGCAGTAAGCCAAAATTGCACCACTGCACTCCAGCCTGGGTGGCAGAGTGAGACTCCATCTTGAAAAATCAAGGCAGCGGGTTCAAAAAAAAAAAAGAGACCTAGTATTTGATAGCACAATAGGTTGTTGACTGTAGTCAAAATACATTTAAAAATAACTAAAAGAGTATAAGTGGATCGCTTATAAAACAAAGAATAAGTGTTTAAGGAATTGCATACCTCATTTTCCATGATGCGATTATTATGCCTTGAATGCCTGTATCAAAATATCTCACTGAAATAGAAAAGGTTCCCTTGTCCCCTCGAAGGGTGTGTGACAAGGGGAGTGGCTGGCCTTTTCAGTGCCCCGCTGCTCAAACCTCTAGGGGAACATACAGACGGGCAGGTTGTGGGGCTCCGACCCTAAGGCAGTGACTAGTGGTGGATGTTTACAGCTCCTGAAGCCCCAGTGGGTGTGTGTTAAATGGTGCTCTTTTAGTTTGCTGTCTATAGGCATTTAGTTTGCTGTCCATAGGCAGCTTGTATTAACCAGCTCAACTGGACCCTCTACCTTGTCATAAGGACAGAGGGCTGTCTGTTTCCCGGGTTCTTGCCTTGGTATACTAGAAGAATCGGACCACAGGTGGACTTGGAGAATGAGTGCAAGGTTTTATTGAGTAGAAGTAGCTCTCAGCAGATAGGGGAGCCAGAAGTGAGATGGTTTTCCCCTGGAGTCAGGCCACAGCGGCCAGGCTCTCCTCCAACCACCCTGGCCAAACTCCATGTTGTTCTGCCAGTCAATGGCCTGCTTGTGTGCCAGTGCCTGCCAGTGTGTTCCCCAGGTGCTCTCCATGTCCAGCCTCTTATATCTTCCTCCACCCATCCACACCTCTTGACGTCCAGCCCTTTTTTTCTTCTTCAACCAATCTGCTTTTCTGGAGATTCAGGTGCTTGTATCTTCCTCCACCAATCTGCTTCTCTTAACCAGCCACTTGTGTGTCTGCCTGCTAAGGTCTTGGGTTTAACAGGCCCAGGGTGGGGGCGTGGCGGGTCAGGGTGGTCTTGAAAAATGCAACATTTGGGCATGAAGGCAGGAGTGCCTGTCCTCACCTAGGTCCATAGGCACAGGCCCAAGGGTGAAGCCCTAGCCAGGGACTCGCCTTTCTCTACCCAGCACTTCCCTGCCCCCCTCCCATATCCTCATGTATCCCATGAATATTAAAAAGCCCTTGTGAACTAATCATTCTCAAATGTTCTACCTCCTAATTTCATCACATTGTGGGTTAGGACTTGAACATGTAAATCTGGTCAGGGGGACACAAATGTTTAGACCATAAAAATTTTAATGAAAGAATTTAACTGTTTTTGTCAGATTTGTCAAAGATCAGATGGTTGTAGATGTGTGGTATTATTTCTGAGGGCTCTGTTCTGTTCCATTGGTCTATATCTCTGTTTTGGTACCAGTACCATGCTGTTTTGGTTACTGTAGCCTTGTAGTATAGTTTGAAGTCAGGTAGTGTGATGCCTCCAGCTTTGTTCTTTTAGCTTAGGAGTCTTGGCAATGCAGGCTCTTTTTTGGTTCCATATGAACTTTAAAGTAGTTTTTTCCAATTCTGTGAAGAAAGTCATTGGTAGCTCGATGGGGATGGCATTGAATCTATAAATTACCTTGGGCAGTGAGGCCATTTTCACGATATTGATTCTTCCTATCCATGAGCATGGAATGTTCTTCCATTTGTTTGTGTCCTCTTTTATTTCGTTGAACAGTGGTTTGTAATTCTCCTTGAAGAGGTCCTTCACATCCCTTGTAAGTTGGATTCCTGGGTATTTTATTCTCTTTGAAGCAATTGTGAATGGGAGTTCACTCATAATTTGGGTTTAAAAACAAGAAATGGGGAAAGGATACTCTATTTAATAAATGGTGCTGGGAAAACTGGCTAGCCATATGTAGAAAGCTGAAACTGGATCCCTTCCTAACACCTTATACAAAAATTAATTCAAGATAGATTAAAGACTTAAATGTTAGACCTAAAACCCTAAAAACCCTAGAAGAAAACCTAGGAAATACCATTCAGGTCATAGGCATGGGCAAGGACTTCATGTCTAAAACACCAAAAGCAATGACAACAAAAGCCAAAATTGACAAATGGGATCTCATTAAACTAAAGAGCTTCTGCACAGCAAAATAAACTACCATCAGAGTAAACAGGCAACCTAACAGAATGGGAGAAAGGTTTTGCTATCTACCCATCTGACAAAGGGCTAATATCCCAAATCTACAAAGAACTTAAACAAATTTACAAGAAAAAATCAACCCCATCAAAAAGTGGGCGAAGGATATGAACAGACGCTTCTCAAAAGAAGACATTTATGCAGCCAAAAGACACATGAAAAAATGCTCATCATCACTGGCCGTCGGAGAAATGCAAATCAAAACCACAATGAGATACTATCTCATGCCAGTTAGAATGGCAATCATTAAAAAGTCAGGAAACAGGTGCTGGAAGGAACACTTTTACACTGTTGGTGTGAGTGTAAAGTAGTTCAACCATTGTGGAAGACAGTGTGGTGATTCCTCAAGGATCTAGAACTAGAAATATCATTTGACCCAGCCATCCCATTACTGGGTATACCCAAAGGATTATAAATCATGCTGCTATAAAGACACAGGCACACGTATGTTTATTGCGGCACTATTCACAATAGCAAAGACTTGGAACCAACCCAAATGTCCATCAATGATAGACTGGATTAAGAAAATGTGGCACATATACACCATGGAATACTATGCAGCCATAAAAAATGAAGAGTTCATGTCCTTTGTAGGGACATGGATGAAGCTGGAAACCATCATTCTCAGCAAACTATCTCAAGGACAGAAAACCAAACACTGCATATTCTCACTCATAGGTGGGAATTGAACAATGAGAACACCTGGACACAGGAAGGGGAACATCACACACCGGGGCCTGTTGTGGGCTGGGGGTAGTGGGGAGGGATAGCATTAGGAGATATACCTAATGTAAATGATGAGTTAATGGGTGCAGCACACCAACATGGCACATGTGTACATATATAACAAACCTGCACATTGTGCACATGTACCCTAGAACTTAAAGTATAATAATAATAATAAAAAGAATTTAACTGTATTGATTATTCTGGGACAATTTTAAAATCAATATAAAAAATAGATGTAATCAATAAAACTTTCAAAAAGAAACAAATGTATTAAAGGTGTTCTCTATTTAGTGGGAAAATAGCCAATTCTTTTCTTTCTATGATTTTTTTCATTTTTCCAGTTTTCTGCATGCATGAGTTCTTATTTTCATAGAAAAATTAGATTTTTTAAAGAATAGAACTGCATCTAAAAAAATTAAAACAGATCCATAAAAACATGTTCAGTAAAATGTTATATAAATATGAAGTAATCAGGGAATTCTTTGAACTAAGTTTATGAACCATATGCTAGTAAGCATATGCTGTCAGAATCAGGAGAGAATTGTTTTGCTATATTCTTTCAATGTGTTAAGAGGGAAGACGATATGGTTTTACATATAGTTGCTCCTGAGGTTGAAAAGCATTTCATTGAAGGTTTAAAAGTCCACTTTCTTATACATAGAAAAGATTTGTGTGATGCAGAGAAGTTTCCCAATGTCTCATTATAGACCAAAAGAACCAGACTCAGAAAATATTAAGTCAAAAGGCAAATGGATGATAAACCCTACATCACAAAAATCTTTTCTATGTATGAGAAAGTGGACTTTTTTAATGATATGATAGTTTACCTAGAAAACCCTAAAGACTTCCCCAAAAAGCTCCTGGAACTGATAGATAAATTGAGCAAAGTTTCTGGTTACAAAATTAATTAATGTATACAAATCAGTAGCTCTTCTATACACCAATAGCGACCAAGCTGAGAATCAAATCAAGAACTCAACCCTTTTACAATAGCTGCAAAAATATATATATACTTGGGAAGATACCCAACCAAGGAGGTGAAAGACCTCTATAAGGAAAACTACAAAACACTGCTGAAAGAAATCATAGATGACATAAACAAATGGAAACACATCCCATGCTCATGGATGGGTAGAATCAATATTGCGAAAATGACCACACTGCCAAAAGCAATCTACAAATTCAATACAATTTCCACCAAAATACCACCATTGTTCATCATAGAACTACAAAAACAATCCTAAAATTCATATAAAACCAAAAAAGAGCTTGTGTAGCCAAAGCATGACTAAGCAAAAAGAGCAAATCTGGAGGCATCGCATTACCTGATTTGAAACTATACTATAAGGCCATAGTCACCAAAACAACATAGTACTAGCATAAAAATAGGCACATAGACGAATGGAAAAGAATAAAGAACCCAGAAATAAACCGAATACTTACAGCCAACTCATCTTAAACAAAGCAAACAAAAACCTAAAGGGGGCAAAGGATACCTTATTCAACAAATTGTGTTGGGATAATTGGCAAGCCATATGTAGGAGAATAAAACTGAATCCCCATCTCTCACCTTATACAAAAATCATCTCAAGATGGATCAAGAACTTAAATCTAAGATCTGAAACTATAACAGTTCTAGAAGATAACATTGGAAAATCCCTTCTAGACATTGGCTTAGGCAAGGGTTTCATGACCAAGAATCCAAAGCAAATGCAATAAAAACAAAGATAAATAGTTGGGACCTAATAAAACTACATAGCTTTTGCACAGCAAAAGGAATGATCAGAAGAGTAAACAGACAACCCACAGAGTGGGAGAAAATCTTTATAATCTATACATCTTACAAAGGACTAATATCCAGAATCTACAAGGAAATCAAATTAGCAAGAAAAAAAACAATTCCATCAAAAAATGGGCTAAGAAAATGAATAGACAACTCTCAAAAGAAGATATACTAATGGCCAACAAACATATGAAAAAATGCTCAACATCAGTAATGATCAGGGAAATGCAAATCAAAACCACAAGGTAGTAACCGTACTCCTGCAAGAATGGCCATAATCAAAAAATCAAAAAATAATAGATATTAGCGTGGATGTGATTAGAAGGGAACACTTCTACACTGCTGGTGGGGAATGTAAACTAATACAACCACTATGGAAAAAAGTGTGGGGATTCCTTAAAGAACTAAAAGTAGAACTACCATTTGATCCAGCAATCCCACTACTGGGTGTCTACCCAGAAGAAAAGAAGTCGTTATACAAAAAATACTTGCACACACATGTTTATAGCAGCACAATTCGCAACTGCAAAAATATGGAACCAGCCCAAATGCCCATCAATCAACAAGTGAATAAACTGGTGTTGTGTGTGTGTGTGTATATATATGTGTGTGTGTGTATATATATATACACACATACTAGTGTTTGTGTGTGTGTGTGTATATATATATGATTGTGGTTTGAATAAAATCTTATATTCAGTCTCAATTTTTCTGAAAAATTTCTTTGAAATTAATCAAACATGGAAAACCCCACAAAAACCTAAATGGAAGGTTTTCTTGTTTTAGAAACGCACTGGGGGCAAAACAGCTGGAGTGTGTTTAATGGTCTCCCTTATGAGCAGGGTGTGTATAGCATATTATGCTGTTTGCAGAGTCCTGTGAACTAAACTAAATGGGACTTCTGGTTGGATTTGTAAGTCACCTAGGTTTAGAGTACTAGAAGCTGTGCTACTAGAAGGAATACCCCAATAGCAAGGGAAAGGAGAGCTATAGTATAAGTTTTTCTTGTCCATATGTATTAGAATATTTTTTATTAGCTAATTTTTTAAATTTTGTTTATTTATTTATTTTTGAGACAGTGTCTTACTCTGTCGCCCAGGCTGGAGTGCAGTGGCACGATCTCAGCTCCCTGCAACCTCCACGTCCCAGGTTCAAGCGATTCTCCTGCCTGAGCCTCCCAAGCAGCTGGGATTACAGGCACCCACCACCACGCCCAGCTAATTTTTTACTTGTTGTTGTATTTTTAGTAGAGATGGGGTTTCACTATTTTGGCCAGGCTGGTCTCAAACTCCTGACCTCAGGTGATCTGCCTGCCTCGGCCTCCCAAAGTGCTGAGATTATAGGTGGGAGCCACGGCACCAGGCCTGTTTTATTTTTTATCTAGTATTTTGTTATTTTGATACCTCTCTCATCTGGGTCCCAGCATGTGAATATCTCTTAGCTGAAGGGAGGTTTGCTATACTAGAATATAAAAGTGATAGGATAAAAATTTTGGGTTTTTTGAAATTCAAAAAGTTCTAAGTGGAAGGAGTAGGGGCTGGAAGAATGTACAACTGGAAATATTCCTATGTTCATAGCAGAAACAGTTGATGGACTAGGTTAGGGTGTGGCGGGGGCAGAGAATCAGATAGAATTCAAAAGCAGGTTATCTTAGTGGGTCTCATTTGCAGGATTCAAGGGGTCCTAGAGTAAGATATTAGAGATTTGAGAACAGAGGTGATTTGTTGTCCCAGTTTTTGGCCAGGCTTGAAAAGTGGTAAGATCTCACTCTGTACTGGGAAAGGCAGGGCAGCACAGGCTAGGAAGGATGGCAGGCCATTTTGAGGCAGTAGTGACCTAAAACAGCCTCATAGTGTTTAGGGTCAAGCAAAAGCATCAGAATTTTTTTTTTTGGTTACCCTAAAAGGAGCTCCAAACTGCTGGAAACACACAGTGCTTAGAAAGGACTTAAGTTTGGGAGTGAAAGACAATGATACCATGACCTTAGCGGTAGACACTGAAGTCTATACAGGGTAACATACATTTCAACAAACACTACCATGGTCCAGCGTGGACAAGCATCCATCTCTTCAGTGGCATTACATAAATCCTAAGAACCGTTCAAACTTAAAAGTTAGATCATCTTCAATTAAAGTGATATTACTTAGTTGGGTTAGTTGCAGCTTTGAGACTTGTAACTCATAACTGAAAGACATAATTCACCAATAATCCTGATAAACAGAGCTTTTGACAGTTTGTGTTTCTGATTATTCTCCAATACATTTTCCAGATTGAGTTTCCTTAAACAATGATGTGTAGACATAAGGAAGGACTCATGAAAACATTGAAATAGATTCTAGTAAGTCTTAGACCATTAAAAGTAAAATTTTACAATAAACGTGAGCAAAGCTTTAATAGTACAAAATTGTAAAAGATCTAGAGCAGAAGTATATATAAAATAGGCTTAAAAATAATGCAATAGTTTTATAAATATAGCATACTAGTGTTATAAATTCCCCATTAAACATCAAATTAATAGAAATTCAAAATCCTTTCGTCTGGTGTGATTCTATACAAGCAAAAGGATTTTCTTTCATATCTAATCATTCAAGTTGTGCTTATTTGGCCTCCTAAATATTTTTCCATAATTGCCTTTTCTTCATCACTTCTACAGCTATAAATACAGACATCATGCTAAATAGTGGAGACCTACCATGTATGTGGCTCCTCTGTGAAGGAAATGACTGTACAGTGTGACAAAGGTTTTGCTGGAGAAATACAAAGTACTACAGTGGAGGTGATATCGTTTGGATATTTGTCCCCTACAAATCTTAGGTTAAAAATTGATCCCCAGTGTTGTAGTTGAGGCCTGATGAGAGGCGTTGGGTCACAGGAGCAGATCAGTCAAGAATGGCTTGGTGCGGTCCTTGTGGTAATGAGTTTTGCTCTATTCGTTCCCACGAGATCTGATTGTTAAGAAAACCCTCGTACCTCCTCTCATCTTTCTCCTTGCCTCTCTCACCGTGTGATATTTGTTCCCCTTCCACCAAGATTAAAAGCTTCCTGAAGTCCTGACCGGAGCAGATACTGGTGCCATGCTTCTTCTATGGCCTGCAGAACTGTGAGATACATAAACCCCTTTTCTTTATGAATTACCCACCCTCAGGTATTCCTTTAGAGTGATGTAAAAGGGACTAACATGGGACAGATCTAACTTATCCTGTAGTGTTGAGAGGAGGTGCCAGCTGGGCTTCCTGGGTCAAGTAGGGTCTCAGAAAGCTGTGAAACTTACTCATTTCCTGCATCAGGACTTCTTTCGGTCCTGGATGAATAAGATTGAAGATATATGCTTAAAATATTCCTAACACCGGGGTTTGTGCATGTGTTTTCTTCCCCAAGAAAGCTATAAACAGCACAAATTTTGCTCTAAGTTTCCCTGTGTCCTCTCTCCCTCTCTCCCTTCCCCCTCCCCTGAAACTAAAGTAAAAAGAATGCTAACTGCCCATTTTTCTGTGACCAGCGGACCTTATCTATACTCCCAATTCCAATTCCTTGTAAACATACTTTGTAAAGTCCTGTAAGATCCTGTCTCCTTTGCCATGCCGCTACAAGGCCATAAAGTAGATAAAACCTAAGTTGCAATTCCAGTCTTCCTCAAATCTAAGACATGTCACAAAATAATTTACTGCCTTTGTTTCTTGCTCCTGTAACAAGCTTCCTGCCTCACGTATCTCCCACCTTAAAATGTTTAAAAGGCGAATACCCAAACTAGCAGTGGCTACCCTTTCGGGACCCCTTCCACACTGTGGAAGCTTTGTACTTTCACTCTGCTCAATAAAACTTACAGCTTTTTCTCTCTCTCAGTTGGTGTCTCTATCGCTCGCCGCAGTCAGCCGCCACACCAATTCTTTGGCGTCGCTAAGCAAGAACCTTAGGCGTTACAGTGTCAGGGATGAAAGCCCTAAAGAAAATAACTTGAGACTGAGAGGAAGTTTTCTGGGTAAAAGGTCTTTGGAGTGAGGATGGAAATGGGGTGAGAACATTAAGAATAGGAAACAGCATGTGGATGGTATCTGAGAAAAGGGAGAATAAGGAGGGCTGCCTGAAAATAGCTAATGTGGTGGAGCCAAGAGTGCGAGGGGAGTCACGTGATACAAGGCTGGAGAGGATCCAGAGGATCGAACAAGTTAAGGATTTGTTCTAAAGGCAACCATCAAAGGGCCTTAAGCAGCAGATTGACATAAACTGTACTTTTAAAGAAAGCTCTACCTGTTGTGAAGAAGATGGAGTGGAGAAGAGGAGCGAGGACTGGACTGGGCAAGATGGGTTGAAGTTAAAAAGCCGCTCCATGTGAGGGATCCTGGTGACCAGGGCTAAGGCAACTCCACACACACACACACACACACACACACACACACACACACACACACACACGTATGTATACATATACATAAATGCTTATATTCATGTACCAACGTTTGATTTCAAGTATCCATTAAACAGATAAAATGACCATATAGTAAACATTTTTCAAAAACAAAAATACGTTTTGCAGTTAATCTAACCATGTAGGTAAGAAATACCTTAGGGAAATGTCTTTCAAAAGCTGTCTTTTGAAAGCTTATGTTTCAAGATGCTCATTTAGGGTCACGGATTAGAGACAAGATGAGATTTTTAGTTTTGGTTAAGAGACTATGATTAATTCTATTTCCAACTGTCCTAGGTGTTTGCTGAAATGTCAGCAAGGTGTCACCTGTCCCACTAATTGAAATGGCAGGACGTTTCCTGCAAGAAATATGAACCACGGTAGTACACTGTGTGAAAAATCCTTAGTGATGTGGAAAAAGTCTGTCACTGTGTCAAGGCCTTCAGTGTCAGCATGGAATATGCATATCATGAATTTGCAGGTGGAAGAATCGGCCACATTATCTGCCTCAGTACCTGGTGATTGAGGAGAGTCTGAGCTGCTGCAGTAGGAATTGCAAGATGAAGGATGAATGCTGGGGTCATTTTGTAAATTAGTGGACTTCAAGTAATTATCTTTTGAATTGAGCATAGTTTACACAAAGAGAAGATACCATGGTTGAATACATTGTGAAAAAAATTGCTATGCCTCTAGTTAGGTCAAGATAAAGAAAAGGAGAGCAATTAGTAATTGGAAAAAAATCACCAAAAAAGTTGAATGTACTCCCTGTTGCCACAGAAAAACATTTGGACCATAATAGTCAAGTCTGAATTGTTAATCTATAATGTGTACACAATACTAAATTGAGGGGAAATGACATTAAGATTATAATTAATGTGCATTTTCTGGCAGGACAGGTGGAGGAGGAAAAATTATGGACATTTATAGTTTGGTAATAACTGGTTATTAGAATAATTAAAATCTGAGGCCTATATCAATCAGTAATACGTATGAAGCATCCACAGAACGCCTTGTCAAGCTCCTGTGGAGATCCTTATTTTTCCCATCCAGAAAGACCTTGGCAGTCAGATACCATTTGACACCTATCTTGCCTCTAGAACTACACGTTTGAAGTATTCTCGGAACTAGCTGAACTGTAAAGTATATTAACACTATGTATATAATTTTACTTTCTCTATTACTTATATAGCTGTCTCATATAAGGTTGTCTGCAAATATAAGACCACACCCCTCAGAAGAAAAGTGCAATTTGAAGTTAGCTTTATCCAACTTCACATCCATTTAATATGCTGACATATGTCTTTTTTAGAATTATATACCTCTGTTGTGTCTTCCTGCAAGCAAATTAAGATGCAAGCTACAATGGCTTGTTACATTTCTAGGTCTTATATTTTTTCCTGACCCCATATTGGAGGCAAGTTTTCTCACCTCCACTCATTTCTCATTTCGAAGTCATAGGTTTAACCTCCATTTTCATGCCTAACATCCGTTTTGACATTAGGTTATATCTTTAGGAACCTGATGTTATTGATTAAAATACTTCAGCATTCAATATTTTTGTTCTTAACGTCATTTAACTTATAATAATCTAGTTCCTGAAGTCGGTCATGTCCCAACAATCTAAATTACATCTTAAGTTCAGTTCCCCAAATATTAGTATTTTTGATAACAGTTCTGTAGCACAATACGTTCAAGATTGGTATCATCTCTTAGTGTGACCAGAAGTTTCAGCTACGGGGTGCTGGATTCTACCAAGTAAGAACCAACTTTCTGCTGTTTATCTACTTTCCAGAAGCTCCACAAATTTAAATGTTCCTGGATAACACCATTTCCTGCTACTATCTAGTGAACTCTATTAACTGCTGTGAGTAAAAGTAAAGAATACCCTACCGAGGCAAACTATAGAAAATTCAGCCTCAAATCATAGGCTACATGTTGACCAAGAAGGCTACACTGTCCAGGTAGTGTACCTGCATCATGGTGAGGCCACCATCTACCTAGTTCCCAGTCCCTGGAGCAAAAGTTCTTGTGTGTGTATGTGTCAGTCCGTTTTGTTTTGCTATGAAGGAATACCTGAGGCTGGGTAATTTATGAAGAAAAGAGGTTTATTTGACTTATGGTTCTGTAGGCTGTACAAGAAGCATGGCACCAGCATCAGCTTCTGGTAAGAGTCTCAAGGAGCTTCCACTCATGGTAAAGGCAAAGGGGAGTAGGCATCACATGGTGGGAGAGGAAGGAAGAGAGAAAGGAGGGGAGGTGTTTGGCTCTCTAATAGCCAGATCTGAAAACTGAGTGAGAACGCATGCAATCCTGTGAGAATGGCATGAAGCCATTCATAAGGGATCTGCACCCATAATGCAAACACCTCCCACCAGGCCCCACCTCCAACACTGGGGATCACATTTTGATATGAGATTTGGAGGGGACAAACATTCAAACTATTTCAGGGCATATTGCGGAGTTCATTTGACTTGAAGAGTTTGTTGTTGCAGCATAACTTTCAAAATGAACACAAAAAATTACTAATTTGTCTATTGATTTTAGGATTGTGAAAGAAAAATATTGAAGGGTGAATAACAGTTTGATAAGTGAACTAAGAGAGGGTGGTATATTTCAGGCAGAAGAAATAAACATTAAGGAAATTACAGAAAAATGCAAACAGTGTGTTTAGAGATTAGGAACTATTTTGGAATTATTCTCTTTTCTACTTTCCCATTATACTGTATATCTCTACCATAACATTTTTTCCATGGTTACAAATTAATTTTGTATATGTCCATTTCTTAAACTTTGAGTTCCTGTGAGCAAGAACATATTTTTTCATCATTTTGTCCTCCATGTAATCTATCTTGTGCAAAATAGCTATCTAATGTTCATAAGTTTAAGTTACGTAGAATTAAAGAACTTATTTTCTTTGAATGTTTAATTCCCTTATTGAAAACATTGTCATTTAGATACACACTCCCAGAAAAAGTATCTATTCTTCCCTGAGAAAGACATACAGGACTGCCATGGGCTTTGTGTAAACAAAGTGATTTCAAGCTGACAAGACACATTTAGATTTCTGAGTAATTATAAAAATAGCCCTAGATAAAGTCCTTATAAATGCTTATAACATTAACAGCTCTGTGATATGCATAAATACACGTAAGTAAAATGCCACAGGTTATAGTCCTTAAAAACGCTTCGTGCTTACAGTTCACATAGCAGTATGCATAAATACACGCATTATAATATCACAGGATGCAATTGTTAGAAACTGCTTGTAACATTAACAGGTCTTACCGTGAAGTGCATGTAATAAAAAATACTCAACAGAAGTATTCATGGCCAAGACATGGGCTTAACCACAAATAATTTTTCAATTGGGAGCAACAGATTCAAAGCATTCAGTGGTGCTGTAAATGTTTGCATGCTTCTTTTCAACTAAACCAGACATTATGTGACCTGAAACAAAATTTTAGTAACTTCAAGTGGTTTCGAAAGAGTTAAGTTTGTTTTTTTATGAAAAGCTTTCTGTCTCCCCTCTGCCTTTGAAGCTCTTCTACAGAATGTGAATGCATATGTGTGTAAATATCCTCATTGTTTCCAATGCCAGAGAAGATCTTCACAGTGATTCTATTTATCCAAGGAACTGAAATTTATCAGGTCTTAGATCTTTGTAAACAGGACTTTACAACTCAAGATATACTGAAAGATTGACATTGGAGCCTTCCTTCAGGACCAAAGCTAGCTGTCAAATTCCAAGGACATCTATAGGATAAGCAGCATTGCCCTTCCTGTGTAGGTGGCCACCAGCGTGTGATTTCAGCTGGTTTGAGATGGTTTCTAGCAAGAATCCCTCACACTAGTTCCTGTGTTTGGTTGGTATTTCTCTTAATTAAGAGTGATTTTCTTATTATATTTATCTTTATAATTCAAATATTTCTATAACATTCATTAAAAACACACAAGTTATCGTAAAATAATTTCTAGAACAGAAGCGAATAATATTCTATGATAGGAAAATTGAGGAATAAAGTGCCAAAACTGGAGTTTGAACAGTACTGAAAATATTTTAGACCAGTGATCAGTTAGAAACCAGATCTGTTTACTACAAGGAAAAGGGTAACAGGATAAAACCTTATTAGCAGTGGTAACAGGGAAAGATTCAGATGGGTTGTTCAGTGTCTGCCCTCTTTTATAGAGCCCCCTGGTAATAGTCAGCAAATAATGGTCACGCCATAGGAACCTGGCAGTAAACAAAGGGCAGTCCTAAAAATGTAGAGTCTAGCCTTCCCTTTGATGAAGATGACCGCCAGTATGATACACTCAGGTCAATGATATTACATTTTACCTTCCCCAGAAGACAAGCCTGATAATGAGATGCCCACCATAAGGAATTTCTGATGACTTCTCATAGATTACAGAAAGAAATTCAAAATTCAGCATGACAAACGAGACCCTTCATATTTGATGTTGCACTTTCCTTTAAGATTTACCTTTAACATCTGTTCTCTGTCTAGCTCCAAGCATATTGCTAAGCAGAGGTGGTATTCTTCACACTTCCCTTTTGCACTTGAACTTTCTCTTGCCGGGAATGTTCTCTATTTCACCAGAGGAGCTCCTGCTTAGCCTTCAAGACACACTTCATTGTTCTTTTCAGCTTCCTCAGTGGACCAGTTATAGGGCACTTCAGAATGTTTCAATTTTGTGTTTAGACGCCTCAAGGAGCCATTAGTCCCTTAGCTCCATGAGGAAATGGATTGTCTCTTATAGGAGCCTCATGTGCAACTATAAATTAACACAGAATCTGATATGCTTATCACCATACAACTCTACAAAAACAATGTTCACATTGAAAGTTTTTTTTCTGTTTTAATAAGTACGCCAGATTTAATGGAAGTATTTTCTTTTGTTTCCTTTTTCTCTAGTATATTTAGATTGCAATTCTAAAATTGAGACTGGATGACACCTGAAAATGTGAAATGAATAAATAATATGAGAACTTTTAAAATTTTCTGATCTTTCTGACAAAGCTCAAGTTTTGTTCGGAGTAACTCATATTTTTAGAACTATTTCTAAATGTTTACCTTAACATGTAATTTTCCGTTGTGAGTTTTAAATAATGCCACATAAAATGTAACCAGTTATAATTTTATTAAAAATTTGGAGACCAAGCTACTGAAAAAAAGTTGATGACATTAAAGAACTTTCATAAAGTATGTAATTTAGTTTTGTGTGTGAAGCCTTTAGTAATTGGACAACTGGCTGCCTTGTGAAAATGCATTATTATCACTAATATCTTCATTATTTGTAGTATAACCATATGCCTCATGATTCTTTGTGACAGCCTGTTGTTATTTTGTGAGAAAGATGATTAGGCTATTATTTGATTTCAGCACATGTATGGTTTATCAGAAAGTCTGCACAATGTGAATAGGCAGTTTTTACACCCTCAAAGCTCCAATTTTGTAATAATTATATAAATAGTATTCTCCTCAAAGTGAGGCTCTTCTTGTTAATGTCCAGTGTACAGAACTTGGCTTGAGTATGGGCATGAAACAAAGCAATTGCGCATCTGCAAATACAGGACATGTACTACCATGTTTGTGTCAGTTTCTTACAAAGGCTAAGAATGGTTGTGGTGGTGGGGGCGGGAGGAAGGTAATGAGTGGGTGGGATTTAGCTGAAGGATTAGAAAAGAAGCAGCTCATTGATTTATTCAACACATACCTCTTTGATTCCTAGTACCGAACTGTGGTTTAATGAATTGTAAGGTATAGCATAAAAACAACGGTTAGATTAGTGGTTTTGCCCTTGAGAAATGTTTCCCGCCTGTAGTCCCAGCTACTCGCGAGGCGGAGGCAGGGGAATCGCTTGAGCCCGGGAGGCGCAGGTCGCAGTGAGCCATCGCGCCACTGCACTCCAGCCTGGCGACAGTGCAAGACTCCGTCTCAAAAAAAAAAAAAAAAAAAAAAAAAAAAAGAAACAGAAATGTTTCCACCTGATGATGAGCTAAACAATTAGATATTATGGCATCATAGAGAAATAAGAAATATCCAGAAATCTTATGCTATATTATGCTGCATATTGATATTTATACCACATAGCCAAGTTTTTCCTTTTTAAGGAATTCCCCCATCCTAGAAGATATTTGTAGTTATTCATATATGAAGATTCCTCACTTTTGAAACTTTAGGTCTGTATTCCATTTGGATTTATTTCATTTTCTTTACCTCCACAACTGGTAGGATTTCTGTCTACCATCCATTTAGGTTCTCATTTTGACTATCCAACTTCTTGAAAGATTCAGCACTTTTCAGCCTCTGAGCTCTGCTCTGTTCCAAATAAACTTTGATTCACCTTCGCAGTTCTGATTTCTCTCATCCCTGGGACTTCTTTTTCTTGCATGAAGTCCTGGGAGCAAGCTTCTCACGTGGTTTTGTTCCTTCGTTGTGGGGTGGTCGGGGGAGTGTGGTCGGTTCTAGATAATTTCCTAAACAAAAACATTAAATTGCTTTTCCAGGTGCCAAAAGAAAAAAAAAAAAACTCTAGCATTACGTATGGCAATCAAAATCTTCCTCATTATGATCCTGTGACCTACTATTCCAAATATTTGCACTTTTCCTCAGAAAATATTAAATAACCATTTTCAAACACATTCTTCCTTTCCACCACAGTCACTTCTAGTTATTTGTGTTAGTTACGTTCTATAAAATTGTTAAGAAAAATAAATTAGCAAATACTGAACCATTTGCTGCCAGGGGAAACACGGGGTCAGATTTTCATGAACAAATCAATACATAACTTTGATGTTTGTTTCTATTTAAAGACACATTATTTGATATATATTGTTGATTCATTAACAGTAAGCTTATAATCACATTATAATATGTATCTGAATGAAGTTTATTTAACAACATGTTTTCTTTGTAAGGAATGTGACAGCCTTGTTATGCTAGAAACTACTTCAAGCTGTGCTTGGGGGTTATTTTAAACACCAACAAAAATCACAAAAGAGAAAAATGCAAATATAAATATGTCACTGAGAAAAGGATACTTGTTTATAGTAGGAGAGCTGCGATAAGAAGGCACAGTGTCACCTGCTTTGACCTCAGCTGGGAACGTTCTTGTCAGGCAACTCGAATTTTTCTCCGTTCTGCACAGGTCTGTGAATGACTGTGAAAGCACTGGTAGTACTGATTTGGGGTTACAAATAAACTTTAACAAGCAGGTGAGTTTGCAAATACAGAATCCACAAATAATGAGGATTCTGTCCTTGCTTCTAGTTGAGGTAAAAGCAAAAAGTTGCAAATGGATTAAAAAAGACTATTTTTGGCAGAAGTTGTAGCATTCTTATCTATTGTAGTATTCAAACATATATTCTCATTTTTAAAAGAATGATAATGGTTAAATATATACTGAGTTCTCAGTACGTATCAGGTCCCGTGCTAAATGCTTTATGTGTGTTAACTCGAGCCTAATCCAAAGTTTGAATTGTGGAGGAAAGTTGTATTATATTGTGTTAGCTTGGATGCGTACAGGAAAGAACTAATAATCTGTGAGCCAAGCAGCCACCGTAAAGTTGAGCTCAGATGGAACAGGTGACAATGATAGGATTAATAGGAAATAAGTGTGAGGGCAGAGTGAGTGCAATCTCAAACAGTGTGTATTAGAAGACGTTTACAAATAACCTGTTAACAAAGCCACATGTTTGCATGTTTTATACCAGAACCTTGAATGTGGGAAAAAATGTTACCGTCTTTGCAAAAGAATTACATGCACTTAAATTTTTGAGAAAAGATTGGCTCCAAGAAGTTGACATAACTATATTAGCTAAAGCTCAGCTTCCAAATTGTAATCTTTTGTAGGTTTTTTAAAAATGTTTTATTTGCACATTTTCCTCCATTTTCTCAGGAACTCCATGTGAAATGACATTCTTTCCCACCTTGGAGGAAGGGGTGAAATGTGAGGCATTCATTTACATGGAACAAAATGAGTGTAAAACTTTTAATTATATCTTGGCTAGAATTTGCCTGAGAATTTAAAGTGTAGGCCTGGCCTTATGCCCCTCACCTAGCATTCAAGGGAAATGAAATAATTAAAAGAATTACCAATGCTTTTAAAGCATGACCTTTTACAGATGACTCACAGTAGATGATTTTATATATATCAACTAGATACAGTCAAATAGTCAAGAACATTTTGCCTAGAAACTCACTTGTTTTTTACTGCTATAATGTAGGCTAACTTTCTTTGACCTCTGATGTGTAATAGCCTCATATCTTAAAACCCCCACTCAGATCATCCTCTTTTATTATGAGCTATTTCATCGTCATACCATTGCTGCTTCCCTTAAAGAGCATCATTATACTCTTGACATTATTTTATCAGATGGACTTGTAAACTATCTAATTCCATTAACAAATCTATGAAAAAAGGGGTGAGGAGGGCAATTCTTTTAATTAACAAGTTGATTTTATACCACAAAATAATGGAACTACCTTGAAAGCAAATTTAAATTAACAGCTTTAAATGAGTTGGTTATAAAATGCTTAGATACAAAGAAGAAAAGAATGAAGCAGTAAAAGAAGATAAAGAATGAATATCTTCTTCAAAAGAAGGCTGTATAGATACCTATCACTTTGTGGTGAAGCTCTTCTAGTATACTAAAATATTTGATCCAGCACAGCAAAGAGTCTTAGAGAGAGAGGAAAAGAAAGATTAAAACAAGACCTAAACATGATGGTTTCTGTCTCTTGTGTTGCCGTGCTCTGAAACTTGGCCTTATTTTACCCTTTAGTTTCTGCTTTCCCCCACCCTTTTCCTATCCTGTGTTTTGTGGGTCATTTCATTTGCCATTCTCTGCAGCAAATCCAAAAAGAAATCCTAACTTGTGGTTAACAGTATTAGTACCTCCAAATTCCTAATAACCCCTCTATTCCTCTGCATTCAATCGATTTGACGCTCTGTTTTCAAGATTGTATATTTTGCATTTTTCATCAGAAAAATAACAGTATCTGCTTTATCAACTTAAAATTAATTGATTTCAGAATATATCTATATTATGACAGCTGATTCATTTATGCATTCATCAGTAAACATTGAAGAAGTGCCTAAGGTGCTTCAGAAACTATGTTAGGTTCTTATTAGGAACCAATAAGGAAATAAAACTACCAGGTGCCTGGCTCTCATGATCCCTTCTGTCTAGTGGAGGAGACAGACTTAATAACACGATCGCATGAGTCAATGTATCATCACAAACTGAGACAAGAGCTGTCGTGGAAGAAATCCATTTGGATAAGCAGAAAAATCTCTGTGAAACGCCCGGATGTCAAAAATGATTTCCCTAAAGAAGTAAAACTTGAGCTGAAATCTAACCACAAGAAGAGGTGGTGGTGGTAGGCAGCATATCATAAAAGAAGCATGTGAAACCCTACACAAGGGAGGAATGGGGAAGTTTGAGGAACCAAGAGATGACCAGATATGCAAGGGAGTATGGCGGAAGATGAGACTAACAGGGCGGAATCTACCAGGGCATTTGGCACCTCACGTGCTTTATTTTGGGTCTCAGCCTAGTGCAATCCAAAGCTGAGAGAGAATTTTAAACTAGGAATAGATGGAAGAAGTGAGTAGCCAGGACATATTTGCACTTTGAAAAGTCTACTCTCACTGAGATCATTTTTTTTTTCTTAAGTCAGTAAATACAAGAATTACATATTTCAGGATATGAGAATATTTTCCCTCTATTTTTGATTGAATTTTAATATATTACTTACTGTTTATTTGGCCCCTAAGCTAAACATTATTTGCTGTGTCAGTTTTGAAATCATGTATCAAGTCTGTAACTAACCTAAAAAATTTAAGTAGAATGTATCCTTTACATATAGGATAAAAGACAAAGGTTTTTCTATAAATTTAAAATATTGTATAAGTGACCTTGACAAAGCAGCAGTTTATGATACGCTGTATCTGACCTGAAAGAAAATGTTTTTTGTTTGCTTTTTGTTTTTTACTTAAAATTACTCCTGTATTACATAGCATAGAACAAGTTCCCAAGAGGTTGTGAGCCGGAGTTTTGGGGCGTCATTGCCCCAATGCATCAGTGCAATGCATCTTTCCTTTCAGTGGGAAGAGAGGACCATGAAATTTGACTGGATTCCTCTTCTTTGTTTGGCTGATCTCCGGTATTGGTTTGCTTTTTCTATAACATGTCCTTGAGCAGTTTTCCAAGTAGGTTATTGCTCCTTGTGAATGTTCTCACTCGGAAGTGTTTTCTATAGCTTTGGCCCCTCTCCTAACTACGCCTTATTTTTAAATGATTTGCCTTGTTGAGTAGTATCCAGGTTAGGGCTCCAACAATGTGGGCCATATCGTGGCACATACAATATTTCAAAAAATAATATAATTAAGAAAGTAATATTCTTTTTTTTAGATAGTGTCATTTGTTTCATTATACTGGTCTTATCTTTCGTTTCATTTTCCAGGTATTCTATAAAGATATACTTTCAAGAATTAGACCCACTGAAATTACATAAATCTTACCAGTGAAAGCAGGGACATCTTGCTGATGAGTAGCTATGATCCCTCCCTTTTCTTATTTATTTTTGTTTTTATTTTATGTTTAATTGATGCTAATTGTGCATATTTATGAAGTGCAGTGTGATGGATGTTTTGATATATATAAAGCTTGTGTAATGATCAAATCAGGGTATTTAGCATACCTTCACCTCAAACGTTTATCATTTCTTTGTGGTGAGAACATTCAAAATTTTTTCTTCTAGCTATTTTGAAAAATGAAATATAGTACTGCTAACTATCGTCACTCTAATGTGCGATAGAACACGATCACTTATTCCTCTTGTCTAACTGTAACTTTGTACCCCTCCACCTATCTCTTCCCATCCTTTCACCCCTGCTCCTCCCCATCCTCTGGTAACTACTGCTCTACTCTCTACTTCCAGGAAGTCAACTTTTTAAATTTCATATAAATGAGATCACGCAGTATTTGTTTTCTGTGCCTGACTTACTTCGCTTAACATAATGTCCTCCAAGCTAATCTGTGTTGCCACAAGTGACAGGATTTAATTCTGTTTTTGAGGCTGAATATTATTAAATTGTGTATATATGCCACACTTACTTTACCCATTTATAGGTTGGTGGACACTTAGGTTTATTTCATATCTTGGCTATTGTGAATAATGCTGCAGTAAAGATGGGGGTGCAGATATCTTTTCAACATAGTGATTTCATTTCCTTTGGATATATGGCCAGCGCCAAGTGGTAGGATTTTTTGATCTTATGTTCTATTTTTAGTTTTTTGAGGAACCTTCATACTGTAGTCCATGATGGCTGTAGTAATTTACATTTCCGCCAATAGTGTGTAAGCTTTGCTTTCTCCCGTCCTTGTTAGCATTTGTTACTTTTTATTATGTTTATGATAGCCATTTAAACTGGAGTGAGGTGATAATGTCATTGTGGTTCTAATTTGCATTTCCCTGAAGGTAATATTCTCGATAGCAGAAGAAGCAGTATGACACCTTCTCTGTAAATTTATGTTTCTTCTCAATAGTCACTTGTGTCTGTGACCTCTGGTGTACATAGTATACATTTGGCTACCTCTGAAATCCTTCTTTATACCACCCACAAGTAAAAGCAATGAATAGAACTTTATCATCACTCTATTATTCCCATGGTTATCTTAATTCACATACTATATTCCATTTATTTATTTATTCAATTAATTATTATTGATTGATTAATAATAAACTAACAATTATCACTGTACCAGGTACTGGAATTACAAAAGAGGAAAAGGCATGATTTCTGCATTCAGGAACCTCTCTGTTCAGTAGGGAAGAATTGCATTAAAAATAGATCATCAGTAGAGTGTGATAAATCCATCATTAGATTCATGTTTGAAATGCCACTGGAGCACAGAAATAAAAACTATTTGGGAGACTATGAATTATGAAATGGATTAAATATTGCAGATTAGATAGGACACTACCTATTGTATATATTTCCAGAAATAATCTAACCATGATCTGATCAAATTTTTATAAAACAGATAATGGTTTACATTTTCTCAAGTATCACAGCAGTTAATTTTAATTTCTGTGATATCATCCTGCTTTACACTGCCTTTCATGTCAGAATGAATCCCTATTTCCTGAAAATATCCTGCAGCTTACACTGACTCTTCTGCAATGAATCATGCCTGCAGCCTAAGTACTTGGTGCCTCATGATGGGGGCATATTATGTTCAATAACGACATGAGCTGACAAATGTGAGGATTTGTTTTAACTGTCACATCAGTTAAAGCCTGATTAGATGTCCTTATCAAAATACATACTGATAAGACAGCTGTGCTCCACTTTTGTTTTACCAAACCTAGCAAGTATTTTATTTGCAATAAAGAAACTGAAGGGCCATCAAATTGTGTAGAGCCATCTGCTTCTGAAATTAGTTTCATACAGGGGATTTAATCCACAGTAATTCTTATCTACTTATGATCTTGGAAATGCATTGTGTTCTTTAAGTCTACAATTAACTACGAGCATCTAATTCTACTCTATCACCTTATATCAAGTGTGTTAGCGCCATTTTCCAAATGGCAAAACATGGTAATAACCCAGGACTTATGCATGATAATGAATCATATCACAGGGCTCAGTCTGTCTAAAAAAGTACTAGGAACTCTCTATGCCTGCTAAGAAGCATATGGAGAAACATGACATATGATCCAGTTTATAAAAGAACAACTTAAAAATTTAATGTAGTTAAGAGCAGGTGGGAATTCTATAAATAATGAGTCAGACTACATTTTGTCAACATCTCAATTGGGACTGAGCCATATATTGCCATTGCTTAATTTTCCTCAGCCTCTTGGACTATAGGATAACCCATTAACCATATTTTATTCATCTATGTGTTCCTAGGGGCATCTCTGACCCATTTTTCACAAAACATAAGGAATTCATGTGCAAGGTTGAATATATGTGAGTTAGATCAAAGGTGTTTTAAGATGTTTAAACGGCTTAAATTCATTTTAACAAGATGTCTTTTTAAGACAACCTTTCCCAAGCCCCCCAAAATCAATATCTATCGTTATTTGCATCTACAGTATATGGCACCTTCTTATACTATCTATATATAGTCTGTCAAATAATTAGTGCACTGCCTGGCTTCCACCCCTGTTTGTTCCCAAGGCTGTTAATGCTGCTGCTTTTCCTCACTAATTCTAAGGCTTTGACACACGTTAATGTGCTCTGACCCAAACAATGAGCAAACTTTCTGGTTCACTAACACAATTGCTTTTTGCAAGGCTATGTCTAAACAGACCACTATGAGAGATGAATCTTCATTCCCTGGAGTTTAGCAGTCCAAAAAAAAAAAAAAAGTAGAGCGTATAAGTGTGATGAAACATGTCTTCTGTTATTAAGAAAAAAAACCCCTTGTTTTATATAAGCAGAAACAAGTGGAGTATACTATAGGTTAAAATGTTAATATTTGTAACATAGCAATTTTGACTTATTACAGTGTCCTGTAATATATTTCCTTTATCAAATGAATGCACATAAAGTGGAATTTTTTAATGAGAAACAAGTATATTTATGTATTCCAGATTTATTCATTTTATTCATATACTATGTGTTTTAATGTGTACTTATACACAAATAAATCAACAATATATAAATGAATAGCCTTTGAAAACTATCCTTTTAAAACTAGTAAAATGCATATCCAATTTAACTTTTGAATATTAATTACAGTACTTTTGAACCTATAAATACAGTAAGTTCTAAGATTCATACTTTAAAAAATGCAAATAACATGAATATCCTTTGATTTATTCTTTCAATTTATTTAAACAATATTCAATTAATTGACATCTGTCAGGCAGTGGGGATGCAATTATGACCTAATCAAACTTAATTCCCACCCCTTTGGGTAGATTTGATTACACTTTAGAGAAGAAGATGGATAATAAAGAAGCGAACAACAAATAAATATCTAAGGAGAAATTATAAGTACCATAAAAGAAAGAAATTAATCACCACCCAGATGAAAATAGAGACCATATATCTGAGTAAAAGAGTCTCAGGGTGGAAAATTATGGACTTGGATCTATGCTCTGATGGTAGGGGCTTGGACTTTTTCAATGCCGACATCGAAAATAAACTATCCCCTAATATGAAACCTAGTAATGATTTTACAAAGAGAAAATTGCTCTTAGACAGAAACATTCTAATGTTCTATGTGAAATTAATCAGGTTTTCCAATTAGAATAGCAATGAGAAAAGTATTACAACTTAAGAGCAATGCAGTATTCATTTTAGTGTGTTTACCCTACTTAAAGTGCTTTATGGTGTAATTTTGTGTCATGAGATGAAGTTAATTAAATTTGATAATTCTGTATTATTCCTTCAAATAACTAGAGAAAAAATTAACTCACTTTCCACATGTTTATGGGACTAAAAGAAGGTTGAGAATCACTGGCAAAAATAGTGTGGTTCAACTATTATGCCAAATATGTAATTTATACATTTTACATCAGATTGAGAAAATCCTTGTCATTCTTTTCCTTGGTTTTGTGATTTAGAAAACAATATCTATTACATGTAAAACTAGTAAATATATTACATTTAAATATCAAATATATACTGATAAGATTAAATGTACTGAGTTTATCCTAAATAGAATGACATTGTTACAAGAATTCTCTTTTGACTTTATCACTAATGCTTAGTGATAGACTTAAATATTATTAAGTACAGTGATTTAGGAACTTTGTGTGGTAGATCCTGTGTTTGGGTGTTTCTTCTACAATATTTCTGTGAAGTTAATTGTAATTAACAGAAAAAAAAAACATAGGAATATAACCATACTGTTTTTTATTTTTAAGATACTCATTTTATTTAAAATGTATTCATGGTCTAATAAATTTTTCTTTGTTCCCTAAATTACAATAATGATCTTAGTAGTGTAAAAAAAAGTGGATATTGACTTACATACAAGCTTGATGAAATGTAACTAAAACAGACACAAAATGGAAAGATTCTGATTCATTAAGACAATATTGTTAAATTATTAATACTACCCGAAGCAATCTACAGATTCAATGTAATATGTATCAAAATCCCAATGTCATTTTATATAGAAATAGAAAAACATTAAAAAATCCATATGGAACCATGAAAGACCATAAATAACCAGATCAATTTGGAGAAACAAGAACAGAGCTGGAGGCATTATTGTTCCTTATTTCAAAATATATGACAAATCTATAGTAATCAAGACAGCATGGTACTGGCTTAAAGGCAGACACATAGACAAATGGAACAAGAATAAAGAGCTCAGAAATAAACCCACACACATATGGTCAACTGATCTTTGACAAGGTTGCAAAGAATACACAATGAGCAAAGGTATTCTTTTCAACAAATGGTGTTGGGAGATCTGGATATCCACATGCAAAAGAGTGATATTTGATTGATATCTCACACCATACATAAAATTCATCTCAAAATGGATTAAAGAATTAAACATAAGGCCTGAAACTGTAAAACTCCTAAAAGAAAACAGGCAAACACCTTCAGGACATTGGTCTTGACAATGATTTTATGGATATGACACCAAAAGCACAGATACAAAAAGCAAAAATACAGTGGGACTACATCAAATTGAAAAGCTCCTACACAGCAAAGGGACTACAGATGGCCCCTAGCTTATGATGATTTCACTTACAATTTTGACTTTACAATCGATTTATTGGGGTATTGAATGCATTTTTGACTTAGGATATTTTCAATTTGGATGGCTTCATTGGGACATAACCTCATAACAAGTCAGGGAGTGTCTGTAAATCAGACAGTGAAAAGGCAATTTATGGAACGAGAGAAAATATTTGCAAACCATATATCTAATAAGGGGTTAATCTCCAAAATATATAAGGAATTCCTACAACTCAATAGTAAAAAAATAATAACCCAACTTAAAAAAAGGGTAAAGGACTTAATAGATATTTCTCCAAAGAAGATGAAAAAATGGCCAACAGGCCTGTGAAAAGGTGCTCAACATCACTAAATCATCATGTAAATGCAAATTCAAACCGCAATGAAATATCACCTCTCAGCTGTCAAAATATGTATTGTCAAAAGAGGGAACGTACTGGCTAGGATGTAGAGAAATGGGAACCCTCGCACACAGTTGGTAGAAATGCAAAGTGGTACAACTGTTATAGAAAACAGTGTGGAGATTCTTCAAAAAAATAAAAATAGGATTACTATATGATTCAAGTAACCCCACTTCTGCATATTTATCCAAAAGCATTGAAATCAGGATCTTGAAGATCTATAAGACCCTTATGTGTATGGCAGCACTATTTGCAATAGCCAACATGTGGAAACAATCTCAGTGCCCGTCCCCAGACAAACGGATATAAAACTGGGGCATATGCATAGAGGGGTGTGCCTTTGAACCTTTAAAACAAAGGAAATCTGCCAAATATGATAACATAGATGAAGCTTGAGGACATTATGCTAAGTGAAATAATCCAGTTATAGAAAGACAAATGCTACATGATTCCACTTTAATGAGGTATCTAAAATACTCAAATTCATAGCATCAAAGAGCAGAATGGTGGTGGCAAGGGGCTGGGGTTTGGAGAGATGGGGAGTTACTTCCTAATCAGGGGCTTACAATTTCAGTCAAGCAAGATGAATATGCTCTAGAGATCTGCTGTACAAATTTGTACCTTTAGTCAATAATAATGTACACTTTAAATACTTAAGAGGGCAGATCTCATGTTGAGAGTTCTGTCTTATTTTCACCAACCTGTATTTCATGAGTAAGAATTTATAAGACAAAATTTAGAATACTGATCCCAGTGGTTTGAGATAAACATGCAAGGCCAGCAGACTTAATTTACTTTGTTTATAATCAAATTGCAATTGGAGACGCAAGAACCATTCTCACCGTGCTGCTTCTGAACATTACAGCCATGAGAAGAAGGTGCCAAACTTTCTAATTACTTCACTTTTCTTCGCTGTGAGGAGCTCTAGACTTTAAGAGAATGGTTCCTTTTCTGCCTCTGTGCTCACATTGAGACTAAAAGCAGGTTGAGAGAAATGATGTACATAGTACATAGCCACATTTAAAAATCTTACTGATACTTTCTTAGTTCTTAGTGAAATGAGAGAGTAAGGTAAACCACTCTAAGAGCCTATGCAACTCCAAATTCAATGTCACTATTAAGTCATATTTGGTAGTATAGTAATGCTTACACCCATTATTAAAATTTTGCTAGCCTATTACTTTACAATTTTTAACTTAACCATGATGATAATGGCTGGGCGTGGTGGCTCACGCCTGTAATTCCAGCACTTTGGGAGGCCGAGGTGGGCGGATCACGAGGTCAGGAGATCCAGACCATGGTGAAACCCCGTCTCTACTAAAAATAAAAAAAAATTAGCCGGGCGTGATGGGGGCGCCTATAGTCCCAGCTACTCGGGAGGCTGAGGCAGGAGAATGGCGTGAGCCCGGGAGGCGGAGCTTGCAGTGAGCTGAGGTCGTGCCACTGCACTCCAGCCTGGGCAACAGAGCGAGACTCTGTCTCAAAACAAACAAACAAGGAAACAAACAAAAAACCATGATGATAATGCAGCAGGAAAGTTCCCTGACTCGTTCATGGGCGGGAACTGGAGTGCATGGGTGCTGGGACTAGCTGGCCACTTAGGTGCCAACAGGGGTGAACTCCACTCATTGGAACCCACAGTGTTCCACCCCTCGCGAGAAGGGGAGCATGTGGGTGAGTGAGTGCAGGGGCCAGGGCGAGTGCTTTTGGGAGCCAGCAGGAGCAAACTACATTCTGGACCTGCAGCAGCATCTGGGGGGCATGCTGCGACCCCTGAAGCCCCAGAAGGAGAGTTACAATGTCCTTTTAGCTCTACTATCTGTGGATGGTTTAACTGTTAACAGCTCAGTGCAGGGTCAGTGTGACAGCCTTTTGTACCCACACTCATGGCACCCGAGTTCTTGTCTGGTGTCCAGGAGGGATGAGGACACATGAATGAATTGAAGATGGTAAATGTAGGGGATTTTATTGCTGATGCAAGAGGCTCTCAGTGGGAAGGGTTGCTGAGAAGAGGACAGAGTAGGAAGGTAATCTTCCCCTGAAGCCAAGCTTCCTGGCCAGACTCCTCTCCTAAAGCTATGCCATTAAGACATCCCTCTGAAGTTAAGCTGCTTCTCTCTAACATCCAACCATAGTCTCTGACATCCAGCTGCTTCTCTGTTAGCTGAGCCTGGGGTTTTTATGGGGACAGAATGGGGGATGGGACAGGCTATGACTGGTGGGAAAACAGGGGTGTAAGTTCTCACTTTGGGCCATGGTATCAGGCTTTTCAGCTTGAGGGTGGGGCCCTAGCTGGGGACTCAACCTCCCAGAATTTCTCTGCCTTCTGTCCCTATCAATAGTAGACTGTAAATGCATTTAAATTATCTAGATAAAATTATTGAATAGAATAAAATTTAGTAGAATTAAAAAAACACACAATGTAAAGCTTTTCCTTAAATATTACACAACTCTTGATTCTAACTGCTTTTTGGGGAAAATCAAATATCACAAAAATATATAAATAGAAGATCCAGCTTTAATAACTGATTTTAAAAAGGATTGTTTCCCTTGGACTTCGCATTCTTGGAATAATCTTCTCCCCCTGCCACCCCTCCTAAAAGAGTGAGAGAGGCCGGGAGTGGTGGCTCACGCCTGTAATCCCTGCACTTTGGGAGGCTGAGGCAGGCGGATCATGAAGTCAGGAGATCGAGACCATCCTGGCTAACATGGTGAAACCCCGTCTGCACTAAAAAAAATACAAAAAATTAGCCGGGCATGGTGGCAGGCGCCTGTAGTCCCAGCTACTCGGGAGGCTGAGGCAGGAGAATGGTGTGAACCCAGGAGGCGGAGGTTGCAGTGAGCCGAGATCGTCCCACTGCACTCCAGCCTGGGTGACAGAGTGAGACTCCATCTCAAACAAAACAAAACAAAACAAAAAGGGCGAGAGAAAGTGAAGGCAGAAAAGCAGAAATGAACAACAGCAGTGGCAGCTCTCCTGCAAACACCAAGAAGCAGCCACCCAAAAGGACTGTGGTCTGGGAATGAATTTCCCCTCCAAGTTATAGTGCTGTAGGTGTCAACTGCTAAATAAGCTTTAGCACGGGGTAGCAGTTAATTGATGTAATTGATTATTTTTCCTCAATAGAAAACTGCATCTTCTTTATGTACAATCGTATCATGGGGAGAGTTAAGTTTAGACAATTTGAACAAGATGTAATTATCAATTATGGATTCCTCTGGGTCCACGGTCATTATTATCTTTTAATGACTTTGTTCCTTTTCATATGATTATTTGGAAATTACATAGTTATTGTTCCCCTTAGTGAATTGCAAAAATTTTCTAACACAATGACATTCTAATGAAAAAAACAAACCTAGTAAGATACTCGTATCATCCTTTGGATATTTTGACAAAGCATGACTTAAAACAATTCTATGGGGAACAATGAACCAAAATGACACAAGTGTACCACAAAACGATTTCATTTTTGATGTTCCCTGCTAATATTTTTATTGACCTTTTAAGTTTATCTAAGAGCTTTTTAATGCAACAGGCTATGTTAGTAGGGCTGTGTGTGTGTGTATATATATATATATATGTAAACTTTTTTTGCACAATATCATACATTTCAGTCTTTATCACGCTGGGAACAATAAAGTAACAGACTGCAATGCATTAGCATCATAAAGAAAATGTAATAAATGACTTTATAACTGTAGTAAAAGTTGCATGAGCACCAGCAGCTGTACCAGAGATGTTGCTACAGCAGCGCTTTATGACCTAATGGCACTCAGTGGGCTGATAATATTATGTGTGTGTGTGTGATGCCAGCAGTTTCCAAGGCCTAGATTTCAATTCGATAAATAATTGAAAGCACTTTTAGACTTTCCCATAAAATGTTTAACAAGGGATCAAATCCTCCCTCCCTGTACTAGAAAATTAAATAGTTTTTATGGGAGTATTTTATGATGAAATCCTAACTACTAACTGTGGGAAAAGTGGTATTTTTAAACACAGCAGTTGAAAATAACTCCTCAAAGAGTTCGTATTGCATTGAATTTGATGAACAGTTCTTTCAACTTAAATTTTTCTTCTTTGCTTAAGTTTCTGGCTTTTCAATTTTGAAGCCTGCCTGTAAGAACTGGGTTTTTTGAAATGAACGTGTGGAGGATGGCACAGTCATGGAGCACTGTGGACACGAATCAGGAATGCACATAGGCTAGAGGACTGCAGTGAGTCAATATTCTGGAAATGACAGAATGGATATTCCTGTGCTGTCAGTGTGCAATTCACCATGGGTTCTTTACGCTGTTAAAGGGGGACAAAGAAGTGAGACTGACTTTTCTCCTCTCTTTAACAGAACACATGAGATGTAAAATGAGTGCTCTGTGAGTGGTTAAAAATTTCTTATAATGTACATACAATCTATGAGATTGGAATTTTATTTAAAATGGAGAAAACAAAAAATATGTTTCCTTCAAATAAGAGAAATGTTAATGGTAATTTTTATTACTACGTGTGACTTTTTTTCTTAAGAGGAATAATTTCATAATTTTTGTTAAATGCCTTGCTTCTTCTGCCTGTTTTTGGCTGTTCAGAGTCTGAAGGGAATTAGTGTATACACTGCATCAATTGAAGTGAGGTTACTAATCAACTGTCATAAACATTGTCTGTCAATGACGCCATATGGCATATGTTCTTAGTTAATCCAATATACATCATGAGTGGGACATCATCTTAATGTGATATGAAAAGACAAAAATTACATAAAATAGTGGAATCTCTCTGAGACTAACTTGTTTAAAACTATCTCTTGAGAATGATTTAACAGAAAGTAGAAAAAAACTAGCAAAGACAACAAAAAAGAACACTTAAAAATGGTTAGACTATATATGCTAAATGTGACCACCTCAACTCCCCAGTAGCTCCTTACTCCAATTCCATTAATAAACAAAAGGGACAAGAAACAGCCATCAGTATTCCCACTAACCTAGGTGTAAATTTTGAGCAAAGCCATTTTGTCTAAAGTAGAACATTCTTCTCCCTCATTTTTTGCTTTATGTTTATAATATTTTATTTGCTTTTGTAATAGCATATTCTCTGAGAAGAAAAAAAGCTGTTACTATTTGCCATCAGGATGAAAAACGTAAACGACAGGTAAATAATCTCATCTTAAGACACCGTGATAAAATGAGCATGAAGTTGAAGAGACTCTGAGATGCTCCTACCATCTGCATCAAATAATGGAAAGATCATTACTGGATTTGAATGTTAACTCTGCCCCTCAGTAGCTGTATGACTTTAAAAAAAATCGTATGGCTTCTGAGATTTGAAATGTATTTAATCACGGACTGATGTGATGCTTATGGAAATTACTAAGCAGACAGCACATAACTTAGGAAAAAGCAGATCCCAGTTTGTTGCAAATGTTTCTTACTGTGTATTTTGCTCTCCCTCTCCCTTTCTCTAATAGCTCACTGAAATTCAAAATTCCAGAAAGTTTGAGATGACATTTCCATTGGTGTTCAGTTTTTGAGCAACTGTTTTGCCCATATTTGCATGTCTCTATTGTAAAAATTTCAATATCATCACATAAAGCATCCTAAGTTTCTTCCTGTACAGAGATGACAACAACATTGTTAGAGGAACAAAAATCTATGGTTTTCCCAGCAGCGTCTGAATGAGGGCAATCTGCGTAACTACACACAGGACTTCCATCCCAATGAAAACTCCTATCCTTTTTCAGTACAACTGTGTAAGGGTTTGAAGGAACGTGATAAATCAATACATCTCTTGACCACCCATGCTTAGAACCAACAAAGAAATAGAAATAGGAGTCAGAGAGAGGGAGACAATACTAGCTATATTTCTTGAAAAAAATGTTAGCGGGCTAGGTAACAGAAAACATCAAAATAAGACAGACTTTCCAAACCAGTCAGGCTGTGTTAGATAAATCCCGTAGCTACAAAACTTAAAGCACAGGAGAATAGCACAGAATCCAGCCCTTCTCCAAGACAAAATGGAGCAAAAGGGCTGAACCATACATGTTCAGGGCTGTCTTCTAAACTCAATCTACCACACTCCCTTTCGGGGGAAAGAAGAGTAAAAGAACAGGGAGCAATTCAAATGAAACTTCTTCCACCTCTGAGAGATGGATTAAATTCTCCGTTAGCATTTTTTGTTTTCTTTGGCTTCCTTTGTTTCTTCAAACCATAGTCAGCCACAATGTGCTGTTTTCATGAACGATACTGGCCAGCCTGGAAGCACAGACCTGCTTCCACCTTGATGAAGCTGCTTCCTGCATAGCAGACATTGCTTCTGTGGATGGATCTTCCTGATGCCACTTCAATGCAGTGTTGATTTTGTTACATGGTCCTGAAATGTGCTAAAATGGTTCATAAGTATCTCCCACTCTGCACCAAAGACTGAATGTCCTGTTTTCCACCTACATGCTGTCAAGGTGCACCAGCCAATAAGCTCATCTCCTCTTCAGTGGGTCGAAAATGAATGTTAAAGGTGTGCCTGTTAAAACTGAAAGACCAAAGAAATTAAAGTTGAAAACTAATTTTCTTACTCTTGTGGTTAGATGATTTATTGCTCAAGACTTTTAAAAACAAACTCTCCAAGCCCCTCCCCAAATTCCAGTGTTGTATTTTGCTTAGCCTTTTCCCGAAGGATTCCCCACGCAGGGTTGTTCTGGGTTGGGGGTCTGTCTTCCTGCAGCTGAAGTCAGACCTGAATTGCAGGGCAATGTGTGTCATTCTTTTCAAATTCAGAAGATGAAATCAGTGAGTCTCTGTTCATTCTCAATTTTAAGCAGGACAAACAATGAAACAAGAAGGATAACCCAACTGGCCCTGTATGGTAAAAGTTTAGAAAACAAAATCAGTTACCGAAAATAAAACCATCTACCTAAACACTACTCTTTGGGATCATGGAAGACCGCAGGGAAGACTCAATTACTCAAGGAGGGAGAATGGAAGGAAAAATCTTCTTAGCCAGGGTGCTGGCCAATCTATGCCGTATGTTCACAGTCCACATAATAACTCAATTGAAACAACTCTTCATTAAATGTTTACTTTTAATAGCATATTTATATGGAAAAAAGTCACCCATTGTACCCCATCTTCTCTTTCTTAATGGAATTTCAATCACTGCCGCTCTCTGGCAAAGGTTATAAATTTGTGATGCTAGCAGCCCAAACCTGGGCCTCATTTCAAACCACCTTTATCCCACAGAACATAGTTAAACCTCTTAATTTCCATTTCCTCTTAGAGCTTTTCATTTCTGAACCATAGAGACACATGATGTTAAAATCTGTTAGAAGCTGATGCTATTGCTCCTTTGTGTGGAATTACTGAGTCCTCTAAAATCTACCCCATCCACGTAAGTCCTAATGGTTTTAGCACCCATTTGTGCTAAACGGCTCCATGTCCCTATTTTTGTGTCAGCTATCAGGTCATCATCGGTAGGCTCCTGACACTACTGTTGATTTTCCTGCAAGTGAAGTACATCTGCTCCAACTTCCCAGGGTAATCTTCGCTTATCATTTTCGGATATTTCACTACTTCTTCCCAGAAAGTGTCATTAAACCTCCTTGTAAACTCGGTTCAGCTCCTTCAGTGGCTGCATGGGGTTGATAAGATTTCTGGACTGAATTGTTTCTTCTATTCCTTTTCCTGTACTTTCTGGTATAGTAACAATTCACAATATTACATCTTATGGGGATACCTACATGCTTATTGATTACAAATCAGTGAGTTCTGGGCCCAGTAAAACCATTCACTCATCATTCAAACTACTCACTTTCATCTACAAAACCTAGAGATGGGTAACCCCACAAAACAAGTTGTTTTTCAACACACCACCATCAACAACAAAAAAACAAGCCTGGACTATTATTTTCCTGCCAGATTCCCCTTTCAGAGGCTCATTTTGATTTGCATTCTTTTAGCGGTCTTATTCCTCAAATTTCTCAAGTTATTTTCTTAGGGAATAGGCAAAAATAGCATGCCTACCCTTAATTGCTGTCGCCGCAAACTCATGGAATAATTTTTTGAGAGTTTGATCTTTCCAAACTCTTCTAAAATTTGTACACATTTTAAATAAACAGTAGAGCTGTCCCAATCTATAAGGTACATTTTCCCAATGGCTCTAAATACAAGCCTCTTTTTAAAACATCAGTGTCTTGCATTCTGAATCCCTCTGCATGCATCATCTTGGTCTGCTCTCTATGCATTATGCTATGTTTCTTGACATCCTTGTCATAAAAAAATACACTTTTATCTTTTAGAGCAATTTGAGGTTCATAGAAAAATTGAGAAGAAGGTGCAGAGATATCCCTTCCCCAACACGTGCACAGCCTCCCCTATTATCAACATCCCCACCAGAATGGCACATTTGTTAAAATTGATCAACCTGAGACACATCGTTAGCCAGAGTCCATAGTGTACATTAGAGTTCACTTTTGGTGTTGTCTACTCCACGGATTTGTACAGATGTATAATGGCATGTATCCATGATTATAGTATCATGCAGGGTATTTGCACTGCCCTAAAATTCTCCTGTGTACTGCCTACTCATCCCTCTCTCTCCCCTAACCCCTGGCAGCAGCCACTGATGTCACTAATTTTTTTTTTTTTTTTTTTTTTTTTTTTTTGAGATGGAGTCTCGCTCTGTCACCCAGGCTGGAGTGCAGTGGTGCAATCTCAGGTCACTGCGACCTCCGCCTCCCAGGTTCAAGCAATTCTCCTGCCTCTGCCTCCTGAGTAGCTGGAATTACAGGCGTATGCCACCACACCCAGCTAATTTTTGTATTTTTGGTATAGATAGGGTTTCACCATGTTGGTCAGGCTGCTCTCGAACTCCTGACCTCATGATCCACCTGCCTCGGCCTCCCAAAGTGCTGGAATTACAGGCATGATGATCTTTTTACTGTCTATACAGTTTTGCCTTTTCAAGAGTGTCATATAGTTGAAATCAAACAATATGTAAACTTTTTGGATCAGTTCTTTTCAGTTAGTAATATTCACTTACAGTTCCTCCATGTTATTTGGTGGTTTGATAGCTTTTTTAGTGGTGAATAATATTTCACTGGATGTACCATTGTTTATCTAACCACTCTACAGAAGTACATCTTCATTGCTTCTAAATCTTGGCAAATATGCATAAAGCTGCTATATGGCAAATATGCATAAAGCTGCCATGTGCAAGTATGTGTGTGGACATACATTTTCAGCTCCTTTGGATAAATGCCAAGGAGTTAAATTACCGAATTGTACATTTAAAAATATGTATAGTTTTGTAAGAAACTGCTGAACTTCCCTCTTAAGTGGTTGTACCTTTTTACTATTTTGAATCCCTACCAGCAATGAAAGACAGTTCCTGTTCTTCCACATCCTTATCCATATTTGGTGTTGTCAGTGTTCTGAATTTTTGGCATTGTATTAATAAATGCACAGTGGTATCTCTTTGTTCTAATTTGCATTTCTTTAATGATGTATGATGTGGAATAACTCTTCATGTTCTTATTTTCCATCTGTATCTTCTTTGATGAGGTTGGCTTCAGCCCATTTTTAAGTGGATGGTTTTCTTCTTGTTAAATTTTAAGAGTTCTTTGTATATTTTGGAAAACAGTCCTATACCAAATGTCTGTCACAAATATTTTCTCTCACTCAGTGGCTTTTCTTTTCATTCTCTTGACAGTGGCTTTCAAAAAACAAATATTTTTAATTTTAATGAAGACTACGTTTTTTGCTTGTTTCATGTTTTTTTTCTGTTTTTCTTTTTTATTGTTGTTATTTTCTTTTTGAGGCAGGATCCCACTCTGTCTCCCAGGCTGGAGTGCAGTGGCGCCATCTTGGCTCACTGCAACTTCCATTCCCCAGAGTCAAGCGATCCTCCCACCTCAGCCTTCAGAGTAGCTGGGACCACAGGTGCGCCACCATGCCTGGCTAATTTTTGTATTTTTTGGAGAACATGGTTTTTGCCATGTTGGCCAGGCCGGTCTCGAACACTCCTGGACTCAAGCAATCCACCTGCCTTGGCTTCCCAAAGTGCTGGGATTACAAGCCTGAGCCACCGTGTGAAGCCAGAAGTCTACCTTATCAATTCTTTCTTTCACAGGTTGTTATTTGCTTCAGTCATTTCTATGGAATAAGAACTAAAAACAAACTATTTTCAGAATACCTTTTTTAAGAAGTCATACTACTCATTTTTTTTTCCAGCTTCAACTTCAAGATGACTATTTTTTTTAAATTTAGCTTCGTCTAAGGTCCCAACATTTCCTATAATAAATATCTTCTCATCTTTCTGCCAAATCGTTTTTTTAATTGGTCTTCATATTTCATATTTTCAACAGATTCAGCTCCTCCTTGATTTTCTAAGTAAACTTGAGTCTTAGAGACAATATCTATCGACAGCTTTTTAAAATAGTGTACTTGGCCTTTGGGTTTACAGTAAATTTATTGAATTATTTAACTACCTTAATTCAGAAAAATGGTATATATATTTGTTTGTAATAAGTGTCTACTACTTTTAAATTTTGTATTGAGATATGATTTGCATAAAAGTACAATGTTTAAAAGTAAATTTTTAGTGAATTTGAAAAGGTATAACCCATACTTGAAACTCATACTTGAAAAATAATAGAGAATATTTCCAGCACATCCACTGTACTCTTTTCTGGTCAATTTTGTCCCCAGACTTCTAAAGTGAATTGGAAGTTCTGATTTTAAATCACAATACATTATCTTTGCCTGTTCTTAAGCTTTAAATAAAAAAAAATCCTTTCCTTTATTCTACCAACTTGTATTTTCTTTTCTTTGGTTCTAAGGTAGAAGCTTCGTTTTTTGCTTTTTGTAACAACAGACATTTAAAGTTATAAATTTCTCTCTAAGGGCACCTTACTTGCATCCCACAAATTTTGATAGTGTTTTCATTATCACTAATTTGGAAATATATTATTTCTCTGAGTTCTTTGATCAATCGGTTATTTAGAAGATTGTGGTCACCTTTTAGGGAGTATTTTTTAGTTATTTTTTGCTATTTCTAATTGAGTTCTGTTACGATCAGAGAACATATTCAGTATGATTTCAATTTTTTAACATCTATTGGTTTATTTTACAACCTGGCATTTTTCTCTCTTTGTGAATATACCATGTGTACTTCATAAGTGTATTCTGCAATTGTGATTATACAGTTCAATAAAACTCAGTAGGTTAGGTTGCTAAGAATATTATTCAAATCTTCTATATCCTTTTAAAATCTCGTGAGTGGAATCTTAAAATCTAGAATTCCATGAGTCTGTCTCTTAAATCTGTTATTAAAAACCTTGTTATAGTAGCATGAATATTTAGAATTCCTTTTTGAAATGGAGTCTCGCTCCCTTTAGGCTGCAGTGCAGTTGTGTGATCTCGGCTTACTGCAACCTCTGCCTCCTGGGTTCAAGCGATTCTCCCGCTTCCACCTCCCGAGTACCTAGGACTACAGGTGCCTGCCGCTATGCCTGGCTAATTTTTGTATTTCGATTAGAGACAGGGTTTCACCATGTTGGACAGGCTGGTCTTGAACTCCTGACCTCAGGTGATCCACCCGCCTCGGCTTCCCAAAGTGCTGGGATTACAGGTGGGAGCCACTGCACCCGGCTGTAGGATTTGTTTTTTTGATATTGATATTTTTATCTTTTTGAAATATGCTTCTTCATGTCCAGTAAAAACATGTCTCCTACCTTCAAATCCTTGATATCATTACATTCCTATCTATTATATTGGATCAAAGATACATTGTATCTACATACATACACATATAAACACATTATATATAAAGGCTTTAATATTCTGTAAACAGTATGTCAGTGGATCTTTTCAAACAACCTAGAAATCTCTTAAAATGTTTAGCTTATTCACATCAAATGTAATTATTGATATGATTGGGTAAAAATCTTACATCAAGAGAGTCTTACTCTGTAGCTCAGGTTGGAGTTCAGGGGCTCACTGCAGCCTCAACCTCCCAGGCTCAAGCAATCCTTCCACCTCAGCCTTCCGAGTAGCTGGAACCACAGGCATGCGTCACCATGCTCAGCTCATTTTAAAAGTTTTTTAGAGATGGAGTCTCTGTTGTCCAGGCTGGTCTCAAACTTTTTGCCTCAAGTGATCCTCCAGCTTTGGCCTCCCAAAATGCTGGGATTACAGGTGTGGGCCACCACAACTGGCCAGATTATTACATCTCTTATTTGTTCATTTATTCCTTATTTCCTACCATTTTTGATATTAATATTTCTTTTCTTTTTTTTCTTTTTAGTATTTTAATTTGTCTCAAATTAGTCTTCAGAAATATGTCCTTGTGGCCGTGTGCGGTGAGTCATGCCTGTAATCCCAGCACTTGGGGATGCCAAGGCCGGTGGATCACTTGAGGTCAGGAGTTGGAGAGCAGCCTGGCCAACATGGGGAAACCCTGTCTCTACTAAAAATACAAAAAAAAATAGCTGGGCCTGGTGGTGGGCACCTGTAATCCCAGCTATTCAGGAGGCTGAGGCAGAAGAATCGCTTGAATCTGGGAGGCAGAGGTTGCAGTGAGCCAAGATTGTGCCACTGTACTCCAACTTGGGCAACAGAGGAGGACTCCATTAAAAAAAAAGTCCTTGTTTTACTTCTTAATAGTTGCTCTAGGGTTTCAATATATCTTTTAATTGATTTTCTATCATTTTACATTAAATAAATTATAGAAGTAAAATTTTTCAGTCCTTTGTTTTATCATATATTTACTTCTATATATGTTACAAGCCTCACAATCTTTGCTATTATTTTTTGCTTTAAAGACCCAGTGGTGGCCGGGCATGGTGGCTCATGCCTGTAATCCCAGCACTTTGGGAGCCCAAGGTGGGTGGGTCACCTGAGGTTAGGAGTTGAAGACTAGCCTGTCCAACATGGTGAAACCCCATGTCTACTAAAAATACAAACATTAGCTTGGCATGGTAGCAGAAGCCTGTATTTCCAGCTACTCCAGAGGCTGAGGCAGGAGACTTGCTTGAACCCAGGAGGCAGAGGTTGCAGTGAGCAAAGATGCGCCATTGTACTCCAGCCTGGGCGACAGAGCAAGACTCAGTCGCAAATAAATAAATAAATAAAATAAAATACTCAATGGTATTTAACTAAGTAGAAGGATGCAGTTTTTTTTAAATATCCATATGTCATCACTTCTGACACTATTCTTTTTTGTTGATATGAATTTCCAGGTGTAGCCATTTTCTGTATCACTTTGTAGTGTTTCCATGGTTCACTTTTTTTCTCTGCGTTTGTTTGAGTTCACTGTTGCATGATAATTTCACTAGTGATCCGCCTGCCTCAACCTCCCAAAGTGCTAGGATTACAGAGGTGAGCCACTGTGCCCAGCTGGTGTGATTGTTTTTGGATAAGAAGTCAGCCATCATTTTCCTTGTCCCACTGTATGTATTGTGTCTTATTTCACTGCTTAAAAGTATCTGTTTATCTTTCATTTCCAACACTTTAATAGTGATCTCTCTTTGTGCTTTTATTTTTATTTATGGCCTTTTTGGGACCATTTATGCTCCTTACTATGTGGCTTGATGTCTTCTTCAGATTGATAACAATTTTATCATATTTTCCAAATGCTTTTTTATAAATAAGAAATATCACCCTAGAATGAAATATCATTCTAGGACTAAATATTAGATGATATTTTCTCACAGGTAGTAAATGTTTAATTCATGTTTTTTCGAACTTTTTTCTCTGATTAAATGGACACAATTCTATTAACCTGTTATCAAGTTAATTTATCCGTGTTTCTGCCATGTCTAATTTGTTGAAATTTATCCAGTGTAGTTTTATTCACAAATTGTTTTTTTTTTTTCTAGAAAGTTCTTCTGGTTCTTTTATTTCTCTTCTGAAATAAACTGTCTCCTTACCCTTTTATATCTTTTTCTGTAAATTCTTTAAAAAAATTTATAATATTAAAGGTTTTTATCTGCTAATTCCAATAATTTTGTCATCTATAATTCTGCTTCTATTGACTGCTTTTTCTTTCATTATGAGACATATTGTTCTGCTTTTCTGCATAACTCTTAATTTAAAGAATCTAGATATTACATATAAAATAATAAGTGTAATATTTTTGTCTCATTTTTTTCATTTTCCCAGAGACTACAACTCTTTTTTTCTATATATTGTCTGGCATTTATGGTAAGTAGAATAGGTCTCATCTGTACCTTTAATTAGATGAATTCACCTGTGAGTAGTCCCAATTCCACTCTCCCAAGCTTTCACATTTAAAAATGTGCAAATATTTAACCTGGGATGGGTTGACTACTATTTTAGATATTTTTCGGGTTTTATTCTGATACGGCCCCTGGATTCAACCACTGTGAGAATGTCTGTGACATAATTTACTTACCATTTCTTTTCCACTGATGCTTTCTAGTCATAATTTTAGCAGTGTGTGTGTGTGTGTGTGTGTGTGTGTGTGTGTGTGTGTGAGACTTGCTATACTGAATGTTTTATTTTTGGATTTACATTTCTTCCGATTCCAGTTTATCTTGCCATCCCACACTATCTTCTAAGGCTTGATTGATTTCATATTATTACTGTTATCTCAGTCTGGTACATCCATTATCAGATACTCACACAAACTCCCAGGTGTGGAATCTTTCTTGGTTCTCTGTTTCCTTATGAAGAGATATTTTTTCTCTGGAATTTAGTGCACCAAGGCTTATTTTTATCTGCTACCTTTTACTGTCTCCATAAGAATATATAAACTTATTTTGTCTGGGTTTTGCTTTTCTGTAACCATAGGAGTATTGTTCTTTCAGATGTATCTACGACCTAACTAGTATTAGATACTTCCTATTTCTTCCTATCCCGTTAAGAAGACCATTGCTTTTCTTTGGATTAATACATAGTTTGGGTCCTGAGATCTTAGCTCAGGAACATAATTTACAGAATTAGCAAATTGAAAGCTAACTCAAGAGCATGTAGAAGATAGTGGCTAAAGGACATTCTACTTGAATTCAGAGTTTGTCCTTCAATGTTGCTGTCTAGTGGCCTTGAAGACAATTCTGAATGTCTTCAAGAATGTGGCAGAGGTTCTATATAATTCTAGAACTGTATAGTTTTTCTTAACATGAAGGGTTTAAACTAGAACTTTTCCTCTCTAGGGTAAATAAAATAGTAATAGCTTGCACTTACTGAAGGCTTCCTATTTGTCAGAGTACGTATGTAGCTAACTGGTTTCACCTAAAGCAATCCTAGGAGATATTTAATATTATCATTTTAATTCATAGATGAGGAAAATAAAATAGAAAAGTTCTAATAATAATTTCACAGTTCAAAATGGCAGCACTGGAATTTGAACTTGACTGTTTCTTTCCAGATTCTGTTATTTAAATAGCTTTGTTCTATTAGCCCTCCAGGAGTTGCCCACGAGAAAAACCACAGTAAAGTAAGCACTATCATTGTCTTCCTTTCATGGAGACCTTTTAATGGGACTAAAAGTCTCTTTAAGTGCAATTTTACTGAATGTGCCACTTTTTAATGACGCTTGGTCCATGCATTTCAAGATCTGCTATAGAATAGGTTATGTAAAACTGGCTTGTGTGTGGGTTGCTAATCTACCTCTTGTTAGGTGGCAAAACCTTTGTGCCTGCTGACATGAAACAACCATTCACCTGTAGAAACACAGGCTTTTATCTTGGAGAAGACTGCCTCATGCTTCAGTGACTGCAAGTTCAAATGCCTCAGGATCCTGCCGCGAAAACTGGCGTCTATAGTGACCAGTCCTGGAACCATCAAAAGCATCTCTGTTGGTTATTTCAATCCCAAATTCCACTCATTGTCAAATACTAAAGAGTCTCAGTGTGGGTTTGACACTCATATTTTCTACCCAAATTTGGATCAACTAAGAAATGGACAAGAATCCAGCAAATTGCTATATTGCAGATAAAGTCTGGGTTGGAAGATGATCCCCATGTATTTGGAATTAATGGGCTACCTAGTACATAACCATGGTAATACAGGGAATGGCCCCTCCAGCCTCAGATGGGGCTTGGAACATGTCAGGACTCTCTCCTCCTTACCCTAGATGCAAAGCCTTAGGAACAGCCATGACATAGCTGTATGGGGCAGGTGTTGCTGTAAGTAGAGCTATCCCAAATAAAAGAAGATGAGTTACATTATGTATCTAATTAGCTAACAAATGACCCTAATAATACTCCAAAACAAGTGTGATGTGTTCTCTCACGGGACGGGGGTGGTGGCTCACACCTGTAATCCTGGCATTGTGGGATGTCGAGGAGGGCGGAGCCTGAGCTCAGGAGTTCCAGACCAGCTTGGGCAACACGGTAAAACCCCGTCTCTACTAAAATACAAAAAATTAGCCAGGCGTGGTGGCACGCGCCTGTAGTCCCAGCTACTCAGGAGGCTGAGGCAGGAGAATCGCTTGAAGCCGGGAGGCGGAAGTTGCAGTGAGCCGAGATCGAGCCACTGCACTCAAACCTGGGCGACAGAGCGAGACTCTATCTCCAAAAACAAACAAACAAATAAAAAACAATTGGGGCAGGAAGAACAGATGTGTTATTCTAACAGAATTTCCTCTTCCCAAAGGCAATAAAAGTCAGAGATAAGCATAATCCACAATACACTTGATTATGTCTTCTTGACATTTGTCCCTGCCTGATTCTCTAAGTTTACTTTTGGAAAAGCAGATGTATCACATTCATTCCACTGTATAACAGCTAGTGGAAAGGAGTGTTGCAACTATGTACCACAGTGGAGGTACATGTCATCCTTCTGAATTATGTCATATTGAACTTCAAAAGATTTAACAAATTCTTTGAGATTTTAAAATCTTTTAATTTCCTCAAGAATTCAAAATTTTACCTAGGGAATTCTCAGCAAAATCACCAAGCACTGGGTTTCATGGTGAATATGCAGACTTTCCATTTGAACACTTGGAAGAACTTCTTTTACGTTCCTCTCAGGACATAGAGGACCTTATGGTCCATTCTCCTCCCCCAATTCAATTTTCTTTCAGGAGAGGGTCAAAAAATCACGTGAGGTTTAATGTCAAATACCATCTGAAAGCGTTAATCGTCTTAGATTTACCTGGAATTAAAAATAAGTGAATCCAAGAAAATGGCATAAATTTGGAATTTTTAGGCATCAATCAGTGAGTAAGGAGAAAGGGGTCTTCCTGATGTCATTTAGATGAGAGTCATCTTCTGTGGTCTCACATAGCTTTTGTTTCATCATCAGGTAAAACTAATTTAAGGAAATCCATAAAAGCCTTATCCCTTTAACTCTGAGGCCCAAAGTTTTGCATAATATCAATTTGTTTTCTGGAGTATTACCAAGGTCATTGTTTGGCAGATTAGATTATCAGTCAAATTGGGTGTTAAATTTCAAGACTGCATATTTGGGTGCAATAATCTAATATATAGAAAACTCTATCAAATTTTTAAAAGATGTAAATCAATATATAAATTGCTGGAAACTGAAGCACCTGTGCCACTTGGTACTTTTTTTCTCTCTTTTTATAGAGGATCATTTATAAATAGTAAAATAGAACAAAATTTATGGAATGGGCCCACAAAAACACAAATGCTGTCATGAATACGTACACAGTCCATCACCAGAAGGGCTAGCTGAAAGAAGTGTTTTGTTTTTGTTGCTGTTTTAAATCTTCTGTGAAAATGTTTATGGTGAGATTGTCTGTCTGTTCCCTATGTAACTGTCCATGGGATAATTCGCTGCTTGAGTGTAGCTAAAGAAATAGATGTTTATTTGGTTTTGTTTGCCGATTGATCTGTATGGGTGATGGCTTTTGGTGACAACTGAAATGTTTTCTAATTTTAATGACTCATTTTCATAATGTCCAAAAATTTAAATCTATATTCATTAAAATCCCAATATACTTTGTGTAATCATATTTACTGTATGTGTATCTATGACTGCGTTTGTGGTTTTGTGGGCTCATTACATGTTTTATCTTATTTTATCATTTAAACATATATTCTTCCATTGTTTTTATATGTATGCTACCTTCTACTTTTTAAAACAGACAAAAGAATATGACAGTAAAAATTTTAATTTCTGAAAATTATTCCATATTTACCAAATTGTAACAACTTGCCAATTTATAAAATAATAATCCCAGTGACACAACTCATAATATATTGATAAACATGTTCAGAAAGCTCATTTTTCCCCTACTAAATCTTGAGATTATCATCGTGGGTCAGTGAATGTCTCCCAGAGATGAATACACATAGCCCTTCGAAATGATTCTTTGTTCCTGGATGAAAGGTCTGTCTGGCTCTACAAACATACAATGAATTTGATTTAAAAAGAAATAGTGTGGCTTCTCTCCAACACTTGACCTCTTCCCCTACAGCTTATTCTAGAGTCAAAAAACGTTTTTTTTTCCTGTATCTCAATTATCTCTGTACTGTCAATATTTGTGGGGATATGCCATTTCAGATTTTAAAATAATTTTTGTCATTAGAGTTTTTTAAAAAAATAGATGCTTCAGGCAAGTCCAGATGATGATTGTTTTGACTTCAGCAGTTCAACTTTCAAGGCCTGTGGATTTTGTGCTTATGGTACCTAAAACACTGCATAGGTTTTTGCAGAGAATGCTTCCCACTCAGAGCCACCAAAAAAGCCAGAGGAGACTTCATCCAACAGTCAAGCCTACACCTTGTCCTTGCCCTACAGTACCAGTGGTGTTGAAAACATCGTTTCCATTGCTTTGTTTCTTAAAAATGTGGAATAAAATAAAGATGTAAAGTGTTTATACATTATTCAGAGGTAATTAAATGGTAAGTAATGAGCTAAAAAGCCTGAGTATATTGGATTCTGTGATTCCTTGACCTGAATTTATGTGTAAGTTCACCAAACAAAACCTGTACTTGAAAGCTTGACATAACCACAGACATATAACACATCATCCTTTGTTATTTACTTATGTAAAAGATTTAGGATGGTGGAGATGCAGAGAGGTTCACATGTAGAATTCTTTCTTCAGATTCACAGATGAAATTTATTTTCTTGGTATTGTTTGCTCCCTTTAAAAACAAATACGCCTTTCCTATATATATACCTACTACAGTGCTTTGTAAAATACGATTTTGAAATCATTTATGCATCATACAATTACTTTATTATGTTGGAAGGTAATTTTAAAAATGAAATATGAAATTAGAATAGATAAAAATACAGTAGAAAATGCAGAAATATATTACACATAGAATAAGAAATGTTTAGTAAACTTTCATTTCAATTATGTGTGTTTATGCAAATTCATGCATAAATTGTGTTGTAATGACAAAATATCATTTTACCATATCATAATGGTAAAATATATTTTTGTGTGTGGAATAGGGGCAAAAGTGTTTGTAAGTTACTGATTTAATGCCTAACAAGGCGTGGTTATATAAACAGCCAATAGCTCATTTGTAGAGTAGACATTGATCTATAAAACATATTAAACACCTCAGGATTATTTATCTACAGTATCAGAAATGTGTCAAGCTTGATATAAGAGATCAATCCATGTTCTTAAGTCTAACCCTAAGCCTTAACCTTAAGTGGTTTAGAATTAAAGATTAGCCAGGCTACATATTTAAATTTTGCCACCTAGGACTCTTTCAAGATGCCTGAAATAAACCCCAAGTTGTGTCAATGTTCCTTTCGATAGTATTGATTGAAAATATCCTCTATGCCAAGCCCTAATTTAGACACTGGGGACATAGCTGTGAAGAAGTCCTTACCTTTATTGAATTTACAGTCTATGAAAAAATAGGTAATAACAATGAAGCCAATTTTGATATAGGTAGGGATATAAAAATGATATTTAAATATGATATAAAGCAGCGTAATAAATGGACCGTAGCCATGGGAAAGTGTTTTAGATAGGCTAGTCTTAGAATGTTTCTCTGAAGAGGTGACATTAAGGAGGAAATGTAGTATCAAACAGAAGAAGCCGTGTGTGCAAAGTAGAAGGTAGCAATGAACCTGGTGTGTTTGGGGAACAGTGAAAAAGCCAGTATGGCTGAAATGATAATGATCATGGGTTTGTTACAATACATAGAAAAAATGTGGACAGAACTCAGAACAAGTACAGCTTTCTCTAACTTTTAAGAATTTTGGACATTGTTTTGCAAGTGATGGGAATATTTTGAAGATTTTGAGCTGAACAGTGATGTGGTCTATATATTTAAGAGATCTTTGTGACTGTCTGAAGAACAGATGATGAGACGGCAAGCATTTGAGGAGGAGGTCGACTAATGAGTCTGTGTAAGTGGTCCAAAAGATAGTTGAAAATGCTTCAGATTAAGGTGAGAGGTTGTCACACCGAAGCTGTAGTTGTGAAAAGTGCTCAGAGCTAACAGAAATACTTAATTTGGGATGGAAGGGAAAACAATATTTTATGGACATTTTCCCTGATTAAACGGTAATGTCTTTATTATTGTAGACTAAAATTAAATTCTAAGCCCCACCCAAATGACTGAATGAGTCATTTTTTGGAGAAGGGGACCCCAGAGTATCCTTGAAAACTGAGTTCTCAGCCATGATAGCATGGTGGGGTCAGACTATCCTCCCCTTGCTACCCATGATTAGGCTTTCTTCCCTAAGAGCTCAATAGGAACCGGCCCTTTCAAAAGACTCCACCACTGATCTCAACCAATCTCTGGTTGCTGCTCCCCCCTTCTTGCCTGATAAGAAGCCACTGACCATGGACTGTTTCTGGCTAGTAAAGGGAGCATGCATAGGAAGGGTCCTGATGTTCTCTGCTTCATCTTTTCACTTCAGAGAGCCAAAAACTTCACCCTGAGATCATAACCATTATTTGAACATGAAGCATGAAGCTCAAAAGCACTTGCATACGTTTTCCCTTTCATAAATATTCATGACTCCTATAGCTTACTGAATATGCATATTTGGCCACTCTGCTCAGCATAAATTTCTGTTCCCTTTTCCCCCCTCTCCAAGTATCTGTGGTTTCTGGCTGGAGGCTCTGCTTCTCAGCCTGTCAGCATGGTCACCCTGCTGGCTGTAGCCCTTTATAAGAAATAAAATCTTCTCTTCTCCTTCTCTAAATTTATAAATTGCATATTTTTAAGTTAACAAAAGATGGGGAAGTACACAGATGAGGCAGGTTTACTTTATTTTTTAATATTATATAGTGAAGAAAAGACATGGAAGCAAAGTTCTATTTTAAACTTGATAAGCTGGAGATGTCTGCTATGCTTCCAAGTAAAGATGTCAAGTAGACAGTTTCATCTATGGATAGAGATGATTTAAAACTTGGGAATCAAGATTATATGTATGTGATCATTTGACTCCTAAGTTTCTAACGCCTATCTCTGAATTATTCATCCAGAACGTCTTAAACTAGCCTTTCCTTCTAAGATCTTAACCTACGGCAAAGACACACAAGTGGCTCTTTGATTAATTCTACCATCATTTCGTATTAATCTGTTCATGCATTCATTCATCAAATATGTATTGAAGTGATATTTTTAAATGTGGGATTCAAAGAGATAAACTGGGAATGAAAAGAGAGAGGACTAGGCACTGAACCTCAGAGTATTTCGACATTTAAAGATTCTAATAAGGGAAGGAGTCAGTCCAGAAGATTAGAAATGAGAAGCCTGTATTTTAGGCAAAAAACCAGATTCATGTAGAAAATACTCTAAGAAGGAGTAGAGGCTGTGTCAAGTGATTGCCTAATGAAGGTCACTGGGCTTGACAAGGTCCATTTTAGTAGAATGATCCTTATGGAAATCTGGTTGGGGTGGGTTAAGGGGACAGTGGGATGTGAGGCCGTGCAGACTGCTGGTTTCAACTGTTTTTTTTTTTTTTTTGAGGAGTATTCCTATTAACATAAATGAAATCAGGCTTCAGCAGCGTCCGCAGCAAGTTAGGAGGCCAAATATATTTTTTTTACATGGGAGATACTTAGATGTTGATAGTATTTTAGCAGGAAAGAAAAGTTAATAACATGGGAGAAAAAGTTGTAGGAACAAATTAGTTGTTTAGATGGGAGGGGGTAAGACTGTAAAAATGATGGGTTGAATTTAGATAGGAACCAAGAAAGTCTATCCCATATTATTCCAAGGAAAGCAAAGAATATAAGTGAAGATACAGTGAAATTATACAAAAAAAAGTAAAAAAAAAGAGAAGAGAGAACAGGTGTGGTAGGTTTGGGAAGAAAGAAAAACTATGAAATAATCATCTTGGAGAAGAGGAGAGAAAATTGATCAGAGAAACTAGCACAAGATTGCTGAGTAGTGCTGGAGGCTCACTTGGTACTTTTTTACTTAAATCTGTATTAAAAGCGGGCGTGAGTCCTTGGTTTTCTGTAATCACATTTGGCTGCATGGGTGATGGCACAAAGCAGAAAGAAAACTGGATTTAACCAGACCTGGGGTGCTGCCAGGTGAAAATGATAGGTGGGGAGACAGGCAGAAAAAGTTGAAGCTGCATGTTAGGGAGTAATTGCAGTGTTCACTAGACCACTAGACCATTAAATCTGAATGGTTTAGGAAGTAAAATAATTTCAGGAGGGAGGTATGGACAATGTAAAGGAGGGCTGAACTAATGTCAGGAAAGTTGTAATAGTAAAAGTCTGGGTGTTTGTGTTCCTATCATAACTGAAAACATAAGAGGCACTCATTCAATAATTGCATGCCCGAAATTGGGATTTTTTTAAACCTAGTTGAGTTATTGATAATGCTAAAATTTAGTTATTGTTAAAGATATGAGTAGGGCATTTGGTGGCTGAGTTAAGACCGAAGGAAAAAAGTTATCTGCAGATAAGTCAAGAAACTTAGGGGCCAGGGTGTTGGCCAGATCCCTCTCAAGGATGTGGGCACTACCAGGATTGATGAAAGAAATAGTGCTGAGAGGAAGGTCAGCAAAATTAAATATTTGCCAAGAAGTCATATTCTTTGTGTGTCAATTTCTTTATGTGAAGAGTATAATCAGATTAAATAGATTTTTCTCTAAATTTTTAGAGAAAATTTAGAGAAATCTCTTCTTTGAAGAGATTTTCTTTTAATTTTTAAAATGTTTAGCCACTAAAATGGCTCTCATGATTAGAAACTTTTGAAAATTTCAGCTGTTAATCAAATAACTAGAACCTCCCTGATGCTTAGCAAATCTCCATTTCCTTTGCCACATTTTAATATTTATAAGTGTTTCTAGTCTTAATGATTTTCATGTGTATGAAATTATTAGTTATTGAGGATAAAAAACGAAAAAGGCAGGCTTCTATGTGTACATTGTAATTGGGGGTGTAGTCAGGGTGAGAAAAACATAAGAAAAATGAATCTTAATGAGAATGCAGTTACAATAATCCATTTATTTAATGACTATTTATTGAGGGTGTCCTGCGTACCAAGTATTTTTTTTCTTTTTCTTTTCTTTCTTTCTTTTTTTTTTTTTTTTTTGAGACAGGGTCTCACTCTGTCACCCAGGCTGGAGTGCAGTGGTCTAATCTCAGCTCACTGCAACCTCTGCCTCCTGGGTTAAATCAATTCTCCTGCCTCAGCCTCCTGAGTAGCTGAGATTATAAGCACTTGCCACCACACCCGGCTACTTTTTTGTATTTTTTTAGTAGAGAGGGGTTTCACCATGTTGGCCAGGTTGGTCTTGAACTCCTGACCTCAAGTGATCCACCCACCTTGGCCTCCCAAGGTGCTGGGATTACAGGCATAGTTTTTGTGCCACAGATTAAGTGGTGAATAGGCCCTACTTCTCTAGTGATCCTATGCTAGAACCAGATGATCCCACATCTGTCCATTTGAAAACCCGCACATGTACACTGTCTTCAGTCCTGATGAGAGGAGAAGCCAGCTGGACTTCATGGGTCCTGGGTCGAGTGGGGACTTGGAGAACTTTTCTGTCTAGCTAAAGGATTGTAAACACACCAATCTGCACTCTGTAAAAACGCACCAATCAGCACTCTGTGTCTAGCTAAAGGATTGTAAACGCACCAATCAGCACTCTGTAAAAACGCAGTAATCAGCACTCTGTGTCTAGCTAAAGAATTGTAAATGCAGCAATCAGCACTCTGTAAAAACGCACCAATCAGCACTCTGTGTCTATCTAAAGGATTGTAAATGGACCAATCAGCACTCCATACAATGGACCAATCAGCAGGATGTGGGCAGGGCCAAATAAGGGAATAAAAGCTGGCCATCTGAGCCAGCAGCAGCAACCAGCTGGGGTCCCCTTCCATGCTGTGGAAGCTTAGTTCTTTAGCTCTTCACAATAAATCTTGCTGCTGCTCACTCTTTGGGTCTGCACTACCTTTACGAGCTGTAACACTCACTTCGAGGGTCTGCAGCTTCATTACTGAAGTCGGTGAGACCACGAACCCACTGGAAAGAACAAACAACTCTGGTGACACCACCTTTAAGAGCTGTAACACTCACTGCAAAGGTCTGTGGCTTTGCTCCTGAAGTCAGCGAGACCATGAACCCACAAGACGGAAGAAACTCTGGACACATCTGAACATCTGAAGGAACAAATTCCAGACACACCATCTTTAAGAACTGTAACACTCACTGTGAGGGTCTGGGGCTTCATTCTTGAAGTCAGCGAGACCAAGAACCCACTGGAAGGAATAAATTCCCGACACACTGAGAGTGTGTATGTGTGATTCCCTGGGGTTCAGAAGCTCGTAATACAAGAAGCTGTAATACAAGCTTCTGAACCCCAGGGAATCACACATACACACTCTCAGGGTTCTTTCTACTCTGTTTCTTAGATTCATTATAATTGTCTCTAAGAAGGACTCAGAGTTTTAAAAATTGTTTCTCCAATGTTATGCAGAGGATTACAAAAGCAGATTTTCAGATTTTTTTAATAAGAAATTGTGATTCAAGGAGTCTAAGGTGAAGCTCAGGGATGTGTATTTTAATGAGTTTCCTAGAAGAATTTGATACATATTGTCTGAGGACTAAATTTTGAGAAAAACTACCTTAGAGAAACAAAAATAACGTGATCTTCCCTGGGGATAAGGATTAATTAAACCTTAAAAACATCAAAGCAATGCAACTTCTTTCTGGGAGATTAAGAAAAGTTTATGCTTCACAGGTAGGATACTCTCACAGAAGGAAGCTGAGAAGTTCATTTTGTAATTTGTAAGTGTTATTATTGGGTGTTCACACACATGTGTGAGATGTGGCTCCCCTGGACATGTTACCAGCCTGATGAGGTAAAGAGACTATTAAAAATCTGAAGAACTCCAAGATACCATTCTTGCTAAAAGCAACACAGAAAACAAAATGCGGTTACATCTCTAGGGTACCGCAGTGGACACCCCAGCAGCTAAATAAAGGCTAAAGATAATATTTGGCAAGAACCCCTTTTCACAAAGATCTTCATAATGATTTGATATGAACATGCCCTATATTAGTCCACTTTCATACTGCTATGAAGAAATACCTGAGAGTGGGTAATTTATAAAGAAAAAGAGGTTTAATGGACTCACAGTTCCACTTGGCTGAGGAGGCCTCACAATCATGGCAGAGGCAAAGGAGGAGCAAAGGCACATTTTACATGGTGGCAGGCAAGAGAGCATGTGCAGGGGAATGCCCTTATAAAACCATCAGATCTTGTGAGACTTTTCACTATCATGAGAACAGCATGGGAAAAACCTACCCCCATAATTCAATTACCTCCCATGAGGTCCCTCCCATAAACGTGTGGATTATGGGACCTTCAATTCAAGATGAGATTTGGGTGGGGACACAGCGGAACCATATCATGCCCCAATGTGACATAAAACAAGGTCAAGTGAGACAAAAAGCTCATTCATTAGTCCCAGGGCCTGCCTTGTGTTTCCAACATAATGGTCCAGGCCAAGATATGTCTTCAGATCTTTCCGTCCACCTTCTGTGGACCTGTCAAGATCATAATGCTTGCTCTGTGCTTCTTGTCTTGACCTAGATCTCCATCCTTCTCTCACTCCTGAACTTTTCTACAGAGCTTTAATTCTTCAGTAATCTCTCTTACATATTAACTTGACTGTAGGATGTTCTCCCTCTCCTTGCCATACCTCAATCCTAGTTCTCCCTGAGGAAACTAATTCCTCTGTAGTCCTTTCACGTGAACTGCTTATTCCTCCAAATGCTGTTTATCTCAGGGTCTAGATCTGGAGTTGTCAATGAGTTTTACCTCTATTCGCTACTTCAATGCTCTCAATTCCCTCATCCTACTTTAAAGCTTTTGTTCCTTTGAGATTCACCATCTCTAGCACTTCACGTATTGAGTATTCCCCAACTCATCTCATTCTAGAGTTTTGATTTTTTTTTTTACCCTCCCTTCTGTGAAGTGGTAGACTGATAATGCCCTTAATGTCTTCAGTGATCTCTGTACCTTTTGGTACTCACTTTACTTGACCACTTTTCAGAATTAGATATGGTTGACCATATTTTCCTTCCTGAAATTCACTCCTCTGGGCCTCTAAGTCACAGGGCTATATTTTAGTATTCCAGGACCCTCACTTGGGATCATTTGATATCACCTGCCAGATGAGGGAATAAAAACAAAACTAACAAAAAAACTCAATCACGTTAACTAGTTTCTTAAAGTTCCCAGTACGAATAAGGGGCATAATGGAAACATAAATCTATGGCAAACATGGGATCTTTACCGCTACATTTTATGGACCTCCTGATTTTGAGGAGTTCTTAATTAGTTCAGTGATAAACAGAGGCCTTGGGAAGGCAGAAGGTAACATGGTGATTCTGGAACCTGGAAATGGCAGTTGGATGTTGAAAGCAACTAGTGTTTCAGAAGATAAACCTCACTGACATCCTCCATACTATGACCTTTGAGCCTCAAGTGAGACTCTTATTACATCCCCAAAGTTTTAGTCAGATGCCTGAAATAATTATTTTTACCAAAAGAATAAAAAAAAATCGGTACAACAAATAACTTCCTGATCATGAAGCTGAATTCCTTTTACTTTAGGGCCACTTCTCTTGAGTCAGCAAACGTTGTCTTTGTGTTTTTTGTTGGTGTCTTCATCTAATTATGCAGCCTCATGTTTGACTGTCTCCATCAAAATACATTCAACATTATTTCCCTACTCTATTGCTACTTCTGGAAAATACAAACTTTTGTGAGTATTCTGATTCAAAATTATTATGACAAATATGTCTCCATAAAGGATTGCTAGTAACATGATTAGCTTTAAAATATGGATATATAAATTGTAACCTTCTTTTAAATTAAATAACACAACTGATACAATTTTTAATCTTCAAATGTTCCAATCATGTTTTTTCTTTCCTGCCACAAGAGAATATTAAGTCGATTAAAAACAGATTTTTGGCTCTATGCTGAGTAGAAACTTACCTAATAGTAACTTATTTAGTGTCCTTGTGAATACAGCTTTCTAATATGCCACCAGGGAGTAAATTCAACTTTGTGATAATTTGGATTATTAGGTATTTAAAAAAATAAAACCTCAGCTAGAATTGTACTTTTAATACAAACAACATTGCTTTATGTTGTCAGCTCCCTAAGGAGAGTTACTCTTTTTTTGTTGGAAGTAGTTTTTCCATTTACATAATTTATGTTCAGAAAAAGAATTTCAGATAATGATAATGTCATAAAAGGAAAGGTTATTATCTATATCTATGTAAAAATGTGATGAGAGGTACATTTTGATTTGAGGAGAATGAAAGATTGGAGCTCTGTGATGCTTTTGAATAAAGTATATTTGATTATTTCCTTTCTTGTTTAGTCCAACTGTGGTTTAGGAGGACTCCTGCAAGAAGACAGGTGCATAAAGATACTTATCAACTAGATAAGAGTCCATTCAACCTGGAGGCTTATTTTACTTTTTTATATTGCTATTGTAGAAATGCAGTTAAGTGCAAGGTCTACTGATGGAGATATCATGAAATGATAAAAAATTTATATTTGTTCTCACTATTCTTATTATCTTTATATATAAACACATAGATAAAACACAATTTCATAACAGAAAAGGAAATTGACTTTTTTTCCGCTTTTAATTCTGTATTGAAAATATCTTCATCATAAAACACACTTTGGCCCATGCAATTTGATACCTACTTGCAAATCCTTATCAGCAACATACTTTTAGATCTTTGGATCCCTAAAACTGTTACTATCAAAGACATATTCTCTCACTTAAACCTGCTTATATACATGCCTTGGTTGAGTATTAATTTTCTTTTACCTTATTTGTAAGACAGTATTAAAGAGAATCACTATATAAATCAAAGTTATTATTTTGGTAAACTGATTATTCTTTATATTGTATGCAATAGCAAAAAGAAAAATAAGCAAATATCCTCCCAATTTAAGGGAGAATGAAAATGAATCCTTAGGAAGAGAGGTGAAAAAATAATGGTTTTATTAAAATAATTTACAATCATTCATTGAAGCTGAGCTGTACCTTTTATATAAGTTTTTCTGTATAAATTTCAACGAATCCTTCTCCACATCTTCTGTGGTAAAGAAAGCATTAGTGTTGTCATTTCCATGGAAGGCAGTAAAGCCGAGCTGCTGGGATGAGTTGCCCAAGGTTACACACACGTGGTAAACAACCCAAGTCTTCTGGTTCCAACACAAAGTGTTCTTTTTATTAACCACAGCTGCAATCTCACCATTTACATTTTGGAGAATAATTGGAAATAATTGGATTATTATTGGCATATCTTACATGTACATAGAACTCTGATTCTGCATGTTTTTCCACCTTTAAAACCAAGCAGTAAAGTATGTTCCCCTTTTCTGGGGATATTTTTGGATTAAGTAATCTTAAGAAAACAAGTATCCTAAAAAAATATGATAATAAGAATTGCTGGTTGACTTTTATTCTTGCCACAGGCAGCAGTTTGGCAGGTGCATGTAAGTCTTGATGAGACTGTCTTATTAAATTATAGGACCAATTAGTGCACCTAGATATATTTTGACTGGTTCTATACCTATGGCACCTATAAATTATAATTGGCTGGTGATGGTTGTGACTTAACTATACCTGGAACTGATAATCATATGTTATAATTTCATATAAATGATAAAAATAATTATAACTCCCAAATCTTGGTGATTGATTTAGCAATAGTCTTTTAGAAGTACCGTAATACCTTACCTAAGAGATTTTAATAATCTTGAATTGATTCAATGAGATATTTCTTCAAGTAGTTCTAAAAAATGCATAGATTTCATTATCTTTACTATGCTGTGACAAGTAAAACATTTTCCGTCCATGAGTTTTTGGAGATACGAATTCTGTCATGGAATTACAGACTGGAGTTTTACGATCGCTGAGAAAATAATCATTAAAGATAAATCTATTAAATCCTAATAAATAGACAAGTCATCTAAGCTTTAGCATCTACAGTTATGTGGGGTGGTAATGGTTCAATCTTTCACTTTTGTTAAGAAGCTGAAATGTTTTTCAAAGATATTGAATGTTAACAGCAAAAGATAAATTCTTCATGTTGACACAGTGTTTCAAAAGAAGTGTCGATGTTATACTTATAGCAGGTGAATTACTCTTTAAAAATCTGTTGTCTGCATTCCTGTGTGTGGCTTCCTGATCCTCTCTAGTTTACAGCTTACAAGTATACTACCTGTCATCGTTCAGAAGGCTTGTTTCTAGTATTCTTGGCTGAATATTCTGTGTGCCTTAAATTTTTAAAGACCAATATGGATGTGGCATAGACAGGTGATTCTCAAAGGTTAGCATTCACCAAAATTGCCTGATGGGCTTGTTGACATACAGTTTGCTACAACCTACCCCCCAGAGTATGAGACAGTAGATCTGGAGTAGGGCCTAACAAATAATATTTCCACCAAGTACTAGATGATGCCGCTGGTCTAGAGCTTTTGATAACCACTGGTCTACAGTAACAGTTAATAGCTGGTTCTCTAGAGACGGACTGCCTAAATTAAAATTTATTTCTGTCACTTAATAGTTGGTTTACATTCAGTGAGCTGCTTTTAACTCTGTGATTTAGCTTCCTCATCTGTACAATGAGTCTCATACCAGTACCCAGTTCATAGAACTATTCTAAGATAGTACCTGGAACAGAGTGAGCACTCAACAACAGTCAGATATTATCATTCTTTTCAGAGATCCATTTGACTCTAAGCTCATGATAGCCAATAAAAAAAATTATCTTATTTTTTTTTAATAAACATACTGTGTTCATGGTAAGGAATACTGAATATAGGGCAGATAATACCTGGAGTAATGTATTTAACTTTTGCAAACATATTTTTAGAAAGGCTTTGATAGTCTGGAATGAGTCCAGGGAAGGTAAAGAGACTTAAAATTCTGCCACATGAGGGAGGGGTAGAGACATTTTTTGAGAAGGGAGTCTGTATTAGTGACACCCTAACTGTGTTAGAATACTCAGGCACTTATCATTGCCTGAACACAGATATGCTATTCAGTGCTTTTTAAAGAATTTTTGCCTTAATATAAAGAACATTATATCAATTATATTTTTCCAAAAGAATGGCTTACTCTGTGTGTTTGTAAATTCCTTGTTATTTACTGTGTTTAAAAAAGAAATGAGCAATTTTTTATTATAAAGTTTGGAAAACTATGTCCTATCTTGCTAAGAAAGCTGAGTTAGCCTCTCTTTTAGGGACTTTCTATATCTAAAATACTCCTTGGTCTTATGAACTTGCTTTTACATTTGACCCCATAGATTATGTTTCCAAATGTCAGACTATATTTAAAGTCTATGCAATTATGATGGAGTAAAATGTGACACAAAATCTGTTAATTTTATTCAGTAAATTCTGCCTGCTTGGCCCCACAAGAAGTGGAATCTTGATTATGTCAGTCCTGTTGCTTAAATACTAGTCTGGGACTATTATACTGAGCTGTGACAAATTGGACTGTCCATAATTTCCAATCATGCCTGATTCCACTATTGTTGTATGAAGATGGACTGCACTATCTTAGTGCAACCACTTGGCTCACCACAATGCAAAGCTGCTGTTGCGGCAAAGACAACAAGAAGGCCTGCTGGCAAATAGGCTACTTGAATCAGACAGTAAAGCGAGAAGCAAGGAGTAATGGTTATGAAGATAACTATCCTCAGGGAATATTTTTTGCTGTGAAGCGTCTATGAGTGTTTGGTGCATAATCCATTCAGTTTACTTAATGCTTTTGCCAAATCATGCCCTCATGTTTCTGTTTCCCTCCAGACAAATGAATATATGTGAAATGACAAAACTTTAGGTGATATGTGGCATGGAGATATTAAACAATAAACTACAGTGAAATAAAAGATTTAGAAGAATCTTCAGCAAAATCACTGTTATAAAAGAAAAGGCATGGAGTTGGATAGACCTGATTCAATGCCACTTCTTTTCCTTTTTTATTTATTTATTTTTTTGAGGCAGAGTTTTGCTTTTGTTGTCCAGGCTGGAGTGCAATGGCACAACCTCGGCTCACTGCAACCTCCGCCTCCTGCTTTCAAGGGATTCTCCTGCCTCAGCCTCCCAAGTAGTTGGGATTACAGGCATGTGTCACCACGCCAGGCTAATTTTGTATTTTTAGTAGAGACGGGTTTCTCCATGTTTGTCAAGCTGGTCTCGAACTCCTGACGTGAGGTGATCCGCCCACCTCAGCCTCTCAAAGTGCTGGGATTACAGGCGTGAGCCACCGCAACCGCCTAATGCCACTTCATTTACTAATTCCTGTTTGGACTTTAGCAAATTTCAGTAGGGCTTGGTTTCTTATCCATAAAATGGATAATTATGCCTTAAGCTTGTTGTTGTTTTGTTTGTAAACTGCGGGGAAAGATCTCCATGAACTAGGGAATGACATGTCCTCTTTGATAAGCAGACTTTTTACATCCAGTTATACAAGTCAAGTTATACAAAGCATAACTTGACAGTCACATGTAGTAAAAGACAGAATGGCTTATAAACATGCAACGCTTTTCTTGAACCTTAATTGAATGCATTTAGCATCTAAGGAAAGAACAAGTCTTTGGACTTGTTCTAAGGAAAGAACACATGGACACTCAGGTACTGTTCAGGAACCAGGAAGTGAAATACAATACAACATCAACATCGACTACTCTGTTGCCATTTTAAAACTATGCCTTTGGCTTTAAACATTAAGTGTTTTGTTGTTGTTTTAATTCAATGTTCAACAGATACCAATCTGTGGAAAATTATTTTTCCTGTTTAAGACTAGTTATCTGAGAGAGTTCCAGTCTCTATTATGGTTATATAACATTTGTCATTATAAATTGAGGCTTGTGGATTTGGTTAGTGAAAGGCAACCTGAGAGACTAATTCCCTCGCAGTGTGTATTAAAAGATTTCTGAGCCTGCATGGATGAGAGCCAAACCTTGCATACTCACCAGCATGATCCATTTTACCCTACGAGACCTTTTGGGAGACAGCCGGCCAGTTTGTTTTGAAGTAAATGCCCCTGGACACCAACTTTACTGCATGCAGAAATTTTGAAACATCTTAATCTCCCTTGTTGTGAAGTGTTCAGATTTAGAGGCAATGTAAGGGAATTGACTATAACTTAATGGACAAGTCTTTACTAAATGTAACACATAATTAGATGTAGACTTCTGAATTCAAAATAGGTTTTCTGAAAACCTATTGTATCTGGGATATGTTATTGAATGAGTAATTCAGTGGGAGTTACGAAGGGACTGTAAAAATGTATTTGTTAAATGGTGAGCATATCATAATAAAAAGTAGACCATATTTATGGAATGCACCGTGTATGTCAGGCATTATATATGACTTTTTTTTCTTTGGAGACGGAGTCTCGCTCTGTCGCCCAGGCTGGAGTGCAGTGGCGCGATCTCAGCTCACTGCAATGCAACCTCCGCCTCCTGGGTTCACACCATTCTCCTGCCTCAGTCTCCCTAGTAGCTGGGACTACAGGTGCCTGCCACCACGCCCGGCTGATTTTTCGTATTTTTACTAGAGATAGGGTTTCACTGTGTTAGCCAGGATGGTCTCAATCTCCTGACCTTGTGATCTGCCCGCCTTGGCCTCCCAAAGTGCTGGGATTACAGGCGTGAGCCACCACGCCCGGCCGTATATGACCTCTTAACCCTCAAAACATCCCTTGGAAGTAAGTTATCTTAGTCTCCCTTTAGGTAGCTGGGTCATAGTAAGGTGAAAATAACTCTCACAAGTTTCACAGCTGTTGAGTGCTTTGCCCAGAGAGTCTGGCAGAGACCCTGTGCTGAAAACACTCTGGAATACTGTGGTATGTTAGAAGATGTTGCAGAGATACAACTTGTTTCTTCCCAACATCTATCATACCACTTTTGCATGCTAAGAGGACATCTGTAAGATTGAGAATGCAAACAAAGAAACAAAAAACCCAAAAACAACTTAACTGTAATCTCCCTTTTTCCTTAGGTGTAACTTTTCTCCTTAGGTGTGACTAAATTCTGACTATGATAATAAAAGTTGTAAAGCTGGAATTCAGGAATGTCACATTAAAGGAAGAATAGGTAGTTTGTGAAATAATTGTATTATGTGTTTCGTTACTCTTCATCCTCTTTCCCTTTTGGTGGTAATGTAGGTATAAAGTTTGGAGCCCCAGCAATCATTTTGGATCTTGGGATGACCTCAAGGATGGAAGTCACATGCTAGTATGCTTATGCAGATAAAGAGTTGGTCTTTGATGAAATGCAAGCTGCAGTATCAAGTTTGGACATTTTTCATCTGGACCACTTTTTATTTGATGTAAACCCTTGTGCATTTAAGCCAGTTACATTTTGAATTTTCTGTTATAGGTAATCAAATACGATCCTAACAGCTAACAAGAAAGAGAAGGCAGCAGTAAGAGATAGAATATTTTTAACCATGTTTTTATATTAAAAATGGAAACGGGCAGCAGTGGTGATCTTTTTCATATCCCTCCGCTTCACTCATCTTTATCTTCTTTCATGGGTATCTCTGTCTTAATGCGACTTATGAGTTTGCTAGCACTTCAGCATAGTTTCATAAAGGCAGGATGAACCTGCTGTGGGATTTTAAATGATGTAACCGATAATGTCCCCTAAATGGAAAACTTGTGAAAATGAGAGGAAGTACTATGAATAACTATAATTGTCTAAAGGGTGTAAGCCAGGGCTGCTCTAGATATACCTGGATGTCAAGTCACCCTAGGTTTAATGATAGAAAGACTGAAGAAAAAGAGGAAAAGAAAGAAAGGTACTGTAATAGAAAAACGTGGACTAGAGAAATAGAGAATGACTGATTTTAAAAAATACATCTAATTTCTATTCTAAGGTGCTTCACAGTTTCATGAATCGTAAGTGTAATAAAGATTAGATACTGATAATGGTGCTTGCTATGATTATTATTACAAGGATGATCCCAATTATGATCTATAAAGCCTGTTCAGCATGAACACCAGGTTTCAAAGGGAGGTGATGAAAAAACAAGACCTAAAAGGAATCTCAGATTTCTGCCAGTCCTTTGCAGGAACAATGCATCAGGGGCTGATAGAAATAAGTAAGTCTGCTAGTTACAATTTCTTTTCCCAGAAAACCATAGGCGATCTAGGTAAGCTTTAAACAGACATGAAATTCTAGTTGATGTTCAGACCTTCTATGACCGCTAGAATTTGGAGTTTCAGATTTTTATGGCTAAAACGTGGGGTTTTCTCTGTGGTTTACAATAGCATACACTTAAGCAACAACATGAACAAACATACCTGTTTTTCTCTGAATCCTCCTGAATTAATGCTGAACAACCACCGAGGCAGAAAATAGGAGCAGATACATATGAAGAAGAATTCTTAGAGTATTAGAAGAGTATGGTGATACAGCAGTTTCTTGAGGGTGGACTTAAAAACAATAACGAGAAACCCAGTGGGAATGAGAAAAAATAATAGACTGGTTAATGACAGAGCTAACTAAAGAACAACAACAACAAAAAGAAAAACAAATAAATGTAGCCATTATATCAAAGGACAGAGAACCACAATATAAAAACTAAATGGGGAAAAAACTAGTAATAAAATGTCTCCTCTCAGGTGGGCACAAGCTCATGATAGAAAGTCAGTAAAATTTTTTGAGTGTATTGTAATTGATGATTCAGAGCAAGAAAAAAAAAAAAGCCTTTTTCTTCCCTAGTCTTCTAAATGAATCTTCCCATTGTGATCTCAACAAAAGGCCAAAATAATTAAAAAGGAGTAAGTTATGTGTGCATAACAACCGTGGAAAAACAGGTACCCAACAATGAAGAAAAGCAATGCAACTGAGAACAATAGTGCTTTCAGGATAAATGGCTTCCCAGAAGCTTAATTTCCAATGAGAAAAAAATGTTCTGAAAATTGTACCCAGGCTGTCACAGAACACAACATTTAGATGGTCTGTTATTCTGGGGAGATTAGCCATAGATAAAGAGAAACCTATTTTCAACTTTTAATTTTTCTCCCTGTCACAATGTGCTTTCTGGCTTATTTTGTTTGGCTTTAAGTGAGACAAAAATATTCTTCTACTTATAAATAACATACTGGTGGCAGGTGATTGAACTCCAACCTAGACATATATTGCTGAGAGAAATGAACAAAAGCACTTGTGGAAAGGAGAAAAGCAGAAATTAAGTTTACTATTTTATATGTTGCTTTTCCAAATTTTTAATCCTTAGCTTTTAAATTATTAAGAAATACATAATGTGAGAAAGGATAACAACGTCTAAAGCCACTTATTTAAAAAATCCTTTTAAATAACTTTCTGGATAGTAAAACGAGTCAAATTTATTTTTAACTATTTCACTTACAAATTTTAGGGGTTTTTGTTACTCACAACAGATAAATCTATACACCACCACTTCCTCCCAATAAATTTTTTCAGTTTTCTTTTTTTTTGGATTATTTTTGTTATATTTCATGTACTAATTGATACATATGAAAGAGAATAAGAAGTTGTATATGTAACAGAACACAATTTTTAAAATGAATATCAAACCAGTACCCAACCTAAGAGCCAGAATTATTGTATTTCCCCGAGTGTTCTTCATTCCCCAGCTCCATGAACAGATAATCACTGTCCTAGATTTCATGTTTTAATCTTGTACTATTTCTGAAAAACACAATTTTATTGCATATATGTTTTTTCTCTATGTAAAACATTATTAGTTTTGCTTGCTCTTAATTTGTATAGAAATTGAATCACACTTCATTTGGTCTTCTAAATTAGATTTTTTTTTTGCTCTGTATTGCAAAGAATCACACGCATTGTATGTAGCTGTAGAACCTTCCTTTTCACTGCTATGAAATCCCATCACATACACAGAGTGCAATGTGTTAATTTTTCCGTTGAATAATATTTTTGTTTTTGTTTTTATTTGTTATGAACAAAGCTGCTACGGCCATTCTTGTGCGGAACTCCATTTTCACATGCAAAACTAGTTCTATATTTTCAGCGGATAAATATAGCATTGGAAATTTATTTTAATACAGTAGGTGAATATTCAACTTGAAGGATAATTCCATCTTGTTTTCCAACATGGTTATATCAATTTATACCTTCAATAAAGGGTTTAGGAGCTCTAATTGATTTATATCATTTCCAACACTTGGTATTTTCCGATTTAATTCTGGAAATGTAATAGGTATAAAACTGTATTTCAACGCCATTTTAGTTTGCATTTCCTGATTACTAATGCAGTTGAATATTTTATCCATCTATATTTTCTTGATAATTCCTCTTTTATATGTCCATGTCTTTTGCAAATTTACACATCAGATTGTTTTCAATCGACTTGTTTTTTTTTTTTTTTTCATTCAGAATGGTTTATTACTCACGTATTGAGCAGTGTGGCTCCCAACCAGATCCAAAAGTGGCTTGAGAAAGCCAGAAAAGGAGACTGGCTTTGGGCTTTTATGTTGGTCAGGGTGTGGCTGAGCTGAGGATGCCATCCAGCAAGCCTGCCCTTTGTACGTGAACTTCCCGCCTGCTGATGCCAATGGAGGGAACACTTGGACTTTCTTACCAGCTTGCCCACATGGAGGGTAAGAGGAAAAGTGGGAGTGGTGGGGTTCAAAGTTGTCTCCAGTGAAACATCAAAATTAGAGTCACACTCATAAGTTATAAGGTAGGAACCCAACTTCACTGTATCCATGTGGTTAGCCAATTGCCTTTGTGCCATTCACTGCATAGTCCTTTCTTTCCCCGGGGTTCTGAATAGAATATCTCTGTTCTATACCAAGTTTTATGTCTGAGTGGGTCTGTTTTTGTAACATTTTTAAAATTTGTTCATGCTGGTGCCATTGTATTCACTATTATCTAAATTATAATAAATATTGATATTAGGTAGGGTAAGTTCCTACCAACATTTTTTTCTTCTTCATCAATACTTTGTTTACTATTTGCCCTTACTCTTTCATGCAAATTTTAGAATCAGTTTGTCAAGTTATGTGGATGAAAAAAGCTTTTGTTTTTATATTACATCAAAGTTATGAATCAGTTTTGGGAAAATTGGCATACATAAAACATTGAGATAGCCTATCTAATTAACAGGCATAAAGTTTCACATCAGCAAGTTGCATAAGCTCTAGAGATCTTCCAATGTACAGCTATTGTACCTATAGTTAACAATACTATATTGTATACTTAAAAATTTAACAGGGTAGATTTCAGGTTAAGTGTTTTACAACAATAAACTTTTTTATTTATTTATTTATTTAGTATTATACTTTAAGTTTTAGGGTACATGTGCACAACGTGCAGGTTAGTTACATATGTATACATGTGCCATGCTGGTGCCCTGCACCCACTAACTCGTCATCTAGCATTAGGTAAATCTCCCAATGCTATCCCTCCCCCATACCCCCACCCCACAACAGTCCCCAGAGTGTGATGTTCCCCTTCCTGTGTCCATGTGTTCTCATTGTTCAATTCCCCCCTATGAGTGAGAATATACGGTGTTTGGTTTTTTGTTCTTGCGATAGTTTACTGAGAATGATGATTTCCAATTTCATCCATGTCCCTACAAAGGACATGAACTCATCATTTTTTATGGCTGCATAGTATTCCATGGTGTATATGTGCCACATTTTCTTAATCCAGTCTATCATTGTTGGACATTTAGGTTGGTTCCACGTCTTTGCTATTGTGAATAATGCCGCAATAAACATACGTGTGCATGTGTCTTTATAGCAGCATGATTTATAGTCCTTTGGGTATATACCCAGTAATGGGATGGCTGGGTCAAATGGTATTTCTAGTTCTAGATCCCTGAGGAATCGCCACACTGACTTCCACTATGGTTGAACTAGTTTACAGTCCCACCAACAGTGTAAAAGTGTTCCTATTTCTCCACATCCTCTCCAGGACCTGTTGTTTCCTGACTTTTTAATGATTGCCATTCTAACTGGTGGGAAATGGTATCTCATTGTGGTTTTGATTTGCATTTCTCTGATGGCCAGTGATGATGAGCATTTTTTCATGTGTTTTTTGGCTGCATAAATGTCTTCTTTTGAGAAGTGTCTGTTCATGTCCTTCGCCCACTTTTTGATGGGATTGTTTGTTTTTTTCTTGTAAATTTGTTTGAGTTCATTGTAGATTCTGGATATTAGCCCTTTGTCAGATGAGTAGGTTGCAAAAATTTTCTCCCATTTTGTAGGTTGCCTGTTCACTCTGATGGTAGTTTCTTTTGCTGTGCAGAAGCTCTTTAGTTGAATTAGATCCCATTTGTCAATTTTGGCTTTTGTTGCCATTGCTTTTGGTGTTTTAGACATGAAGTCTTTGCCCATGCCTATGTCCTGAACGGTAATGCCTAGGTTTTCTTCTGGGTTTTTATGGTTTTAGGTCTAACGTTTAAGTCTTTAATCCATCTTGAATTGATTTTTGTATAAGGTGTAAGGAAGGGATCCAGTTTCAGCTTTCTACATATGGCTAGCCAGTTTTCCCAGCACCATTTATTACATAGGGAATCCTTTCCCCATTGCTTGTTTTTCTCAGGTTTGTGAAAGATCAGATAGTTGTAGATATGCGGCGTTATTTCTGAGGGCTCTGTTCTGTTCCATTGATCTATATCTCTGTTTTGGTACCAGTACCATGCTGTTTTGGTTACTGTAGCCTTGTAGTATAGTTTGAAGTCAGGTAGTGTGATGCCTCCAGCTTTGTTCTTTTGCCTCAGGATTGACTTGGCGATGTGGGCTCTTTTTTGGTTCCATATGAACTTTAAAGTAGTTTTTCCAATTCTGTGAAGAAAGTCATTGGTAGCTTGATGGGGATGGCATTGAATCTGTAAATTACCGTGGGCAGTATGGCCATTTTCATGATATTGATTCTTCCTACCCATGAGCATGGAATGTTCTTCCATTTGTTTTTATCCTCTTTTGTTTCCTTGAGAAGTGGTTTGTAGTTCTCCTTGAAGAGGTCCTTCACATCCCTTGTAAGTTGGATTCCTAGGTATTTTATTCTCTTTGAAGCAATTGTGAATGGGAGTTCACTCATGATTTGGCTCTCTGTTTGTCTGTTGTTGGTGTATAAGAATGCTTGTGATTTTTGTACATTGATTTTGTATCCTGAGACTTTGCTGAAGTTGCTTATCAGCTTAAGGAGATTTTGGGCTGAGACAATGGGGTTTTCTAGATATACAATCATGTCATCTGCAAACAGGGACAATTTGACTTCCTCTTTTCCTAATTGAATACCCTTTATTTCCCTCTCCTGCCTAATTGCCCTGGCCAGAACTTCCAACACTATGTTGAATAGGAGTGGTGAGAGAGGGCATCCCTGTCTTGTGCCAGTTTTCAAAGGTAATGCTTCCAGTTTTTGCCCATTCAGTATGATATTGGCTGTGGGTTTGTCATAGATAGCTCTTATTATTTTGAGATATGTCCCATCAATACCTAGTTTATTGAGAGTTTTTAGCATGAAGGGTTGTTGAATTTTGTCAAAGGCCTTTTCTGCATCTATTGAAATAATCGTGTGGTTTTTGTCTTTGGTTCTGTTTATATGCTGGATTACATTTACTGATTTGCGTATATTGAACCAGGCTTGCATCCCAGGGATGAGGCCCACTTGATCATGGTGGATAAGCTTTTTGATGTGCTGCTGGATTCGGTTTGCCAGTATTTTACTGAGGATTTTTGCATCAATGTTCATCAAGGATATTGGTCTAAAATTCTCTTTTTTGGTTGTGTCTCTGCCCGGCTTTGGTATCAGGATGATGCTGGCCTCATAAAATGAGTTAGGGAGGATTCCCTCTTTTTCTATTGATTGGAATAGTTTCAGAAGGAATGGTACCAGTTCCTCCTTGTACCTCTGGTAGAATTCGGCTGTGAATCCATCTGGTCGTGGACTCTTTTTGGTTGGTAAGCTATTGATTATTGCCACAATTTCAGATCCTGTTATTGGTCTATTCAGAGATTCAACTTCTTCCTGGTTTAGTCTTGGGAGGGTGTATGTGTCGAGGAATTTATCCCTTTCTTCTAGATTTTCTAGTTTATTTGCATAGAGGTGTTTGTAGTATTCTCTGATGGTAGTTTGTATTTCTGTGGGATCGGTGGTGATATCCCCTTTATCATTTTTTATTGCGTCTATTTGATTCTTCTCTCTTTTTTTCTTTATTAGTCTTGCTAGCGGTCTATCAATTCTGTTAATCCTTTCAAAAAACCAGCTCCTGGATTCGTTAATTTTTTGAAGGGTTTTTTGTGTCTCTATTTCCTTCAGTTCTGCTCTGATTTTAGTTATTTCTTACCTTTTGCTAGCTTTTGAATGTGTTTGCTCTTGCTTTTCTAGTTCTTTTAATTGTGATGTTACGGTGTCAATTTTGGATCTTTCCTGCTTTCTCTTGTGGGCATTTAGTGCTATAAATTTCCCTCTACACACTGCTTTGAATGTGTCCCAGAGATTCTGGTATGTTGTGTCTTTGTTCTCGTTGGTTTCAAAGAACATCTTTATTTCTGCCTTCATTTTGTTATGTATCCAGTAGTCATTCAGGAGCAGGTTGTTCAGTTTCCATGTAGTTGACTGGTTTTGAGTGAGATTCTTAATCCTGAGTTCTAGTTTGATTGCACTGTGGTCTGAGAGATAGTTTGTTATAATCTCTGTTCTTTTACATTTGCTGAGGAGAGCTTTACTTCCAAGTATGTGGTCAATTTTGGAATAGGTGTGGTGTGGTGCTGAAAAAAATGTATATTCTGTTGATTTGGGGTGGAGAGTTCTGTAGATGTCTATTAGGTCCACTTGGTGCAGAGCTGAGTTCAATTCCTGGGTATCCTTGTTGACTTTCTGTCTCGTTGATCTGTCTAATGTTGACAGTGGAGTGTTAAAGTCTCCCATTATTAATGTGTGGGAGTCTAAGTCTCTTTGTAGGTCACTCAGGACTTGCTTTATGAATCTGGGTGCTCCTGTATTGGGTGCATATATATTTAGGATAGTTAGCTCTTCTTGTTGAATTGATCCCTTTACCATTATGAAATGGCCTTCTTTGTCTCTTTTGATCTTTGTTGGTTTCAAGTCTGTTTTATCAGAGACTAGGATTGCAACCCCTGCCTTTTTTTGTTTTCCATTGGCTTGGTAGATCTTCCTCCATCCTTTTATTTTGAGCCTATGTGTGTCTCTGCCCGTGAGATGGGTTTCCTGAATACAGCGCACTGATGGGTCTTGACTCTTTATCCAATTTGCCAGTCTGTGTCTTTTAATTGGAGCATTTAGTCCATTTACATTTAAAGTTAATATTGTTATGTGTGAATTTGATCCTGTCATTATGATGTTAGCTGGTTATTTTGCTCGTTAGTTGATGCAGTTTCTTCCTAGTCTCGATGGTCTTTACATTTTGGCATGATTTTGCAGCGGCTGGTACCGGTTGTTCCTTTCCATGTTTAGTGCTTCCTTCAGGAGCTGTTTTAGGGCAGGCCTGGTGGTGACAAAATCTCTCAGCATTTGCTTGTCTGTAAAGTGTTTTATTTCTCCTTCACTTATGAAGCTTATTTTGGCTGGATATGAAATTCTGGGTTGAAAATTCTTTCCTTTAAGAATGTTGAATATTGGCCCCCACTCTCTTCTGGCTTGTAGAGTTCCTGCCAAGAGATCTGCTGTTAGTCTGATGGGCTTCCCTTTGAGGGTAACCCAACCTTTCTCTCTGGCTGCCCTTAACATTTTTTCCTTCATTTCAACTTTGGTGAATCTGACAATTATGTGTCTTGGTGTTGCTCTTCTTGAGGAGTATCTTTGTGGTGAACAATAAACTTTTTTAAAAAAAAATATCTATTAATATAGAAATTCTCATCTGCATGGATTTTAATATCTTCAAATAAGCTACATCACATTTTTGCACAAATTTTAATTGGCTTCTTCCTACTTATAGTTTCAGCTGCTACTATAAAAGCAACTTAAAAACTTCATTTGTACTACCTGCCGCTGTGTTTAAAAATTCATTTTTATGTATTTTCCTTAAGGCACTTGTTATAAATTATTTAACAACTCAGCAATATTGAGCTATCTTTTTATGCTTACCTCTGTTTAATAAGTGATGGAATCCTTGCCAATGAGAGACATTGGTTTTATTTGGAAGAGGGAATATAACCAGTCTTCAAGTGTTATTATTGCTCCTTGGTAGCAGAGACCTGGTGTGGGCTTTACAGATGTTATATTTTGTGTTGGATTCTTTACTTACTGTATACATACTTTTTTTTACTCCAAAAAGGTTTTTAGAGACAGGGGTCTCACTGTGTTGTCCAGGCTGGGTTTGAACCCCTGGCCTCAAGCAATCCTGCCTCAGCCTTCTGTGTAGCTGGGATTATGGGCATGAGCCACTATGCATAGCAGTGCTTACTGTTTTAAATTACTTGCACTACTATCACACTAAAGGCAGCTGTGATAATTGTTGGTGGTTTCCTTTGATTTTCTTTTGTTATTACAAATTGCAGACTCTCTTGATTCTTGTAGTAAACTTGAGAGTTCAGAGTGAATTTTCTTGTCTTTCGTCCTACCACCCCTTTAAAATACTAATTATTTACCTCTGTAATAAAGTATCTCATACTTGAAATGCATAGTTTCTTCTAATATTTTATGACCAACATTTTATTAATACAACAATCCAAGTTATACCCTATTATTTTTCTGTTTTTTAGTTTTTCATGTAAGCAAATATATAATATGCAAGTCATAACAGTTTTTTTTTTTTTTAAATATGGCTCTCTAATTCTTAAGTCATCAATTTATTTTTCTTATCTTAGTGCACTGGCTAGGTCTTCCAGTATAATAATAAACAGAATTGGTGGCAATTATTCTTTTATGATTTTAAAAAGAATTCTACTTACATTTCATAAATAAGAATTTTGTATACTGTGATATATTAGTAGAAGTCCTTTACCCCTTTTCCAGGATAATTGTGTAACAATGTATTTTTTGGTTTGTTAATAATTTTATTATCGATGGGTAATACCTTTTTCAAAGGTTTTTGTTGGTCGGTTTGTTTTTAGGAAATAAGATTTAAATTGAAATTCAATTTATTTAAAGTTATAGGTCAACATAGGTTAACTAACCTATAATGAAACAGCCTGATATGCTCTATAACTTTTAGAGAAAATAAATGGCAGTTTATTTTTTCTGGAACTGCTTTCATTTAAATTATATATATTTTTAATTTATACATAAATTATATATAATTCATATATTTTGTATATATTTTATATAATATTTTATATATTTTTTAAAATTTCTATTTTCTGACAGAAACTAATTCATTTTAAATTTCTGCTGTAGTGTTACTTTTCTTCAATTTCCTGTCTAATATTTTTTGTGACTTCTCTATTTCTTGGTTTATCTATATTATTAAGCTTCAAAAATTTGTCTTCATTGCTCCTTTTCATCTTTAATGGTTATTTTAAATTTCAATTAAGTCTGCTTTGATTATTGGTTTCTTTGTTTTCTGTGTTTTTTTTTCTGTTTCTCCAACTATTTTTTAAAGATTGATTACTTGGCTAGTCGTGGTGGCTCACACCTGTGAACCCAACACTTTGAGAAGCTACAGAGGGAGGATCCCGTGTGCTCAGGAGTTCAAGACCAGCCTGGGCAACATAGTGATATCCTGTCTCAAAAAAAAAAAAAAAAGTTGGATTATTTCCTTTCCCTCAAATTTGTACGTTCTTTTGTCTAATGTTTTAGTTTTTATATCTTTAAACTTCATACTTTCAATTCATTACAGCTAGGTATACACAATATTTATTTCTATTTTCAAACATGTTACCGTAATATTTTCTCACTCTCTATGCATGTCAGACCTTTCTGGTATCACTGTCTTCCTCCGGAGACATATGCTTTAGAAGTCCCTTTAGTGAAGGTCCATTTCTGCCATTTCTTGTTTTTTTCTTTATTTTAATATCCCAAAATGAGTTTATTTTACTGTCATTTATAAACAATAATTTCTTGTCAGGTTGTAAGTTAACTTTAAAAAAAATCCCTTTGATGATTTCACTGTCTTCTTGCTTAATGCTTGCCATTGAAAAGTCAGTAATTTTAAGTTATATGCATTTTTTTTTTCTCCCTGGATGCCTGTAAAAAAGAAATTGTGTCTGCTTCTTCTCAGATTCAGGGATGGCACAGGCTTGGAGCTAATTTAGTCCACTTTGTGGGCAATGTCTTAATATGGGAGTTCAGGGTTATGTGGCTCAGTCAGCCCAGCTTGTCCCGGGCCTGAAGATGACTACTGATCTCGGGGCTTTTTGCATCCCCTTGAGTCTTTAAGCTCATCTTCCCCAGCTCCAGTTTCAGCCTGTTATTTGTTTAACACAGTCATTTACTTTATTGTTTCTGGTGGCTTTTTTTTTTTGTAGGTGATTTTCTCACATTTCATTTACTATATATTGAAAATATTGTTACTTTAAAATCTAGGATCTAGTTGTTTGATATTGTAGAGGTTCTCAGAGTACCTACATCTCTGTACAACCAGAAGCAAATGTTCTTTCATGAATACAGTTTTATTCTAACACAGTCACATGATTAATTTATGTATTGTCTAAACACTATAATTATAGATTTAAGTAGTTGTAATATAAAGCGTACGGCCTACAGAGCCTAAAATATTTACTATGTGATCCTTTACAGACAATTCTTTGCCAACCCTTGACAGTTCTACATGACTAAAAACTAATTTACATCTGCTCCATTGTCTATGCTTAACATTTACTGCATCTTTGTATCAATTAACATGCTTTCAGTTGCACGTAATAGTCCCAATTCATGACATTTCCAGATTTAATAAACTGATTAATTCAGCAACTTACACAACATTATTAAAGACAGTTTATTTGATTTCCTGAATCATCCTCAGTGTGCTAGTCTTTGTTCTCCAGTTCATGGTAGTAAGATGGCTGCTAGATGATCATGCAGACACAGTAGGAAGAGATCATTTCCTAATGTTAATCTTTTTGTGTATCAGCCAGGAAAAGCCTTTCCTGAACCCATCCCTCTGCACATTTTCCCTCACATCTAAGATAGTGTTATCTGTTCATACCTAAACCTGCCACTGGCTAGAAGAGTAAGTGTCACGATTAATGTAGAAGTCAAGTTTCTGCTGCAATAATGGCATGAAGCAAACATTCCCAGTATTTCAATGGCTTCTATTGTGAAATATTTCTCCTCACAGGTCTGCAGGTCAGATAATATAGCTTTTTCTTTAGAATACAGGTCAGGCTAAGGTCCTTTCCACATTCCCTCTCTTTGAAACTGTTGCTGATTGGGTTATGCTTTTCTAATGGGGGCAGATAGGATCTCCAAGAGGGCAAATAAAACCACCCAGGCACATTTAAGGCCCTCGTAGGGCCTGGCATACATTATATCAGCTCTCCTTCATTGGCCAAGGCAAGTCACACAAGTTCAGTATTAGTATAGGAAAAAAGACCTCTTAAGGGGGAAGCATAAAGTCACACGATAAATGGTATGGTTATACAATCCTATTACAGGGAGGGATAAATGATTGAAAACCATAATCAATCTTTACGACTAGCTCAAATAAATCAAAATTTTGCTCTTGAATTGAGTAGAGGATCAAACTCCCAGAAATATTACCACTACTTGATATGATCACGAAATAAGTTTTGTTATCAAAAGATAAAGAATGGATGCAGCTTTAGTCTTCATTTGCTTCATTCCAAGTGCTGTTGCAATATTTCCCGTACCTGAGGAAACTCAAAGGGATGGCTTTAATGCTATCAGAAATCTGAGTCCTTAGAGTAAGAAAATAAATACAAAATATTCAAAAATTGCTTGTACTAAATAGCGCATATTGACAACAATAGTCAAACATAATATGCCACTATTTTCTCCATAAACAAAAGTCCCCCAAATAAATCGCATCTCTCCAGTCTTGTCACTTAGAAATAGTAACTTAAATATTTTCCATTTAAAATAGTCTAGAGACTCAAATTTCTTACTGTTGTCATCTTTCACACATGAAAACTGTTTCAATTTTTTTTTTCTAATAGTATTGCTTAAAACACTAATTTCTTCCTACTTTTTTTTTTTCTTTTTTTGTTTTGAGACGGAATCTCACTCTGTCGCCCAGGCTGGAGTGCAGTGGTGGGATCTTGGCTCACTGCAACCTCTGCCTCCCGGGTTCAGTGGGACTACTGAGTAGCTGGGACTACAGACGCCCGCCACCATGCCTGGCTAATTTTTTGTATTTTTAGTAGAGACTGGGTTTCACCGTGTTAGCCAGGATGGTCTCGATCTCCTGACCTCGTGATCCGCCCGCCTCGGCCTCCCAAAGTGCTGGGATTACAGGCATGAGCCACTGTGCCCGGCCTCTTCCTACTTTTTACAAACTGTATTTTTTAATCAATGATATAAAAACTGACTTCTTTTGTATAAGTTACTCTTCTTACTATTTTTCTGATATGATTGTCAAAAGACATGATCTTTTATGACACTGAACCTTGAGGACATATTTATTAACCTTTTTCCTTAGAAGTTAATAAAGGGAGGTTACTTTCCAGTAGTTGATCTTATTTTTAAGATTTGCTATAAGTTGTAAAGAGTCATTCAAAATAAATCATTTTTCAACCCATCCCTCCAGTCATACCGATAAGAAAGGCATTTTTTTCGATCATGTCTTGTTAATGAGCACATTCTTTGGGGATGCCTCGGTCCTAATTACAAGTGGGCAGGCAGCCATGAGTGCAGGCTGGAAGACCTGGTGAGCGGCAGGCCAGGGAAAGCATGCGGTGGTGCTGGGGGCACCCGTGCGGGACAGAACTGGAGCTGACTCTAAGGCTCCAGGGAGCAATGGTAAGCTGCAAAATGGTACTAAGGGAAGCACACAGAAAATTACCAGAGAAAGACAGATGGTTGGGATGTCCAAAGCTAAGAAGAAATCTCTAAAATGACTAGTGAGAGGGAAACGGTAGATGGAGTCCCTGAGATAAAAAATAAATAATAAACTAAGTGTCTGCACGAGGCAAAGCAACAGCTAGATGTCACAGTGCCGAATGGCAGGCAAGTCCTCCAACAGCCTAATTCGTAAGGGTACAGCTGCCAAGGAGGGTCAAACCAAAGTAAACTCTCAAACCTAAGTATTACCAGTTAGCATCCTATCTTAGGGTCACAAGTGAAAATTTCAAGGGTTGGGAAAGTGATTGTTATTATTGTCAGTTCTCCCTCTGTTTTGTGTAGGTGAACTCATTGTTCAAACAATACTGAGAGAATATGCAGACAGTGGTATACAAAGTTGAAGAAAAACATTTTGAAGATATTTATCTTTTGAAAGGTATTTCTACCTAGACCCAACTCGGTTAAGCTGTTAATGCAACTTCTATGTATCAGGTTTTCCTCTGGAATTTAACAGCCTCTTATTTTCTCCAAGGACCTTTGGCTGTTAAACAGTGTTCATGTAAGCCCACACCACTGGCCAGAAGAGGCATGCTCAGAAATCACCATTGAAAGCCCCAAACGTCATCAAGGAAAACCAGTAAACATAAGAAAAGTTAGGGATGAAAGACACCTGGTCAGTTTTTCTCACTCCCATGCCACGTCAGATTTACAATATGGATTACGTCAGAGCTATTCATCTGGATTACGGTGAGTGTCAGTTTGCTATGTGCTAAGTACCACAACCTGGGTATCTTCAACAACAAATTGCCTCAAAGTTCTGGAAGCTGAAAGTCTATAATCACTATGTCAGCAGGTTTGGTTCCTTTGGGGGCTTCAAAGAAGATTCTCTTCTATTCCACTCTCATAGCTTTCAATGGTTTGTTAGCATCTTTCTTTGAAATCCTTTGGCTTGTAGATGTAGCACCCCTACATCTCTGCCTTCATCTTATTTGGTGTTCTTCCCGTGCATGCGTCTCTGCGTGCACCTTTCTGCTTTTTATAAGGATACCAATCGTATTGGAAAGACCTACCCTAATGACCTCACTTTACCTTGATTGTGCCTGTAAATATCCTATTTCTAAATAAGGTCATATTCTAAAATACCGGGAGTTAGGATTTTAATACATCTTTATGGAGGGCACAGTTCAACTCAGAATGGGTGCAAGAAGCTGAGGAATATGTCAAATACAATTTATTGCATGTCTTTTAGAGATCACTTCCATTGTCCATGTATTAATGGTGAGAAAATTGAGGTCGAGACGAGAGAAATTACTTGCTCAAGAAGGATCATTAGAATGGTCATAGGTGGGTCTAGGCCGGAAGCAAGTCTCTTGATCTCCAGCACGATGCTTTTGAAGCTTCATTGTAAATACCACTAAACATTATTTACCCTTTAGATTAGTGCTTCAGAATTTTTGGGTCACATAGTCCCTTTGAGACTGTGAAGGAGTCTCTGAACCCTCTCCTCGGAAAATGGCTGTGAACAGAAACCACCCCAGTCTTATACAACTTTCAAGGACATCTTTGAACCCTATCTCTAACTATCCTCTCTCCAGATTTTCTTTAGTCAAGTCATCTTAAGTATGTTTTGATTCCTGAGAAAATTGCTTAAAATGCTATAAAATTGTCTGAAATAGCAAGAAGAACATGTTGACTTTTGGCTTGGAAAAAAATGCATACTTATCCAGAGTGGGAAATTTCCCCCTTATGGCCTTTGCACTGATCATAAGTGAGAAGTGGCAGAAAGAAAGGGACTGTGTTCAACAACGTGATTCTCATCACATGCCAGCTCCTTCAGCTTTCTGTTTAACAGTTGGGCAGGTAGGCTTGCCTAGGGTTTTGCATTGATGCACTGTAAACATATTCGTCTTAGTTACGAAACTATAGAAAGCATTTAAAATAAAAATAAACCTCTTTCCAATTTGCATTGCACATAGTGGATTAATTTGTCCAAAGTCCATGCTATTTAAATGAAGTTTACATTTTCCAAATGTTTAACAATATGAAAACGAATATTTCACTTGAAAGTCTGAAAGCACACCATTAGAGTCATTCAGATACATGGATGTTACATCTGGAATTTTATTAAAATTCAACGTTTTTGGCTGCTGTCCTCTGGCTCTGAGCATTGGCCCCATCCTGTTGTCATAGCTCTCATCTGACTTGTTCCTCCACAGGAACTTTCCTGCTTTGGAAGCCTGGGGTACACGATCTAAGGCCTAAAAGCTGCTTGCTTTCAGCTAGGACTCCTTCCAAGTCCTAGCATGTCAATATGCTTTTACAAAGATCGCTATATCATGGCTTACTTTTTTATCATTGCAACAACAATGATAGTTAAAAACAGTGTTCAGAGCAAGGTTTGCTCTTTTCAGCAGTTTCTTCTCTCCAAATTGCTTCTTCCAATTAACAAAAAGGAGTTGAAAACCCCATTTCCTGCAGCCACCTGTGGCCTCCCTTTCTTTAGGATAAATTTCTCTGGCACAATCAAGAGTTCCTGTAAGCTCCTGGGTTCTTTTTGAATGGAAATTAGGTAAAATGAATTTTGATTCTTTTTCAGATCTGGGGTAGTGGTGGGTGTTGGATGTAAAATTCCCTGATTATATTTCAATCATCGTCTCACATCTTTTTTATAACACAACCTCTGATACTTTTAAATTCAAGATATTGACATCATTTTGCCGGTGAAACAGATGCTTTGGCACTGAATTTGGAAGTATATACCTTGGGTGATACTTTCACATCTAGCGGAGATTAAATACGGATATTGACAAGGTGGCAATTATCATTTGAACTCAGACACGGAGGCTCACTTTGCAGCTAATTTGGCACAGAAAAAAATTGTTCTAAACAATCAAAATTTTAACCAGAAGTTTCAATATGTATTTCACATTCTTTAGAGGGCTTGTGAAAGCCTATATAATTTGAACTACCCTGACTTTTCAGTTTCTTCCTTCGTCTAACTCTCTAAGCTGCTAGAACAACCACAGTCCATACTGAACTTTGTGCACACGGAGATACTGGATGAACAACGGACAATGTCCAGACCATCTCTGGAAACAGAACCCTGACCCACACCCCTTCAGCAACCTGCCAGGAAGGCCAAGCCACAATCTCTGTGGCAATTGGCTCAGGACGGTAAGGACTTGCTCAAAAACTGCCAGCTTCTCTATTTTTTTGCCTCTGTTTTTAACTCAGGACCAACAAGAGATAGCTAAATATGCTCACCAATCAGATGAGAATTTTTACATATAGGCTCTGTCCTGTGTTTGTTTAAAACCTTGGTTTTTCCTTGGATTACAGTGTTTCCATAATTCTGTTTTTTTAACCTATCTATAGCTTCTATTACATTACATTATATACAACTTTTGCGTTTTTCTTAAATGTGTATATTTTTAATACTTATGTTTCCTAGGATATAAAAAATTTTGAATTTTCACATGTACGTGGCATTCTTCTTTCCATAGCTGGCAGGACTTCATCTCCCATTGCACACCTCTTCGAATGTTGAACACTGTCTGACACACGGTTTTAGTTGCCTTGATTATATATGCCCAATACCACCCTATCATTTGCTATTCGATTCCTGACTTTTGCTTGAATTTCCTATGTTTACTTTTGCTATGTTGTCTTGATAACAGTATTCTCTCATTCTCAACTGAATTTCTTCCCAGTAAGGTATTGTGGTTATCTTTGAACAGTGTTTCTCAAACCTTAATATTAGTATGACCCACCTTTGGATATTGTTAAAATGAATATGCGAATTCATTACTTCTGGGTTAGGTTCACATTCTGAATTTCTCCTATTGCCCAACTCCCAATGCTCTTGGCCCACAAAATGCACTTTGATACATTTTGTTTTCCAAATCTGAGAGATTATAAAAAATTTCTGAGGATATAGATACATCAATGTCTATATATCTACATCTACATACACACACACATACTACACAGGCAGTTGTTCCTCTATATCCGTGGGTTCCCCAACCAAGGACTCAAACAACCACAGAGAAAATGTTGTTAGGCCTAGGGCAGTTGTATCTGTACTGGACGTCTACTGACTTATTTTTTGTCATTATTCCCTAAAAAATACAGCATAACAACTAGAGTCACCCCTTGGTACATGTGGAGCATTAGTTCTAAGATACCCCACCCCTGTGGTCAAGTCTCTAATATAAAATGGTATAGTATTTGCATTTAACCTATGCACATTCTCTTGTATACTTTAAATCACCTCTAGATCACTTATAATAGCAAATACAATGTAAGTGCTATGTAAATAGTTGTTACTCTGTATTTTTAAATTTGTATTATTCTTTGTTTTATTGCTATTTTTTACTTTATTCTTTCAAATATTTTTGATCTGTGGTTGGTTGAATTTGCAGATGTGGAACTGGAGGTTATGGAGAGCCTAACTTCTTTCTTTTTTTTTTTTCTTGAGATGGAGTCTCGCTCTGTCACCAGGCTGGAGTGCAGTGGTGCGATCTCGGCTCACTGCAACCTCTGCCTCACGGGTTCCAGCGATTCTCCTGCCTCAGCCTCCCGAGTAGCTGGGACTACAGGCACCTGCCACCACGTTAAGCTAATTTTTGTATTTTTAGTAGAGACGGGGTTTCACCATGTTGGCCAGGATGGTGTCCATCTCTTGACTTCATGATCCGCCCGCCTTGGCCTCCCAAAGTGCTGGGAGTACAAGTGTGAGCTACCACGGCCTACCTTATTTCTACAGCATTTACACAGATTTGGATCAGTCCATTCCAACTCATCCCGCTGACTGAGTTAGCCATGCTTATCTTGTCATCATCCCCGCACTCTATACTCACCCACATGAAGACACACGCAGTCGTGTATAACCATTGCATTTGGTGGTGTGACAGGCTCTGGCTTATGGTTGATTTTGAATTATATTATTTTTTAAAACTATTTTAGAATATGTCTATTTTCTAAATGTAGCACTTTACGGCATTTTATTATGTAAAACACGTGAAGGTCAGTGAAAATATTGAGGTCTTATGCAGCCAAGGTTAGAATTTAAAAGGTCTATATGTGAATCTGTCATTGTACTTTTAGAAAATAAAGGTGAAGGCTGGGTGCAGTGGCTTACACCTGTAATCCCACCACTTTGGGAGGCCAAAGCAGTGGGATCGCTTGAGCCCAGGGGTTCAGGATCAGATGGGGCAACATAGTGAGTCCCCATCTCTACAAAAAAACCCCAAAATTAGCTGGATGTGGTGGTGTGTCTATAGTCCCAACTATGTGGGAGGCTGAGGTTGGAGTATTGATTGAGCCCAAGAAGTCGAGGTTGTAGTGAGCCGAGATTGCACCGTGCTCTCCAGCCTGTGTGACAGAGTGAGACTCTTCTGTCTCAAAAAAAAGAAAAAAAAAATTTTTTTTTTGGTCAAATTCATATTCTGAGGTTTAGTCATTAATGTGAATGGGAGTAAGATTTATTCAACATTTACTTTGTGAAAGATACATTAGGCTTACTTAACTTCATGAATTTTAAACAATAATTTGTTGAGTACCTAAATCTGAGAAATTGTGACATTAGATTTCCATGCAGCATGCAGTGTTTTTAAAAGTTTTTAATACCTAGTTTTATTTTTACTATTAATGCTATGAATTAATATATTTTATTGTTGCAGTTAGTAACAAACTTCTTAAATTTTTTAAATAACATTCTTTTATACATTCAGACAAACAATTGGCTTTAAGAAAATTATAATAAACATCTGCAAATTAGATTCAAATATAAGAAATTATTTCACCATATCTAATTGTCTTATCTCAATGTGTCATTTATAGTTCAAGAAACTGTGACTCAAACAGATTGTAGTTTTTGTCTAGGATCATTTTCCAACAGTTGAAATAAGAGTTTAACCTGGGTCCTTCGATGCCAAAGCTGGGGCTGTAATCAGTATGGTCCAAGATTTTTACAATAGCCCTACAGAAATTCTAATTAGTTAACAGATATGCCATAAGTAATTTTATACAATGTAGACAAAACTATCTGATACTAAAAATGTGGAAGAACAAATGACTATTAATTGTAATCTGAGATTGCAAGTGAAGAATAGATCACTTTTATTCTGATGTTTTTAAAACTTCCAATAATTTTCATTTTTTCATTTTATGATACTCTTATCAAACACATCTGAGCTAAACAAACTTGATTCTTTTATCTGTCAATATTACTCATAAATTAAATGTGGGAAAAGTCAAATATTTGAATTATTGCCTCTAAATACATCAGCCAATTTAAATTTCATAATATGCCATTTCAGTTGCACATTTAATAGAATATGCTTGAAAATCTAAATTCGCATAAGAGATAAACTTGGGAATGAACTACATCATAATGGCTTTAAAATATCCCTAAAAGTGCTTTTTAAAGAAAAGAATAGTTCAGTTCACTGGGTATATATTTACATTTTATTAATATGTTGACAAAAGTCTAGTGCTTTGAAAACTAAAATCCAGAGAGTTGATTTTTGAGTATGAATGGTGATAAAACATAAGAAAGTTATGAAAATAACACTTGGGCAAAGTTCCAGTAAAATTAATTTTCAGTAGCTTAATGGTAAGAAACTTGGTTGTGATAAATAGATGGTGCATATACTCCAAATCCATGGGGGCTGGAGAGGTACAGTTGCTTACTCTATTAACATTATTCAAATAAACTAATCATGAGAAATGAACAACACAAAAGAAGTCTCAAAGACCATGTACTTTTGAAACTTCTCATTGGTTAGCTCATGGATTTTTTCTTTTTTTGGTGGGTCTGTTAGATCAGGTTTCCCACAAGGGTTGCAAGGGCATGTCAAGGATGATGAAGAGGTGTAGAGGAGTGAGGAGGGATTGCTGCTTTGTAGATCACCTCTCTCTAGATAAATGACACTTTTGACCAACAGTATTTTCAGCCTGGTATCAGGTTCTCTACAATTTAGTAGCTTAAGATGTGAAATTAAATTAAATTGAACAAGAACCAAACATTGCAGATTGGCATCTTATTCAAACTTGATCCAAAGACATGATAGTTTGATTTGTTTGATTATTATAAGCATTTATTTTTATTGTGCTTTTCATTTGTGTGGGAATATCCATGGCTAGCGAATAATCTTTGTAGTTTTCTATTACCTTATTTTACTTGCTAACTCCTGAATTCTTTAAGCCAAAAGCCCTGAATTTGATGGTTTTGAAGATCCCTTTGAAATCGAAATTCTAGAATCATATGCCATAGATAGAGCATGCCTGGTACAGAATTGTGAACTTGTAGCAACCGCTGCCACAAAACTGCTGGAATACTCCACTTATTAGGATGTAATTTTCATCAGGGTCTAGACCAAATGCTGCCATTGCACAGGACATCATACCACAAATGGGACCAAAGCAATGCAGCTAGTTTCTCAACTTTGCTTAGAGAAGTAAGCCAGATATGGCTCATTCTCTGCTTGCCTTCACCAGTGCCAGAAGTCCAAGACTCCGGAGAAGTCAATCATGACTCAGACTGTTCTCATACCGTGGTGCACGACCTGTGAGGTGACTCAGTATCCCACTTCCCCCTTCTTCTGAAGTCCTTTAGCAGTGGACTCTGGAACACCAATTTTTTGAGACAGAGTCTTGCTCTGTCGCCCAGGCTGGAGTGCAGTGGTGCGACCTCAGCTTATTGCAACCTCCACCTCCCGAGTTCAAGCGATTCTCCTGCCTCAGCCTCCTGAGTAGCTGGGACTACAGGGGTGCACCACCAGGCCTGGCTAATTTTTGTATTTTTAGTAGAGATGGGGCCTCACCATGTTGGCCAGGCTGGTTCCAAACTCCTGATTTCAGGTGATCTGCCTGCCTTAGCCTCCCAAAGTGCTGGGATTACTGGCATGAGCCACCACATCCGTCCTTGAAACACCAAATTTTTGACCTGCACGTTTCTTTATATTTTAAATCTGATCTTTGAATACTGCATTTTCCTTAGCCTTCCTGCCCCACTCAGGCACATTTTTTCTACAGCTATCTCAAATATGGCTCATTTTTCTCCGTGGAGGCCCATCGCCTATCAAGTTCCTCCCAGGTTCAGCCACAGCCACCGGGTTGCGGCTCCAGACCCCAGGATCCCTGTGCTCTCGGGGGCCCAGGAAGCCCCTTGCCCCCACAGGCTTGGAAGTGCCTGCTCCCATTCTCTAGCCTCTTCTTGCTCCCAGTGGCTGCTCCCGGGCGGAGCAAAGTTGTGGCTGAGCCCAGGCACCATCGTGACCTGGCCTAGTGTGCACGCATTTGGGGCGATGCTGACACGTCAGCCCCCTACCGCCTTGGCTCCCTCTGGACTTTGGCCACCAACGATCATGGGAGGAAGGCTGAGAGGATATTCAGGGCGGCTCAGCACGGGCCTGCAGAGGACCCTCAGCAAGAACAGCCTGGACGCGGTGGATGGCATGTTGATGGCACCAGGAGGTAGACAGGCTCTTGAGTGGAAAGGGGTGGGTCCCAGGTGAAATCCCACCTTCAAGCCGGGGATGGCCTGAAGACTGGAGGCTGGGCTGTCAGTTTTGGATGGAGTCTGTGGCCCAGAGTGAGAATTTACGGTGCTTTTTCCAGGCCGCCCATGGCCACTCATGGACCAATCAGCACACACTTTCTCCCTCCTGAGCACGTAAAAACCCCAGATCCACCTGACTAGGACAGACATTCGGACTACCAGCTGTGGAAAGGTGCTACCCACTACAGGTCTCCTCACTGAGAGCTGGACACTTGCTGGGCGACCTGCCTGCAGAAAGGACCTACCCAGTATGGGTCTCCTCTCCACTGAGAGCTGGGCTCTCCTTGGAATGACACACCTGCAGAAAGGAGCTACCAACTGTGGGTCTCCTCTGAGCTGTCCTGTCACTCACTAAAGCTCCTGTCTGTCTTGCTTACTCTCTAGTTGTCTGCATATCTCATTCTTCCTGGATACAGGACAAGAACTCGGGACCCACTGAATGGCGGGACTGAAAGAGCTGTAACGCAAACAGGGCCGAAGCACGCCCCCCCACCCTCCGCTCACCACGTTGGGGGTGACAAGAAGGAAAGAAGAGCTGCGGCCCTTCGGGGATTCTAGACCCAGGGGCTCCCTGAGCCAGGGGTGTGACACCCTTTTTGGGGCTCCGTGGTTCCTGGCGTCTCCAAGGTTCCGGCACCACTGCGTTCCCCTCATCCAGACACGGGTGCCCTCAGTGGAAGCTGCTTGCAGTACATCTGATCCAGTCACAGTCCTGCACGAAGCCAGTGCCTGTGCCGGCTCCTGGACCTGCCTGCCCCGCTGCAGTAACTGGCATGCCTGGCTGTGTGCAATGGCCAGACCCCATGCTTGCTTGCTCACACACCCCTTGCCACTCTGCACCTGGCTTGCCCTTGGTAGGCATGGGATCCAGGCTGCTAGACTGAACTGAGCTCAGCCTGCTAGGCTAAGTGGGCGGAACAAACCCAGTGGGCCTGAACAAGAACTCGGGCAAAGGCGCCACCGGCCACAGAGGTTTCCAGCTGGAAAAGTGACACCCTAAGGATTCCGAGACACTATTGGATTGGGGCCCAACTTTTATGACCTCATTCACCCTTCATTAGTTCCTAAAAGGTCTTATCTGCAAATATATTTAGACTTGGGAGGCCTTGAGTATATAAATTTGACAGGGGTTGGGTGGGGGGCGGGGACACAGATTAGTCTGTAACACCGGGTGATTATCTTTTTATACAAATACCCTCAATTTTCTTTTATTATTTTTTAAAAACTCACCCCAATGCTCATAAATATGTCTCAGCTACTGCTGGTTCCTTTTCTAACTAAACTTTAAATATTGGTTATTAGGAATTGCTCCCAGTTGCTCTTCTGTTTTTGCAATCTCTTACTAGATGATCTCTGTAAGGGCAAACACAAATTAAAATTAAGAGGGTTAATTTCCCCTGTTGAGAATAAGGAAAGAGAATTCTTGCCCCTTTCTTTTCTTATAGAATTACTTTAGAAAACTTGTATTTTCTTCATTTCTTTGAAATGTATTTAAATATTTTTAAAAGCTAAATAAACCTCTTGCCAGTTTTAAGGGAGAAGAATGTCTTTATCAAGGACCTGGAAAACATCTCTTTGGAATGTAAATATTAAAGGAAGATAAGTGCCTCCATCTCCCAGGTTCTGTGGGAGGGTAGGACCTAACTTCAGCTAAAGCTTGGCTCTAAGTTGCAAAACTACTGTCTATCATACAGATATGAGAAGTGTATTTTCCTTTATATAAAGCCACCTAACTAGTCACCCCAATCGCTAGGTGAATTGCTGTGTGTGAAAAATACCGCTGCCAAGTTCTTGACTTGAGGACTAGTCATTCTTTATCTTGAGGGCCTGAATGTAATGAGTTGTATCTACTTGGCTACATAAAGGGATAAGATTTCTTTCCATCTTTGCCATTTCTTAGCAAATTGCCTGGGATGTATATCACATTCTGGTTTAATACTTGTTCAATAATAAAATTGTTTTCTGCTATCTTTGTGGAGAGGTTATCCAGGATGGGAGGATAATTGGTTTTCAATTATATTTTCCTAATATCTCATTCATATTTTTTGCTGGCTCCCAAATCTGATCTCTGGCCAAGGCCTCTTCTCTAAGTCAGATTCTCTAGATTTCCACATGGATGTCTTGCAGTCATTTCAATTAAAAAAAAATAAAACAAACTCAAAATACAATCCCCAATGTTGTCTTCTACACCTTGTCATCACCAAGTTTCTGCCATTTCAATGTAACGTGCAACTGTTGAATGGTTCCTGCAAACACTATATTGACTTTTTTTCTTATTACACACCAGCTTTATTTTTTATTTTATTTTAGCAATGTGTCAGCAAAGCCTCTTGCTTGTATTTCCATTCAAGACCAATGTAATTTCAATGTAGATCTTGATGTTGTCATCTTCTCTGGTCTTACTAGTCTAACATCCTATAATTTTGTGATGGGAATATTGTAATATTGCTTATCTTTCTTTGTTGATTTTTACCTCTCCCTAAACTACATTCCACACCATAACACATTTTCTTAACAAGTCTGTCTCTTAACACAACAGTCTATTTGCAAAATGTGTTTGACCATAGGACAGTTTTGTAACTTTTGTGATTTTCATTGAGCTATTAACATTTCCATTCGCTCATTAATTCATACCAAAAATATTTATTAAGAAAGGACTGTGTGCCAAGAAGGTAACTAGCTTTACTTGGAATGCAAATTGATAAATATAACACTAAGACATACAATTAATTTATTTTCTTTGTGAAGTTATTTGATAAAATTAGAATTGATTTACCACCTACATGGTCAAATGTAATGCTGTTAATGAAAGTCAGTGCATTCCATACAATACCAACTTATTTATTAAGCATAAATCAGAGCTATGGCAGATGTGGCCAAGGAGATGCCCTGTACTGGACCACTCACTGTGTAATTAAATGTTCCTGTCTCACAGTGCTCTCCAAACATTACAGAGATTCTTTTTTTCTCTAATGAAAATAATTGTTTCTTTATAGTAAGTAGTCTACTGCTGTGATATTTCCAGGAAATGCATATTATGAAAAACTAGAAATTGAATCAGAAGCATAAAGTAGCCCATCAGCTGAACTCTCAGGATTCACAGACCTGTTGAGGTCCAAAGTGAAGTAGGTTGTAAAATCACTGTTATCTCACTGACAGGGTTAAAGTTTTTGAATATGTTCAATGAAAAATTGAAATATGAGAAGTAAGATAAAAATTCATGAATAAGATTGTTTTTATGCAGCACCTGTTAGTTTTCAGGCATTTATCTAGGCATCTCCAAAATTTGTGGTGCATCAGTGAATAAAATGCTCCTTTTCACTCTTCCCTATCTTACACATCTGGGCATGGGGAAATAGAATATAAAAATAAGCATGATGATAAGTAAATTGTAGTGTTATGTTATGAAAACATGACTAACAGAGAATTGTAAGGTGGATATAAGGTACATGAGTCAGGGTGCCAGATGGGGACAGCTAACAGGATTAAATAAGGTGGTGAGGGGAGGTTTTCTTGCAAGAGGATTTGAAGACAGTTGAATGAATTGAGAGTTTTAGCCAATGGGATATCTGGGACAATGAGATACCTGCAGAGGGGCCAGGTAGAAAAAAGGCGCTAGAGTGGGGACCTGATGAGTGTGTTTGAGGCACTGCATGGAGGCCAGTTGGCCTAAAGTGGAGTGAGCAGGAGAGAGGAGTAGTAGGAGGGAAGAGGAAGTAAGAATGGCAGCAGCGAGCCAGATTACCTATGGCCTTAGGTGTCATCAGGCTGTTGTGAAGACTTGGCCTCTAATTCTGTTTACGATGGGGACTCATTATAGGGAACTGAGCAGAAGAGCACATTGTCTCACTTATAGTCAAACAATCACTTGGCCGGGTGTGGTGGCTCATTACTGTAATCCCAATATTTTGGGAGGCCAAAGTGGGTGGATCACCGGAGGTCAGGAGTTGAAGACCAGCCTTGCCAACATGGTGAAACCCCATCTCTACTAAAAAAATACAAAACTCAGCCAGGTGTGTTGGCAGACACCTGTAATCTCAGCTACTCAGGAGGCTAAGGCAAGAGAATTGCTGGAACCCGGGAGGCTGAGGTTGCAGTGAGCCAAGACGATGCCATTGCACTCCAGCCTGGGCTGACGACAGTGAGACTGTCTCAAAACAACAACAACAACAAAAACAATCACTTTAGCTGCAGTGATAACTTTAGGGATGAAAGGAAGAAGAAAGGCAATATGTTAGAGGTTACTGCAATAACACAAATAATCGGTGATAATAGAGATAGACAGGAATTAGAAGTGGATTTCATGTGAGTGCTTGGTTTCTGGACATCCTGTGAAGATCAAGGCCCCTGATTTGCTTTTAGACTGGATATAGATTGTTAGAGAAACAGAATGACTCCAAGGTTTTGGCCTATGTCATTGGAAGATTTGAGTTGTTATCTACTGAGAAGGGAAGTCACAGATGGAGTAGTTTTTGTGTGTGTGGTTTTAGATTGTGTTAGTAGAGAGGATATCAGAAGTTCAGTTTGGTGTTTCTTATACTGAAGGCAACTCTGGGATATTTACGCCAATGCAGAAGTGGATAGGCAGATGGGGAGCTTCATGTCTGCAGTTTGAGAGATAGGTCTGGGCAAGAGATGGAAATCTGGGAGTTAACAGTTCATAGGTGGTATTTTAAATGATGAAACTAGTTGACAGCAATTGAATTAGTATAGGTAAAAAGGTAAAGAGAACTAAGGATGAAGCTTTGGGGTGCGCCAATATATAGAGTTCCAGACAACAGAGGAGAAATAGTGAAGAAAATTGTAAAGAAATGTAGTAGAAGGAAAACCAGCCAAGTCAGTTGTTTGAAGTACATTTTGGTGTAATCAATAATAACATTTTTTTTGTAGATTGATATGAAGGGATGAGGGCTGAACTAAGTCTCCATCAGGCTGATAGAGTGTGATGGAGAGGAAGGACTTGTGGCCTAAGTAGCTGCCAGTGGCTCCACACTGCAGCACTCACAAAGACCACATGCCTTAAAGCTCTGCTGTCACCGTCTTGACATGCTTAATAATTCAATAATTATTCAATTAGTATTTAAGAATAATTCAATACTTCAATTTTTAACAAGTCCTTCCATTTTAATTTTACATTGGGCCCCATATATAATGGGATTGGAGTATCTGATGATAGAGAATGTTGGGGAATTGCATTCTATTTTTAGATTATGTTTTAAGTATGTGATGTATAATACAGAAGCAACTTATTTAGAGATGATTTGGAAAAAATCATAGATCTTTTTCTGATTAAATCCCCTCCTCCCTGCCATTTCTTACAGTAGAGTTTCATAATCTTTTCCAAACAAAAATAGAATTTCTAATTGCTAAAAGACTTTATGTTATATGCATAGTTCTGCCAATTGCTTTCTGGATGGTAGATGTGTCTAATACAATATTTACTTGCTTTAGAAATAGATATATTTGGATTAAAATCCTTTCTCTGTTTTTTAATATTTGTGACCTTGAAAAAAGTATATAACATTTTTGAATTTCATTAACTTCATCCAAACAGTAAAATGTATAGTATCTTTCTTCAGAGAATATAAATAATAAACTGAAACGCCTGACACACACTAAGTACTTATTAAATGGTAGCTATTATGATGATTTCTTAGAAAAAATTGTTCCATGTCTTAATTTTCTCTCTTTTGAAACTCAAAAATATCTATATGCCTACCTTAAATTTGGGGAATTAAAAAAAGAGATAATGCATAATTTTATTTACTTGTATAGCAAAACAACTTATTTTTGAATAGGTAATCCAGGCTTACTGTATAAAATAAAATGGTATTATAAAAACAGTTGTATTGTGAAAGTTTCTATCCTCCAGTCTTTTAGCTCCCCTCCCAAAATTTAACCACTTAACATATTTCTCTGTATCCATCAGGATTCTTTTTGCCTTTCAAAAATGGTAGCATGCAATACACACTCCTGTTCCCCTTGATTTTTTTTTAACCTTGGCTTAGGTATTATACCTTTATCAATGCATATAGAGATTCCTCCTTTTTTTTCTCTAAATAGAGACTCTCTATCAAGGTGACCCTCCAAGAAGCATGGACAAAGCAGAACATGTTTAGGGGCTAACCACGGAGAATGTACTATTCACTTTTAAATACAAGTAAGAGATACCTAACAATACATAGGTTCTCCAAAGAGCTCATAGGTGGTATTTAAAATGATGAAACTAGTTCCCAGGAGACCCTGCGAAAAAGTTAGCAATAAACACTATCAGATCTAAAAAGCAGGATGCCAGTTGGTCAAATAAAACATATATGTATATTTTTTGCTCGTCCCTTCTACCTGTTTTGGTCCTGGAAGGGCCAAAGTTTATGGGTAGCAAGAGTGTAAATCAGCACAAGAACAAGACAAAAACAATTAAACCGGCCAATAAACTCCCCATCTTTAACATGGTTGGCAGTCACTAAGTCAAAGCTCTGAGAAGGGAGAATACCTATGACTACGAAAAAGTTTAAAGTTTAGTTATTGTTATGGGCTGAATTGTGTCCCCCCCAAAATTCACATGTTGAAGTCTTAACCCCCAGTAGTGGAATATCTAGTAAGCCCCAGTGCAACTGTATTTGGAGATAGAGTCTTATAAAGATAATTAAGATTAAATGAACTCTTTAGGGTGAACCCTAATTCAATAGGACTGCTCTCCTTATAAGAGGAGGAGATTAGAACACAGTCGCGGGGGAATGACTATGTGAAGGCAGAGAGACAATGGCCATCTAAAAGCCAAGGAGAAACAACCCTGCTGACACCTTCATCTTGGACTTTTAACCCCCACATCTGTGAGAAAACACTACATATATTGATTACTAACCCAAGGATACTTTGCTACATAAAGTGGCAAGGAAATTAACAGGACTTGTTTTAACTTCACCCCAAAGCCAAAAGAACTAGTACCAGGAAACACATTTAAAAGAGAAAAGGAGAAAAAAACCCAGTAAAGACACTTGAAAATGATATCTCATGAATCCTGCCTATTAAAACATTGGTTTGCACATAGATGCACTTCGGGAGAGTTGAAATTTTATGATACTTTTCTTAATGTATCCCCTGCCATTATTTGAAGTTATCTTTTTCCCTTTTAGTGATATTAAAAATGTCTTCATGTAGATTCTGGCTAGTTTTAAAATTTAGTTTTATATATTATGCATAAATCTAGTATTTTCTTCCGTAATATCTATATGGAAGTTTATTTTACATACAGGAAGGATATTGGTATGTTAATTTTGACTCCAGCTGCCACACTAATTTATCTCAATGTTTACATGACTTTTTTTAGTCAAATCTTTTGGATTTTGTATGTAAGTTATACAATTATTTGCAAATTGTGATAGCTTTATGTCCTCCTCTATGTCTTTTATTATGGTAATACCTTAAAAACTTTAAATGAGAGTAACTGTGGTAGACACCAAATATAAACAACTTTTTCAGCTGACGTAGATTTTGTAAAAACTCTTAAAGAAAAATACATATACTTAAAACAATATTTAAAAAATAAAGAATGGATACTGAATTATATAAAAACCTCAGTATCTATGGAGAAGATCACATCATTTTGATTTTGTTTTTATCCTATGGTGAATTATATTAATATGTTTCCTGATTTTGATATGTTCTTGCATGTATGGGATATACTCTGTGGTGTTTCTTACTGTTGATCATATTTGTTTATTGGTTTCAGGATTTTTACATTACTTAGCATGAGTAAAACAGATATATAGCTTTTAAAAATATATGTACTTTGGTGCTTATTGTCAGTTTTCTTGGACTTGATTAAAAAAAAAGAACTTGGGGCTTTCACTTCTGTTTATGCCACAGTGAATGTTACTGGACATACCTTCTTGACGTTAAATAAAACTAAAAACCAAAAAATTCTAGCAATATGAACAAGCTATATGAAACAATTATTTTTCAGAAATTGAAAGATAGGCAGTGTAGGACTATGACCCCTGAAAAAAGGGAAACAAATAATCTAAGCCATACAATCACCCCACATTACAGACTGCAGCCATTTCCCAGGTCATGGAGTAGAGGGGTAAACACAGGCAGAGCACAGGGGTCTCAATGAATTGCAGAGATGAGTCTCAGAGTTCAGGGAAATTGAGGCAAACTGAAATTTGGGGCAAAATATTTGAGGCAAGGTAGCTACCCAAATAAATAGCTCTAGAAATCTGAAAAAAAAAAAAAAAAAAAAAAAAAAAAAAACCCAAAAAAACAAAAAACAAAAAACAAAAAACTGGTTAAGCACTAACCACACATGGGAGAGAGTAAGACTCCACCAGACCAGCAAAAGAAGACATTCTGAGAAAGAAGTGCCAGGGACTTCTAAGCTAGAAAATGTCTACTACTCAAAGAGGGCTGTGAGGAGTTTGCTATCCAAACAGTCAGATGTCACAATGATATCACTGCCTCACTGTGAAATTATAAGAATGATTATATATATAGTACTACTTAGCTAACTCTTGAGTGAAATCTAAATCCTCTAAAATACACTTAAAAACTATTCTCTAGATTAAGCTGCATTGCATTTAGCTGACTCTGACCAGACTAAACCCATCCCTCTTTCAAGATAGAAAACAAAATATTAGCATTCAACAATATCACAATTACAATGTCCACAATCCAATCAGAAATTACTAGACATGAGAAAAGACAGGAAAATGTGACCATTAACATGTCGAATTGATTAATAGTCATAAAAATAGAAATGAAAGAGATGGTAGATTAGCATAAGAACTTTAAAAAGACTATTATAATTATTTTTGAGAGCTTAAAGGAAAACATGTACATGATGAAGAAAGAACTAGAAGAATTTTAAAAAGAGCCAAATATCTTCAGAGATAAAGAATCCAGTATATAAAATAAAATTTCACTGGATAGATTTAACAGCAGAATAGATATAGAGGATCCACAAGCTTGTAGAGTTTTGTCAAATTTCATCAAACTGTCCTCTTAAAATGAATGCATTTTATTGTATTAAAATTACACTTTAATAAAATTCACTTTCAAAAAAATTAGAAACTTTCATTCTTATTCTAAGTTCTAGAGCATCCTAGATAGATTGAAATTTCTGTCTTAAAGATGAGAGACCTTTCTCTGAGAAAAGTGTGTGGTCCTCTTGATTTTGTTGAGAGTAGAATCTCTTTTACTACTTTCTCGATTTATTTTATGGAGTTTTATTTTTATTTTCTCTCATTTCTGGGGTTAGGGTTTGTAGTATATATCAACCTATAAATAATTTCACCAGAATCTCAAATTACTTGCATAAAGATGGGTAAAATGGTCTCTTTTGCTTTTTAAATTTATCATATGTACCTGGTTACTTTCTCAGTATCATTTCTCATTTTATGTTATTTGTTCATTATAATACAATTATATATCATAATTATATATTAGCTATAATTATATATATAATGGCATTAATATGTAGAGCTCAGTTTCACAGAAATGAAAGAAATACATATTCAGCTTGCTTAGGTCTTAAATACTCCTATGACAAGTATGTATTTAAGTAAACTTTGATGCTTTATGTGATTATTTATACTATTTTACTTTCAATGTAATTGCTTCCTTTAAGTACAAAGTAACATTTTTCTTAAAGGGCTAGCTCTTTCTCTTCTAAATATATGTGATTATTTTCAAATTCAAACGTAAGCAAAAGTAGAAAAAAGTAGTATCAATGAATTTCCTTGAATCCATTGCCCAGATTCCACAAACTGTCAATTTTCTTCTCTTCCAGTTTTATTTCTTTTTCCACTATTTTTTTCCAAATGTTTTGAAGCAAATCCCATTTTATCTGTAAATACCTTAGTACATATCACTACCAGATAAGAAACTTTGAAGCTGAACCTGAATGTAATCAAGCTTTTATATTAACACGCCTATGGGAAATACAGGCAATAAGGAAAAGCAACTAAAATGACATTATAAGGATGTAAATAGCCAAATCTAGAATATGAGATATTGTACCGGACAAATGACACAAAAAAATAGCATGGATGAGAAGACATGAAGAGGGAGAATTTTTGTCTAGGTAGTAAGCCTTAAGACATATACTATGCAGATGCATCTGTGGAAAGTGTTTGAATCCTGATGAACTGTCAGAAAAATCATCTTGAGGCAATCATAATAAACTGTACACAGAAATTAAATGATATTAAGGAAAAATATTAATTTTCTTGGGTTTGATACTGGTGTTGTGGTTTTCCTTTTTTTTAATAAAAGAGAAAAACCTTTAAAATTATAAAATTCATGTTATCGAGGAGAAAAGCATTATTACTCAGAATTACTGTACTTCATTGTTTAGCTTAAGGGTAGATTGTGAGATACAATTTGCTGAGTTAAGTTTTGTTTAGGTTTTAATACCTGAAAACGTATTTTCCCTTACAGAACTTCTTGTATCATGAATATACTCCCTTTCTTAAAAAAAAATGACTATGATTATAACATTCTTCATAATTTCTTCTGTATTGGAGTTTTATTTTTAATTTTTTAAATAAACCTAACCCACAATGAATATTGCCAAGATGAAGGTCTATTTGCTCTAGCCACATCGTTTGAAAGGGGGTTGAAACATCCTCTCATTGAGAGTAAAGATACAGGAAATGGTGGGGGTTTCTTGCTCCTAAGGTGTCCCTGCAGCTGTGCCTCAGACTTAGTAATTTCACAGAAAACAGATTGAGGCCTTCTGTTTTACCCAAAGAAAGTTGGACTTAGATGCTGGTGGGATGGAAAGAGGAGATATTTTCAATTAAGAGTCCCTGTAGGGAGACCTATAGGGAGAGATGCAGAATACTGCCTAGATCCCCGGTTTAGGACTGAAGCACTGATTGCCTTATGTGCTAGGCGTGTTGGCTTCTGAGGGCTCATAGGTGAGTAGAGCTAAGGATTGTTTCTGGTTAAAGCAGGCTTCCTTACTCAACCCCCAAGAGGTTATGTTGCCTACCTTTGTAGTGATTCAAGGGTGAAGCAACTTGGCCTCAAATGGAAATATCTCTAAGAGGCCATTTTGGCCAGTCAGGATATCAGCTGAAACCTGCGTTGCAAGTCTATTGCTGTTCACCTCTTCTACCTAATATTGCTTCTGTCATGCCCTTACAAAAATTGTTTCTGGAAGCAATGTCTACTAAACTACCTGTTTTTCCCCAGATTCTCTTTCTTGGGAAAATGACCCATGGTAGAACTCCACAAATTGAGATGAAAGGTAATTACATATAATATTTCTAAGTAGTTGACTCCAATCACTGTTATACTAAATGACATTCAGTGGCTGATTTAGGGGGAAAATGACTTGAAATAAATGTTAAATGTACGACTTACAAAATATAGGACTTTAGCCATTGAAATAATCTGATACAACCTGGAAAATACATGGGTTAAGTAATGGCTGTAAAATTGACCTAGTGGAGCTACATAGAGAGTGGAAAGCATAGTTCATTGCACCCACTAAATTCAGTAGTATGGTTTTCCCCTCAAGCTATAGAGTAAGAAAGAGGTCGACAACTTAGCAATTTGCAGCAGACAGTCCACCATTAGCAAGAGGAAAGAGATCACTAACTCATTTTTCAAAGACTCTCTTTAGGACTTTACCTGTCAAGGTCATGATCAAATTTATGCTTTAGTCTTCAAAAATGCTATGTCTCCATGTCAGTATTTTCAAGTCTGTAATTTATAGGGCCAAATCACATATTTTGGAGGTACTTATTCTACAAAAACCTTTCTGTCTTAAATATTATCATCTTTGTACTCAAAAGAACTGTATTTCCTTTTCTTTTATATTTTGAAAAATATGTCTAAGGTTTCTTTTTCCACGTCAGGCTCATTGTTCTTGATATGCTGTTAGCATTAAATAACATAAAAACACCAAAAGGGAATCAAAAAGGAATAAAGAAAGAATTGGGCGCAAGGGGATTATTCTGTTATATTAGGATGTAATTTACATAAAGTAAAATTTGCTAGCTGCAAGAGCACAATTCGATAAATTTCAACAAATGTCGACAGTCATATACCACAATGATGATCATGATATAAGACTTTTCCATCACCCCAAGTTTTCTTATACCACTTTACAGACAATCCCACACTCTGATCCCTAAATGCCTGTAATCACTGATCCGCTGCTGTCATCAAAATTTTGCCTTTTCTAGAATTTTACCTGAATGGAATCATACAATAGTAGCTGTTTTTGTCTACATTCTTTTGCTTAGCGTGATGTTTTTGAGATTCATACATGAGATGCTCATTTTTTTTTTTTTTTTGCTGAATGGAATTTCATTGTACAGATTTATCACAATTATCCATTAACCAGTTTTTAACATTTATTTTCTTTCTAGTTTTTGGTTATTACAAATAAAGCTGTGTTGATATTCCAGCACAAGTCTTTGTGTGAGAATACATTTTCTCCAAGTAAATACCTAGTAGTGGAATTGCTGGGTCAGGTGCTATGTATATGTTTAATTTAATAAACCACCAAACTATTTTCCAAAGTGACTGTACCAGCATTACTGCATTTTTACCAGTAATGTATGAGTATTCCAGTTTCTCCACATTTTGACCAACACTTGGTATTGTAGATTTTAAAACAATTTTAGTCATTCAAGTGATTATGTAATGTCATTATGATTTTAGTTTGCATTATGATTTTAGTATGCATTTAGTCTCAAAACTAAAGCATAATGTAAATCCTGTATCAGATACATATTTTGCAAGTGTTTTCTTCCATCTGTGGCTTGCATTTTCTTGATTTTTTAAGCAGTATCTTTTGAATAAGAAATTTTAAGTGTGTCAATTTTAACAATTGTATTTTATGTATAGTGTGTTTTAAAAATTCATCCCAAGAAGTATTTTTCTGATCTAAAGTCACAAGATTTTCCATGGGTTTTCTTATCGAAATTTTATGTGTTTAGTTCTGACAGTTAGGTGAATTCAAGTTACTTTTCATAAATGGTATGAGGAAAGGAATGAGGCTGATTTTTCTTTTTCTTTTTTTTTTTTTTTTGAGACGGAGTCTCGCTCTGTCGCCCATGCTGGAGTGCGGTGGCGCCATCTCAGCTCACTGCAAGCTCCGCCTCCCGGGTTCACGCCATTCTCCTGCCTCAGCCTCCCGAGTAGCTGGGACTACAGGCGCCCACCATCAAGCCCGGCTAATTTTTTTTGCATTTTTCAGTAGAGACGGGGTTTCACCGTGTTAGCCAGGATGGTCTCAATCTCCTGACCTCGTGATCTGCCCGCCTCGGCCTCCCAAAGTGCTGGGATTACAGGTGTGAGCCACCGTGCCCGGCCTGATTTTTTTTACATGTGGAAATTCAATTGTTCCAGCAACAATTTTGGGAAAGACTATCCTTTCTCTGTTCACTTACCTGAGCACCTTTGTCAAATATTAATTTACATATGTATTAATCTATTTTGGGGCACTTTCTTTAGTTCCATGTATTTATACGTCTATACTTACATCAATATCATATTGTTTTTGTTGGTCTGATAGTGTAAGTTCTCCAACTTTTTCTTTTTTCAAAATTGTTTTGACTAGCTTTGGTTCTTTGCATTTCCACGTACATTTTAGGAAGAGCTCCTCAATTTGACCAACAAAAAAAGAATGCTGGAATGTGATTTGGATGTCACTGAATCTGTTAGTCAATTTGGAGAAAATTATTATCTTAATAATACTGAGTCTTGCCAGTAGATACTTACATGTTCCTCAGTAACGTTTTGCAGTTTACAGAGTACCGATCTTGTACCTATTTAGTTAAGTTGATCCTTCAGTATTTCATACTTTTATGCTGTTGTTCTATCTTCTTATTAAAATTTCAAATTGCATCCTAACATTCAGGAATAAAATTGTTAAAATATTGACAACGTGTCATAAAGCTTTGCTAAGATTCTTTTTATAGTTCTAATAGCTTATGAGTAGATTCCTTAGGACTTTCTACATGGATATTTTGTTTTTGAAAAGACAGTTTTACTCCTTTCTTTCCAAAGTTCTTGCTTTCTATATATTTTTATGCCTTTATTGCATTGATGGGGACTTCCAGGGTAATGTTGACTAGGAGACATGAGGCGTTGCACATCTTGCATCCTTACCAATCTTAGGTGAAAGGTATCCAGCCTTTCTCCCTAAAACACGGTAGGTGTAGGTTTTTCACAGATGCTCTGTATCAGATTGAAGATGATCCTGTCAATTCCCATTGTGCTAAAGATGGCTGTTTAATTTTGTCAAATCAAAAAAAAAAAAAGTAAAATGACCATATGGCTTTACTCTTTTATTTTGTCAATATGGTGGTAAATTGCATAATTTTCAAAAGCTAAATCAACCTTGCATTCCTGGAATAAAATTCAATTGATCCTGATATATTATACTTTTTTCGTATTGCTGAATTCAATTTGCTAAAATTATATCAAGGATATATTTGCATCTATCATCATAAGGTGTAGTGCTCTATTATTTTCTTGTGTAATGTCCTCATCTGGTTTTTTTTATGGAGGGTACTGCTGGCTTCATGAAATTAGTTATAAAGAACAGAATTTTCTTCTGTTTCTAAAAGAGTTAATAGAGGACTGTTACTACTTCCTTAAAAGTTTGGTAAATTTCATCAGTAAAGCCACTTAGATCTGGAGTCTTTCCTCTTAATTTTTCCGCTTTTAGGAACTTAATCATTTCTTTTGTGAATATGGATACACATATCACATGTTAAGGATGTATCCTTAGTGACCCTGATGAAATTGTTTGCTCTTTTACCACGAAGGTTATCCTAAAGATTTGATCCATAAAGCGAGACGAATTATGCTAGGTTGGCTGAGTGCTTAGCACTAGAATGGACAAAGGGCCATACTGTTGCTGGGGAGCACATTGGAGCCCCGTGAGTGTCCCCATATTTGGAAATGGTACATACTTTCTTATATGGTTTCAGATCAGAGTGTTTATTGTCTACTCTTCCCTCCCTGAACTGTGGCTCACTAATGGTTTTTTCATCTAGCCCTGCACTCCTCCGAATATAGTATAATCCCTAGTGCATTTTTAATACTTATGTAATAAATGGAGTTTGTCTTCAGTTGTATCAGAGATTTGCCAGTTTACTAAACATAAACAACAAAACTCTTAACAAAATAGTCAAAAGAAACTCTAGATTAACTATGGTGTAGACATATCAAAATATCTTTCTATCTCATTTTTGATCCATTAAGTGTCACTTTTTCCAATTTTTAAGTAGAGTTTATTTTTTAGAGCAGTTTTAGATTCATAGAAAAATTGAGTGGAAGGTGCAGAGATTTCCCATATACTACATTCCCATATGTATCTGCCTCCACATATGCCCAGCCTCCCCAACTATCAAATTTCTATACCAGAATGGTACAATTGTTACAATCAATGAATCTACATTGACATATTAGCACTCAAAGTCTGTAGTTTACATTATGGTTCACTTTTGCTGTTAGTGTTGGACCAAATATATAATAAAATGTATGCACCATTATAGTACCATACAGAGTAGATTCATTGCCCTAAAAATCCTCTGTTCCATGCCTGTTCGTCCCTCCCTCTCCGGTAACCCCTGGCAGTTATTAATCTTTTTAATGTCTCTATAGTTTTGTCTTTTCCAGACTGTTATGTAGTTGAACTCATACAGTATGTCGACTTTTCAGACTAGTGTCTTTCATTTAATAATATGTATTTAAGGTTCCTCCATGTCATTTCATGGCTTGATAGCTCATTTATTTTTAGTAATGAATAACATTCCATTTTCTGGACTTACCAGAGTTTGTTTATCCATTCACCTACCAAAGGATATCTTGGCTGTTTAAAATGTTTTGGCAATTATGAACGTTTTGGCAATTATGAATAAAGCTGCAATGAATATCTGTATATGGGCATTTGTATGCACAAAAGTTTTCACCACATTTGGATAAATACTAAGGGGCATGAATGATGAATCATATGGTAAGAGTATATCTAGTTTTATAAGGAACTGCCAAACAATCTTCCAAAGTGGCCAAACCATTTTGCATTTCAGACAACTGAGGACCAATAGTTCTAGCTTGGTCCACACACTTGCCAGCATTTGAAGTTGTCCGTGTTCGGAATTTTTGTCATTTTAATAGATGCGTAGTCTTACTTCATGGTTGTTTTACTTTGCCACTCCCGAATCACATATGATGTTGAGCTTCTTAGGCTTATTTGTCATCAGTACATCTTTGGTGAGGCATCAGCTCAGGTCTTTGGCCCATTATTTAATTGGATTGCTCACATTCTTATTGTTAATTTTTGAGTTCTTTGTATATTTAGAATGAGTCCTTTACCAGATAATTCGTTTGCAAATAGTTTCTCCTAATCTGTAGCTTATCTTCTTATTCTTTGAGCAGTGTCTTTCACAGAGCAGAAGTTTTTAATTCTAATAAGTTCAGCTGATCAATTCTATTTTTTTCATGGATCAAACCTTTGGTGGTATATCTAAGAAGTCATCACCATACCCAGGACCATCTTGTTTTTCTTGTCATGTTTGAGAATTTTATAGTTTTGCTGTTAGGCCTATCATCCATTTTGAGTTAATTTTTATGAAGGGTTAGGGTCTGTATCTAGATTTATTCTTTGGCATGTGGATGTTCAGTTGTTCCAGCACAATTGAGAAGAGTGTCTTTGACCTATTGTATTTCAAAGATCAGTTAATTATATTTGTGTGGGTCTATTTCTGAGCCCTCTATTTGTTACATTGATTTGTGTATTAGTTCACCAGTACCACACTTTCTTAATTGCTGTACTAATCAGTAATCTTACAATAAGTCTTGAGGTCAGGTAGTGTCAGCCCTCTGACTTTGTCCTTCTCTTTCAATATCATGTGACTATTCTGGATTTTTGCTACCCCATGCAAACTTTAGAGTTTACATTTCAGTTTATTGATATCCGTGAAAGAACTTGCTGAGATTTTGATTGGGGTTGCATCAAATCTATAGACTGGCTTGAGAAAAATTGACATTGTGACAATATTAAGTTTTCCTATGCATGAACATGGAATATCTCACCATTTATATATGTTTTGATTTCTTTCAACAGTGTTTTATGGTTTGCCTCACATAGAACTTCTACAAATTTAATTAGATTTATCTCTAATTATTTCATGTTTTGGGGTGTAATTGATACTGTGTTTATAATTTCAAATTCTACTTACTCATTGCTGGTATAAAGAAAAGTGATTTTGTAAAATATTAACCTTGTACCCTGCAACCTTGCTATAAACATTTATTGTGGGAGCATTTTTTTGTTTATTTTCTTGAATTTTCTATGTAGACAAACATGTAATATGTGAATAAAAACAGTTCTATTTTTTCCTTCTCATCTAGCATCACCTTTATTTTCTTTTCTTGGCTTATTACATTAGCTAGAATTTGCTATTGAAGTTGAAGGTGTTCTTTCCTATTCCTACTTTGCTGAGAGTTGGAAAAATCACAAATGAGTGTTGGATTTTGCCACATGATTTTTGCATGTCTATTGATATGATCGTGTGGTGTTTCTTCTTTAGCCTGTTGATGTAATGGGTTATATTAATTGATTTATAAATGGTGAATCAGACATGAATACTTGAAATAAATCCCACCTGGTCATGGTGTATATTTCTTTATATAGATTGTTGGGTTTGATTTGCTAATGTTTTGTTGAGGATTGTTGCATTACGTTCAGGAGAGGCATCGTTCTGTATTTTCTTTTCTTGTAATGTCCTTGCTTCGTTTTGGTATTATATTAATGCCAGCTTCATAGAATAAAGTAGAGAGTATTCCCTCTTCTGTCTTCTGACTGTATGGAATTATAGATGGGTGGATTTTTTTTTTCTCTCAAGACTTTAAATACTTCACCCTACTCCCTTTTTGTTACATGGTTTCTGAGACATTAGATACAGTCGGAGCCCCACAACCTGCCCATCTGAAAGCTCCCCCTAGAGGTTTGAGCAGTGGGGCACCGAAGAAACGAGCCACACCCCCATTGCATACTCTTCAAGGGGGAGAAGGGAACTTTCCCAGTTTCAGTTTGGTGTCTGACATCAGTTTGAGAGAATTCTTGGTCATTACTTCCTATATTTCTTCCTTTTATTTATCTCTTTCTTCTCCTGCTGCTGTTTCCATTACATATGTGTTATTCCTTGTAGTTGTCCAAAGTTCTTGGATATTCTGTTCTACTTTTTGAGTCTTTTTTCCTCTTGGCTTTTGAGTTTTTGAAGATTCTTTTTAGTTTTCAAAGATTCTTTCTTCAGCTGTGTCTAGTCTACTGCTAAGTCCATCAAAAGCATTCCTCATTTCTGTTACAGTTTTTTTGATCTCTAGCCTTTATTATTTTTTTTTAGAATTTTTATTTCTCTACTTACATTGCCCATCTGTTCTTGCATGCTACTTTACCCATTAGAGCCTTTAGCATATTAATTCTACTTGTTTAAATTCCCAGTCTGATAATTCAAACATCTCTGCCATCTATGCCTGTGACTCTGATGCTTGCTCCATCTCTTCAAACTGTGTTTTTTTTTTCTTATTAGTATGCATTGCGGGTTTTTCTAGATAGCTGGACATAATGTACTGGGTCAAAAGAGCTGTGGTAAATAGGCCTTTGGTAATGTGGTGGTAAGGTATGGAAGAAAAGGTAGCCTTCTATTATCCTATAATTATTTCTCAGTGTTGTAGTGAGCTTTTGCCCCCAGGCTGTGAACTTCACTAGTGTGTCTCAGTTCCTCTCTCCTTTCCACTTAGATGGGACAGGATGGCTAGAGTGGGCTGAAGTTTGGTATTTCCCTTCTGGTAGGTTGATTAAGCTTGGGAAAAACACTCAACAGTGTAAACTCTAATAAAATAGTTTCTCTTGAGGTCAGGTCCCGGTAAGAACAGAATTCTCCCATGTATTTCAAAATTATGACCTTTCCCTCCACCCTTGAAGTACAAGGGGATTTTTCTCCGATATGTGAAAATCTGGCTGAACTCCTTTCTACTGTAAGTCAGCAGTACACTTACAGAAGTGTGTGTGGCCCCATATGGCTAGATTTCCTGAAGTTTTTAACTCGGCCTTATCCATACTGAGCTTCCACCAATTTGTCACTTAGTTTTATGTTTTTCACAAAGGCACTGGCTCCCATGGAGGATTCTGCTTGTGGACCTGCTCAGGAAAGTTGTGATTCTCTGTAATCTGTCTTTCCAGTTTGTGGAGGGGGAAGCAGGCTGTCCTGGGACCTCACTTATCTGATGAATCTAAGAAGAGTTGTTGAATTTTCAGTTTGTTTAGCTTTTTGCCTCTTTGTTAGAATAAAGTGTTTACTTTCAAGCTCCTTATATCCTGAGCCAGAAACTGGAAGTCCTCTTACCTGTTAGTATTTTAATTAGATAATCCCTACACATTCAACTGAATGTGAATTTGTGAACTTGTATGTAGTGTTTACCAAAGAGATTTGCCAAGCTTGTGAGTATATCATAGTGGTATTAACAGGATTTCCCATCCCCACGATCCCCTAAAAACAACCAAAAAAAATTTCCATTGTAGCTTTGTAATACTCAAAGGAGAACAATAAACCTTTGACTTAAAAATGATGAGTAGGAATATTTTTGTGATGTACAGTGGCATTGTGGCACTGAAAATGTGATAGATTTTAACATAGTCAGAATTTAAACTTTAGCTTTTTCACTTTTTAGCCATATTATGTAAAGGAAGATATATAATGTCTTTGAATTTATATTTCCCTACTAGTTTTAAAAAAGTGATTTTTGAAATATTGAGTAAAATAATATTTAGGACAATTCTTATATAGGTACTCAAATATTTTCTCCAACTTATGTAAAATTTGCTCATTTTGGGGAATCTGAAGATTATAATTAAAAGAGCTCTATTTGTATAAAAGGAAGACAGAACATTTTGGAAGGCTGTTACAAGAGTTAAAGAAGAGAGAACTGATAGAAAAGTGGGAAATGGATAAGACTTAACTCATAAATGTAAATTAAATGGTAATACTAGATTTTAATTTGATATAAAATTTCTTACTTAGAACAACCTAAAGCGCATTGACTTCAAATTGGTTGGTCAGAGTAGAAGAATCCAAGAAAATGCCAATATCAATCTCAATTTAGAGTAAAAGGAAGCCAGGAGAGCGCAGGCAAGTGTCCAGGTTCTTTTAAAATAAATCATCTAGATACATGAAAGCCATCCTAGAAAGGAGTCTGGTGGGTGGCAGAGTCCAGATCATTCAATTCTACTTAATTTGGAAAGAAATCCAGTGCCAGATTATACAATGAATGCACAAGGTTTAAATTGAGTAACTGCTCAATTGTAGAAAATATGTGTTTATCTTTTCAATTTTTTCCCATACTCTGATTTACTTCCATTGATTTTCTTGCCAAATTAACTAGGATGAATTCTACATCAAATAAAATAGTCTGTAGGAATCATTTGGGCATTTTTTTAGAGGTGATTCTTTGAAGAACTTAATGTTTTAAATTGTCATTTACCTATGTACTCACAAACATTGTAAAACTGTATTAGAGGTCGTCCTACCAGCATTTGAAATTGTCTGCCTATTATCTCTGTAGAGTACTGTTTGCTGTAGTATTAAAACAATTTTGCAAAGCTTGAAAGTAGGAAATTTGTTTATTTTGCTTGTTTTAGTAAAAACAGGTGTGACAGAATCTAAAAAGAAAGTGCTATAGAATCAAATCAAATCACAAAAACAAGAAGTGCCATTTTCATAGATAGAAATTTTGGAAATCAGTTGTTTTTGGTTTATAGTTTTTCCATGCTAACACGCAGTATTCATTAATAAAACATAGTCATTCTTTATTATAGACAAAGCAAATGTTCCATACACCACCCTAGAGAAAGACCATTTAGAAATAAACAAGTGGTGCTGAAGGAGATGTGTAATTTAGCAAAAATAGCCACCCAAGCTGAGTTATCTTTTGGGAAAAGGAAATAGGAGACAAACAACTATCCTGAAGGGAGTTGATTTGGAAGGAAATTAAACATTTTCCCATGAGAAGCACAGCTTAGAGAGATATCAAGTGTTTGTGAATATCACCCAGCAGCCATTCAAGACAAAAAGAACACCCAAATGACATATAAACAAATATGTTTTCTTTTGTAGTTGTTCATTTGTAAGTTTTTAAAATTACTTGTAATCTGTTAAAAATCTCATTGGTCTTTTGTTATTAATTCAAAAGCATTCTTATATTTTCAACTTTTTAAAATTTAATTCTTGCCTTCAGTTTCCCTAATATTTTGTAAATCTCCTTTTGAATCAGCATTTTGCACTTCACTTTTATTAGCATCGTTTTTTTTCTTAAAGGTGAAGCAAGTTTCTTATCTTTAAAGATTTGCCATTTCAGCTTTTTATTAGTGACTTTGAAGTCCTTAAAATATCTCTCCTGATTTAACCTTACAATAATCTTAGTCCTATGTTTGCTAAAAATCAAAGCCAAAGATGATATTCAAAGTTGATTTTGTCCTAAAAAATCTTATTTTGGAGGTTTCCATCTGAAATTAAAATAGAATTTTATAGTTTATAATTCACTGAAATATTGTGGACAGGGTAAACATTTGGAAGCCCTCTTATCATTTCCTCTTGTCATCTCAACTTCAGACTCCCTGCAGTCATTGAGGCGAGCTAAGCATGCCAGTGGAACTCTACAACCTTACACAAAGAAATCTAGTTTTCTTTTGCTAGTCAACAACTACTCACTGTATCTTGACTTCAACTTATGACATCTCTTGGTCTTGTTCATTTCAATGCTCATATGTGAAGAGTTGCCCAAATAACTCCATTAATGAAATGCAATCTATGTGAGAGTCTTCCTCTGCCATTCTGTGGTTAGCATGCTGATGGTCTATGCCCTGTTTTTTATACTATTTTTATTTATTTATTCATTTACTTATTTATTTTTGAGATGGAGTCTTGCTCTGTCACCCAGGCTGGAGTGCAGTGGGGTGATCTCAGCTCACTGCAACCTCCACCTCCCAGGTTCAAGCGATTCTCCTGCCTCAGCCTCCTGAGTAGCTGGGACAACAGGCGCCTGCCCCCATGCCCAACTAATTTTTGTATTTTTAGTAGAGACGGGGTTTCACCATGTTGTCCAGGCTGGTCTCGAACTCCTGACCTCAGGTGATTCACCTGCCTTGGCCTCCCAAAGTGTTGGGATTACAGGCGTGAGCCACTGTGCCCGGCCCTATGCCCTATTTTATGTCTCCGAAACAGAAAGGAGAGACATGCAAACACATTTTCATGAGGAATTGTGGCTCACTTCCTCAATTCTCAGCTATTTTTGCAGCTTTAATTTTACTTTCTGAGGAATGTAAGAATATTATCCAAGCAAATACAAGCCTTTGGTTAAAATCACTGGATAATGTAACACTTGATCAATAATCCTATTTCCAGTGATTTTCCTAATCATAACATTTTATTCACAAACATCCAGACAGTTATATTTACATTCAACTCACCTTCTTGGTGTGGGCTCTTACCAAAACAGACCTGAGAAAAGGTTTCAAGTATACAACTGGGAAGATGGTACCAGGAAACACTGGTAGGGAAGTGAATTAAAACAGGCAAATGAACAAACCGTAGTTGCTATATGCCACTGACTAAAGAAGGTACTACTACTTCTGGTGAGGTTAATCTCACTGTGGAATTCTGTGGCAGACTCTAGATTTTGCATTATACTTGTTCCATCCAAGCGACTGGGAAACTGTTTTTATTTAGGTTTGTTTGTTTAGCAAAATTCTTATGTGTGATTTGTTGATATCTTCGTTTGGAAACATCAATGCCCAATATTTCTCACTGGTCCTATAGAGGCCTGAACTTGCTTCCACAGCTTGGAAATAGAAATTTTTCAGGCAGAAAGTAGCAATGTTTATGCTAAGTATATCTTTTCATGTCAGGACATAGAGGTGAGATATGAGAGTATCCTGACATGGTGTAGACAGTAGCTGCTATGCATCCGCACCCTATCCATAACCTTGTCCTACTAGCCACGTATGGTCTTCATGAAATATGGGAGGTAGCTTTAGTTTTGTGATTGTTAATTTTGTGTGTCAACTTGACTGCTAAGAGATGCCCAGACACCTGGTAAAACATTGTTTTTGGATATGTTTGTGAGGGTGTTTGCAGAAGAGATTGACATTTGAATCAGTGGACTGAGTAAAGACCTATCAACACCCATGTGGGTGAGCACGGTCCTATTTGTTCGGGGCTCAAATACCAAAAAAGGCAAAAAAAAAAAAAAAAGGATAAATTCTTTCTCTCTCTTTTTTAGCTGAGACATCCATCTTCTCCTACTCTCAAACATCAGAGATTCTGACATATGGGCCTTTGGACTTTGGGACTTACACTAGGGCTCCCCTGCCACCCTCTCACCCCCAGTTCTCAGACCTTTGGCCTCTGACTGAACTACACCACTGTCATCTTGGTTCTGAAGCTTACAGAAGACGTATCACAGGAATTCTTGGCCTCCATAATTGCACGAGTCAATTCCCATAATCTCCTTTTACATATCTATTCTCTTATTGATTCTGTTTCTCTGGACAACCTCAACTAATATAAGTTTGTCAAATGTTTGCCTGGAATCATCCTAGGAATTACTCTTCCCAGATACCTATATTATAGAAGTTCAGGAATGTTGGCCAGATACCTTTCCTTGCCCCATATGGAATAGTTAATGTTTACTGATGCTTAATCAGTTCCAAACTCTACATACTATTGAATAAATCACTTAATACAACCACATACTGAGCTATCTGATATTAATTCCATTTTTACTGATGATGAAACTGAGTCAAGATAAGTTACAATATTTAGTTAAGGTAACACAGGTTCTTATGGTATGATTTCAATGCAGGCATGTTTCATCCAAAGCCCTGGTTATAATTATTCTTCATTCCTAGATTATCAAATCTTCTTAATCAATCAATGTCAGGTCATGTTGATATCTGGCAATGTTGGAGTATGTTTCATTTTGAGAATGGTAAATATTCCTTAGGATCACTTTGGAAACTTTTTTTTTGATTGATTGATTGTCATCTTAAAAGTATATAAGTAAGAACACCTCATCATACCACAAAGTCTCTACTAGTGACAGTGAAAACCCACGGAGTCAACTAATATTCTACCTATGCACTTGCATTTGATGTGCTGGCTTTAATCAATGCCAGGAAGCTCCAGTTTTTAATCTTTGAGCAGATATACACATGTGCATATCAAATTTTCAAGCATTCTCTTAATAATTAGTTATTTCTTTGTTTCACTGTCTTCCTGTTTAGTTAACCAGCAGAGCTAGCTGATAGAGGCTAATGTGCTTTACTTATAATACAGTCTTTTTTTAAATGTATTACTAGTAAAGTATTAGCCAAAATTCTGAGTTATTGTTAGTGATAACTTTTAACATTTGGCAGTATAATAGCATATCAGTCAGGGTTTAGGCTGGAAACAGAATTCACGGAAAGAAATTCTGATGAAGACAGTGAAAAGGCTATCGTAAGATTTGGGCAGAAATAAAGAGACACACAGGCATATCGAGGCATCCAGAGATTAGCAATACCACTGGGAAGACATTTCCATTCCCATGCCTAAATGCCCAAGGTGGTGAAAGATGTTACTAGAACCCAGTGAGAGCTGGAGCTCAGAAGGCCCAGCCACACAGCTGACCTGGTGGAGGAAACCTTCCTGCCTCTGGTGGAGGCAACTACTGCCATGAGAGGCAATAATCTGAAGCTGGAGAAACAGAGAAGAAATAACATCTTTCTTTCCTCTAATCTCAAAGCCCCAGAATGCAGAAACAATGATTTACATGAAACTCAGGAGTTAGCCTCCTGGCTCACAGAGGAGCAAAGAAAAGCAGAAACCAGATTGGCCGGGATGTGGTGCTTAAATAACCGGTGGAAATACTTAATTTTGGCTCATAAATAGAGCTTATATTATCTTCCTTTAAGACTCTTTCTCTTTCTATTATACTATACTTGTACTTTGTTTTGTCTCTTTTTAAATTATTTGACTTAACAAAACTAAATTTTATGTTGTACAAGGAGGATGCAATGTTCATTCCCTCTACTTCACAAGGTTGCTTTGGAGATCATAAAAAATCAATTGTTTTCTCAATATCATACACGACCCCTCTGCCAACTGTGGATAGACTGAAGCATGGATGGTGGTTATATATGTCCTCGACCCTCTAGATACTTAGACCCTCCTAGGCTCTTTGTTCAGTACTGTGTGAAATTATAAGGAATATATAAAATTAACTGAAAGAAAGAGAAAGCAGTATAATTCTTAAACACATAAAATTGGCTCTGTGTATAAAAAGAGTAGAAAAGAAGTTGTTAACCGCATGGGTGAGAGGAAGGTATCAGTAGTACACATCTGAAGGATTACCATATTATAGATTGAGAAGAAAAGAAGTAGATTAAGCCGGTTTAGTGTCTGGGATGAAAAAAGAGAATAGAATACTTTTCCTTTACCAGAGGTGACGACTGACAGAGGTGCAGGAGAAAAGAGTATATCTATATTTATTAGCAGAGTATGAATTATTAAAAGGAGAATTAGGAGTCTATAATTAGTGTGTAGCTTTTCTATCCTGAGCTTTACTAATTTGAACATAAGTTTGTGCTTTTAATCAGCTGATGAACCAAAAGTGGGAAAGGGCATAATCAATACAATAAACTCTAAACATTTTATAATTCCAAGATTATATAGTCCCAACATTTAATGGAGGTCCAATGAAAGCATAAATCCTTGAACTTGTGAAGCTGGGCAATAACAGGCTGCTTAGATAATTCAAACATTATGTACACAGCATCAATAGAAACAGACTAGAAATTTACCAACAAGTAAGCAGGAAGCTTGCCAGGCTGTTCAGAAAAAACTGGAGTTTAAAGATACATCCCCATAATGATCCATAGAAAACAGATGTATTCATTTGTTGCACCAATTATCTGTTACAGATCCACTGATGTGATTTCAAAAACAAGGAAGTACCGTGTGACACAATTTGCTTTGAACTTCTATTTCTGAGGTCTCTTATTTCCTGGAATTCAAAGCCAAGGAAAAGAGGGCTGCAGTTAATCTTCCTTTTAGTTATTATTATCATGATTATCAGAATTACTATTATGAATTTTTTGAGTCCCTTTGTACTTCTGTGTCAGTATTATTACCAATGATTACCTATGCAGTCATTATAGGAACTCTCCTAGTAAGCCCCTAGAATGTTTGTATCCAAGATTCAGGTAGGTTTTAGGTGATGTCTGCTCACACTTGTTTTGACATAAAACAAAATTTCCTGCTTTCCAAATGCTGTACATTGTCTTATAAACCTGAGCCATTTCTCTTCTTTGTGAACAAAGAGTTGTAACTGGCCAAAATATAACTTTTGCACTCTTTCATTCTAAATTGCTAAAACGTATTGTTTCTGGGACGAATGTGCTATTTAAAAATTTTGCTTCTCAGTTTCATATAATTAGTCTCCCACTCTCCAGAAAGCTGTTGGACAGACTGTTGGAAGTAAGATCAGGAGTCTATGAGATGAAATTTTTATAACTCAAATCCCTGATCTTCATTTTAGTTCTAAATGTTGGCTAATTCTTGGCAGGGCTCAAGAGACCCTATGTAACTACAAACCATCTAGGAAGCTGGAGGCCAAGAATTAGGTAAACATTGAAAGTACTTATTAATTTTTGCGGGAATAATTTGATGAATTTTTTATGATGTGAGAAAAAAATTAAAATTAGACTGTAATTTTGAAAACAATCACATCTGTGCAGAGTACCTTGCTCTATTCTAGGAAATTTAAAAAATAGAAGGCATGATTTCTATAAAATGAGAGTATGTATATACATTTTTGTTACTAGTTGTATATGGAAACAGGACGTTTTTGAGGTTTCCTGTATATGAGACTCTTCATGGCTATAGAATGAAGTTTATAGCATAAGATATCTATGGTCACACTTTTATCATTTCTCTCCAACAACAGGCTTATTTTTTAAAAAAAGTCAGGTACCATTTTACAATAAAAAATAAGTCATTTGGCCAGGTGTGGTGGCTCATGCCTGTAATCCTAGCACTTTGGGAGGCCCAGGCGGGGGTGGATCACCTGAGAGGTCAGGAGTTCAAGGCCAGCCTGGCCAACATGATGAAACCCCAGTCTCTACTAAAAATACAAAAATTAACTAGGCATGGTGGTGCATGCCTGTAATCTCAGCTACTTGGAGGCTGAGGCAGGAGAATCGCTTTAACCCGGGAAATGGAGGTTGCGGTGAGCCTAGATCACACCACTGCACTCCAGCCTGGGCAGCAAGAGTGAGACTCTGTCTCAAAAAAAAAAAAAAAAAAAAGTCATTTAACGGATATCATGTTTGACAACATTATCCAGAATCTGGAATATTAACCATAATACTAAAAGAACAATTAGCATTATCAAAATTATAATAAAAATATATATTAAGTATTCATTGGGAACAAGTATCAACACGTAATTGAAACTTAACACTTTCTAACTTTTCTTTCTTTCTCTTTGTAGTGCCTTCTTAACACTTTTAATCATAGTTTTTCAATGTGTAAATCTTCTTTGCAGTGTTAATTGATATTTAATATTTCAGTTCTCTTTTCTGGCAGGACTACAAAATGCTTATGAATTTTCTTGAGGTTATTAATGCTGCCACTTTAGAAAAACATCAAATTTGTCTACTACGTACAAACAGTGTAAATTAGAAAACAGTGGTTTAGGCCGGGCACAGTGGCTCACGCCTGTAATCCCAGCACTTTGGGAGACCGAGGCAGGCGGATCACGAGGTCAGGAGATCGAGACCATCCTGGCTAACACGGTGAAACCCCGTCTCTACTAATAATACATAAAAAAAAAAAAATTAGCCAGATGTGGTTGCAGGTGCCTGTAGTCCCAGCTACTCGGGAGGCTGAGGCAGGAGAATGGCCTGAACCCGGGAGGCGGAGCTTGCAGTGAGCCGAGATTGTGCCACTGCACTCCAGCCTGGGCGACAGAGCGAGACTCCCTCTCAAAAACAAAACAAAAACAAAAACAAAAAACGGTGGTTTCTATGCAGTTACTGAAATTGTAAGAGTAGTACCCACCAAATTAACAATTTCATGTGGTTGTACAAAATACTCATAAGTCTTGCCTTTTTCTGGCTCTTTTCCTTTTCATTCATTAAAAAATAGTTTTCTTACGTTTGAAAATTCTTCTTAAGAAAGAAGTATAAATTAGCCGGGAGTGGAGGTGCATGGCTGCAATCTCAGCTACTCAGGAGGCGGAGGCAGGAAAATCGTTTGAACCTGGGAGGCGGAGGTTGCAGTCACGGTGAGACTCTGTCTCAAAAAAAAAAGTATGATTTTCTTGAAATTTCTTTCTTGACCTCCTCTAAAGTTCTTATGTTTATCTAGGGGTGTCTGAGTCTGTCTTCTTCTTCACATACTCCTTCAATTTTTTTTTTTTGAGACTGAATTTGCTGTTGTTGCCCAAGCTGGAGTGCAACGGCATGATCTCGGTTCGCGGCAACCTCTGCCTCCCAAGTTCAAGCGATTCTCCTGCCTCAGCCTCCCAAGTAGCTGGGATTACAGGCCTGCACCACCACGCCTGACTAATTTTGTATTTTTAGTAGAGACGGGGTTTCCCCATGTTGGTCAGGCTGGTCTCGAACTCCTGGCCTCAGGTGATCTGCTTGCCTCGGTCTCCCAAAGTGCTAGGATTATAGGTGTTAGCCACCATAATATTTTTAATTGCTTTCTTGGTCAGGTGTACATAAGGAGGTGGGGGACTTAAACTTCACCATAGAATTTCCTTTCACCAAATCTTGCTGAAATGAACAAAAACTAGTAAAAGTAAATAAATGACAGAAACAAGACAAATAAAAAGTTCTACCAACAAAGTAAAATAAGAGAGAGATAATCTAATAAAATCATGTTCAAAACTCCAAGCCAAGGAATAAAGCAAGATTCATTTCATTGGTTCTTGTAGGAAAAGCAAAAAGAAATGACAGTTTAACAAACTGTTGTATTTCTCTAGAAACCAGGATGGTTTCTAGAGTAAATTATAAAGTCCTGAGGAGTTGGCCATTAACATCTCCAAATGTATAGAGGAAGAAAACAACCTTTTCCCTAGTCTGATTGAGGAATAGTGGAAAGTACTGACAGCTAGAAACACAGTAAAGCATGGTAAATTGAACAGGGCTGATTCTCTTTAATAAATTAAAGACTATATGCCTACATATCGGATTGGGGAAATGATCCAAAGCCTAATGGTACCCTTCTATGTGAGTAGACATATATCACTAAATTAACTGAAATAAATACCGCTAATGGGAAATTAACAAAAGTCAATGTGTTCTAATAAAGACTGCATATGGCCTGAAGTTAAGCTATTGAAACTCAAGGATAAAGACAGAATTTTTTTTTCGACAAGTAGACCAATAAATATCAACTAAAAGCAGGAAAAATTAGGGTGATCTTCAACTTCTCCATAGAAACAGTCAAAGTCACAAGACAATGAAGCACAGTCTTCAAAGGACTGCAGGAAAGAAAATGCAACCCAGAAACAGTATTCATGTACAAGTGTGAAAGAACTTACGAGGTATGAACCACGCATTTAAAGTAAAAAAGAAAAAAATATTCCTAATAAGGCTATTTAGACAATTAGAGATTAATCAAAATCATGAGCTCAGGATTCAAAGTTATTGTTACTTGGTGAGCACAGAAACCATTCATATGTAGAAATAATAGTGATAAAACAACATGGCACTACCTGTTGTTACTAGGTACCTGATAGTTTTCTAAGGACTTCCTTCAATTAATTTTCTCAAAATTTTAGAATGTAGATACTATTATTATCTCCATTTTATAGACAAGAAAAATGGAAGTGTAAGTGGTCAAGGCAACTTCAAAGGCACAGAAAGAGGCAGAGCAATTAGTTTGAATCCAGGAAGAGTCACAAGGATGGCCAGCCTCCCTCCCACTTCCACTAACTGCCCCTGTAGCCCCCAGCCCTGCAACCATAGGCATTCCCGCTACAGAGCACATGGGGCCATCACAAACCTGGCTCAGGGTTATTAGGGAAGCCATGTTGCCTTTTGATATATGTTGCATTTTAATTTGAATTACTGTAGATCACTTAATGTGAAGGAATTCCTAGTATATTCACAGTTATATTTTTCAATTTGCCATTGTTCTCTTTGTCATAGCTGTTATTCCTTTTTCTCTCTTGCCATCTTTTGGATTCATACTGTGATTATTGTATTTATTCAATTTTCTCTGCTCTTGGCTTGTCAATGATATGTCCTCCTGCTAGTATTTTAGTGGTGACCTTCCAGATTAAAACGTGCATCCTGGGCATTGTTGTTATTATATTATTAGAGTGTATCATAAATCGGTACTTTTATATTCTCCAGACAAGTCTAGGGACATAGAGCACTTTAAGCACATTGATCTATCTGCCTCTGTGTTCAGGACTGAATCCTGACAGATATAGATATAATAACTCTACAGAAAGGTCACAAATCATAAGTATGCAACTTGACACAAAATGAAAATATCTGTATAAACAGCACCCACATCAAGAAACAGGACATGGCCAGTATAGGAAAAATTCTTATGTCATTTACCAGTCCTTACCACCTCCAAGAAAAACCACCATGTGACTTCTAACATTTTACAAAAAGGTTTTGTCTGCTTTCAAACCTTAAAAATGAAATCACGATTAATACATACTCTTTTGCCTTACTTTCACTCAAGACTCCTACATAAACCTTTGCTTCTATCCATGGTATTTTTTTATTTTAATTGCTATATAATATTGCACTGTACAAATTTACTGCAATGTTACAGATACTAATTCTGTGCTATAAACCATTGAAAAAGACATACTGACTTACAATAATTATGTATGTAATTATATGTATGTATCTGTGTTATATATAAAATGTTTATATGTTAATTTATGTAGTTATATATGTATATTATATATTCCATGCCAGAAGACAAAACCCACAGCCCTAACTCTCCTCTGCCTTACTCTCCATCTAAGTCTTCGGTAGAACAATGCTCTTACGATTCTTAGAAGCCCGATTATTTCATAAAGAGGATCTGAAAGGCATTCCCTGAGGATATTTTTAGGTCTTTTTTCTGTCTGAAAGATTTTATGAATCACTTCATTAAATATTTCTGGGTTCTTAATAAAGGATGTTATGGTGCTGAGATTTGTTCTTTGATAATTTGAGAATGTTTTGCCATGAGGGGTAGGCTGGAAATGAGAAGCAATTTTATTTTACAACCCAGTATGTCCTGGCTTTTTACAAGTTCAACTCTTCTTTATGTCTTGTCTCTCCTCTCACATTTTATCTCAGACAATGAGAAGATACCAGATGGCACTTTAAATATTCTACCTGAAAATCTCCTTAGCTGGGTCATCAAGTTCAATGGGCACTTTTCCTAGTTTTCTCATTACTGCAGATGACAGCGTTGTCAACAATTCACCGTCTGCAAAACATGGGCCATGTTCCTCCCCCTTCCAATAACAGTTCCCCTCCTTTGAGTGTTCACTGGCAGCCTCCTGGGGCCTCTACACACCTCACTAACAATTGTCAGGACAGCCTTTAGGCTGTCACCCACTTTCTGGTTCTAACACCAGTGTCACAGATTCAAGCACTCATTTCTGGTATCCAATTCTGTTCCACTTATTACTGATACATAAAAAGTACCTCAAAATACAGTGACTTAAATCAATGCCAATCCTTAATTTTAGTGACAAACCTGTAATTTGGGTAGGACTATGCTGGGTCAGTTTATCCCTGCTAGGCCCAGTGTTCGCTGGAGTCAGATTGATTCAGGGCTTGGGGATTAATTTTAAAGGTGGCTTGCTCATGTTGGGGGCATGATGGCACAAGCAGGCAGCTGTAGGCTCATCCAGGGTTCAGTTTCTCTCCAGGCTGGTTAGTCAATGGGCTGCCTGGCTTCATGATAGCATGGTGCCTGGGTTCTAAGAGTGAACATCTCAGGAGAATCAAGTAGGAACTATCTGGTCATTTTATGACTTAGCTTCAGAAGTCACATAGTGTCACTTTAGAAATAATTACCCGTCCACCCAAATTCAAGGGGAGAGGGATACTATACATTCCACCTCTGGAGAATAAAATTGTCAAAATTTTATTTTAAAAGGAGTATGTTGGATTGGAGATTATTATAATTAGTCTCACACCACTGAACCATTTCCCTGTTAAAGAATGTGGCCTTATTTTTCTATTTGTGGATAAACAGTGCTATAATATTATTTTAGTGCATTTCTTTGGAGAACATATATTTACGTTTGTGTAACCATCTAGAACCATAACTATCAGATGTTAGGATTTGTATATGATTAGCTTTAGAAGATGATGCCAAACAGGTTTCACAACTGGATCACAGGCATACCTCATTTGATTGTGCTTCTCAGATACTGTGTTTTCATTTATTTAATTAATTACTATTATTATTATTTTTGAGACAGAGTGTCTCTCTGTTGCCCAGGCTGAAATGCAGTGGCATGAACTCGGCTCACTGCAACCTCCGCCTCTGAGGTTCAAGTGATTCTCCTGCCTCAGCCTCCTGAGTAGCTGGTATTACAGGCGTGCACCACCACACTCGGCTAATTTTTTGTATTTTTGGTAGACACATGGTTTCTCCATGTTGACCAGGCTGGTTTCGAACTCCTGACCTCAGGTGATCTGCCCACCTTGGCCTCCCAAAGTGCTGGGATTACAGGCGTGAGACACCGCACCTGGCCAGATACTGTGTTTTTTTACAAATGGAAGGTTTGTGGCAACCTTGCATCTAACAAGTCTATTGGTGCCATTTTTTTTTAAACAACAAGCACTCATTTCATGTCTTTGTGTCACATTTTGGTAATTTTTGCCATATTTAAAACCTTTAAGTTATTATATATGCTATGATCTGTGATTAGTGATCTTTGATGTTAATATTGCCATTATTTTTGGGTGCCACAAATTGTGCCCATATAAGATGACAAACTTAATGGATAGATGTATGTGTTGTGACTGCTCCATCAATTGGCTTTTCTCCCATCTCTGTCTTTCTTTGGGGGCCTTCCCTGAGACACAAAGATACTGAAATTAGGCCAATTAATAACCCTATAATGGCCTCTAGTGTTCAAGTGAAAGGGAGAGTTGCACAACTCTGACTTTAAATCAAAAGCTAGAAATGATTAAGCTTAGAAATCAAAAGCTAGAAATGATTAAGCTTAGTGATGATGGTATGTTGCATATTGAGATAGGCTGGAAGCTAAGACTCTTGGGCCAAATAGTTAGCCAAGTTGTGAATACAAGTTGTGAATACAAAGGAAAAGTTCCTGAAGGAAATTAAAAGTGATAATCCAATGGACATATGAATGATGAGTCTTATTGCTGATATGCAGAAAGTTTGAGAGGTCTGGATAGGTCAAACCAACCATAGCATTCTCTTAAAGCCAATGCCTAATCCAGAGCAAGGCCCTAACTCTCTTAAATTCTGTGAAGGCCAAGAGAGGTGGGGAAGCTACAGAAGAAACTTTGAAGCAAGCAGAGGTTGGTTCATGAGGTTTAAGAAAAGGACTATCTCCATAATATAAAAGTTCAAGGTGAAACAGCAAGGTCTGACGGAGAAGCAGCAGTGAATTATCCAGAATATCTAGCTAAGAAAATTGATCAAGGTGGCTACACTAAACAACAGATTTTGAATGTAAATGAAACAGCCTTCTGCAGGAAGAAGATGCCATCTGGGGCTTTGATAGTTAGAGAGGGCAAGTCAAGGGCTGGATTCAAAGTTTCAAAGGACAGACTGACTCTCTTGTTTGGGGTTATGAAACTGGTGACTTTAACTTGAAGGCGATGCTCATTTACTATTCCCCAAATCCTAGGACCCCTGAGAATTACATTAAATATACTCTGCTTATGCTCCAGAAATGGAAGAACAAAGCCTGGATGACAGTACATCTATTTACAGCGTGGTTTACTGAATAATTTAAGCCCGCTGTTGAGGCTTACTGCTAGGAAAAAAAAGATTGCTTTCAAAAGATTATTGCTCATTGACAATGCACCTGGTCACCCAAGAGCGCTGATGAACATGTACAAGGAGATAAATGTTTTAATGCTTGCTAACGCATCATTCATTCTGCAGCCCATGAATGAAGGAGTAATTTAGATTATGAAGTCTTATTATTTAAGAAATACTTTCTGTAAGGCAGTTGCTGCCATAGATAGTGATTCCTTTGATGGATCTGGGCAAAGTAAATTGAAAACCTTCTGAAAAGAATTCACCACTTTAGATGTCGAGAACATTCACAATTTATGGAAGGAGGTCAAAATATCAAGATTAATAGGGGTATATACCCAAAGGATTATAAAACATGCTGCTATAAAGACATATGCACACACATGTTTATTGCGGCACTATTCACAATAGCAAAGACTTGGAACCAACCCAAATGTCCAACAATAATAGACTGGATTAAGAAAATGTGGCACATATACACCATGGAATACTATGCAGCCATAAAAAATGATGAGTTCATGTCCTTTGTAGGGACATGGATGAAGCTGGAAACCATCATTCTCAGCAAACTATCGCAAGGACAAAAAACCAAACACCACATGTTCTCACTCATAGGTGGGAACTGAACAATGAGAACACATGGACACAGGAAGGGGAACATCACACACCCGGGCCTGTTGTGGGGTGGGGAGAGTGGGGAGGGATAGCATTAGGAGATATACCTAATGTTAATTATGAGTTAATGGGTGCAGCACACCAGCATGGCACATGTATACATATGTAACAAACCTGCACGTTGTGCACATGTACCCTAAAACTTAAAGAACAATTAAAAAAAAGAGATAGGAATTTTTAAGAAATTGATTCCAACTGTCATGGTTGACTTTGAGGGGTTCAAGACTTCAGTGGTGGAAGTTTTTGCAGATGCGATCGAAATAGTAAGAAAACTAGAACTAGAAGTGGAGCCTGAAGATGTGACTGAATTGCTGCAATTTCATGATAAAACTTGAATGGATAAGGATTGCTTCTTATAGATGAACAAAGAAAGTTGTTCATGAGATCAGATCTCCTGGTGAAGATGCTGTGAGCATTGTTGAAATAACAAGGATTTAGAATATTACATAAAATTAGTTGATAAAGGCAGTGGCAGAATTTGAAAGGATTGACTCCAATTTTGAAAGAAGTTGTACTGTGGGTAAAATGCTATCAAACAGGACTGTAAGCTGTAGAAAAATATTTCATAAAGGCAATAGTTAATCAATGTGGCAAACTTTATTGTTGTCTTACTTTAAGAAATTGTGACAGCCATCCCATCCTTCATCAAACAGCACTCTAATTAGTCAGCAGCCATCAACATCTAGGCATGATCCTCCACCAGTAAAAGATTATGACTAGGTGAAGACTCAGATGACTATTAGCATTTTTTAGCAATAAAATATTTTAAAATTAGGGTCTGTACGTGTTTCTTTCAAGACATAATTCTATTGCACATTTTTAGATTACAGCATAGCGTAATATAATTTTTGTACCCATTGGGAAATCTAAAAAATTTATGTGACTTGGTTTATTATGATACTGGCTTTATTGAAGTAGTCTGTAACTGAACCCACATATCTCGGATGTATGCTTGTGTATGATTTTACAATCCCACTAACAGTTTATTTCCACTCCTCAAAAGTACTTGTGTTTGTGTAGGCTAATAATAGCTGGCAATTATTTGTTCCTTGTCCTTGAGAAGGAGAGTCTGATTCTCTTCCCTTTCAATCAGCTCTGGCCTTGATAAATTTCTTGGCCCAGCAGACTGCAACAGAATTGAAGTTGTAGGACTTTCATGGCTAATTAGAAATTATGAAAAACCCAAACCTTGTGCTTTCTGTTTGTGCATCTTGAGATCCCCTTGTTTAGAGCTACACGCCCCGATGGAAATGGTCTGACCACCCTGAGATCATGTGCTGGAGGTCTTGTTGACAGTATGGTCCCAGCCTTCTAGAACATTTTTTAGATGTCTGTCACATGAATGAAGTTGTCTTGAGTATTGCCCACCAGCCCACCCACTAGACTAGTCTTGAATACTGCTAATGATTTCCAACAAGGCTGTGACAGAAGAATCACCAGTGTAAGGCTGCTGGATTCTTGACACATGACATCATGAGATAGAAATAAGGAAACAGAAATTTAATGAGAAAGAGATAATGAGATATAAAATTGAAGTGCTTTAATCTATTAAGTTTTGGGGTAGTTCATTCTGCTGCAATAAATAACTGGAAGGGTATGTTGTTTTAGCCATTATGATCGCTATTTTGCTTTAGCCATTATGATGTACATGTGGTAATAGAGCATCGTGCTTTTAGTTTGCATTTCGCTGACAATTATAGTGCTGAGCAACTTTCCATGTTTCGATAATCTTTAGTGACATCCTGTTCAGTTTTTTTCTTTTGCCATTTTACACTGAGATTATTTTTCTTTGTGGATTCTTTACATTAGATTGACCTATATAGAGTTGGGCTTTTAAAAAATTTCTCCTTTAATTCTGTTTACTATTGCTTTATTCATCTTGAAGCTTGATTAATGGTCTTATACAGATTTAGGATTATGATACTTTCCAGATATGTTGGCCCTTTGCGGCAGTTATCTTTTGACACAGTGTTTTATAATAACGACACAAATCTGGTAGCCAAAACAATAAGGAGCTATATATTTATTACAAGTCAGTGGACTGACTGGGCAAATCTTTTGGTCAAAGATAGATTCACAGATGCAACTGCAATTCGCTGGGGACACTTAGGCAATTCTTCCAAGCTTGGCTTAGCGCTCTCATAAGTTGCATAAAAACTGTGCTCCCCTTCATGTGTTTTTCACGTTCACAAGTCTCTCCTATCATGTTGTCTGGTAGCCTTCTTGAAATATTCTAACTGTGGTCCCTCGGCCCAACACACACACACACACACACACACAAACATAAACCAGGAAGAAATTAGAAGCACACGATACTCTTTCAAGCCTTTGCTTTCAATAAATCTGCTAATATCCTTTTAGCCAAAGCAAGTTTGTCAGTCTGTACCCAATCAGGAAAAAGAGATGACACCATTATTTAAGTAGAAGAAGTTTAATATAAATAATTATGAAGCTATATTAGGAGAACAACCTATAAAGATGTAAAGATAGTTAATAGGTGCTCCAGGGTTGTGAGAAGATCAATAAAGGAGGGAAAACATAATAGAGGGTGGTGTTCTTCCAAGGCTAGGGGTCCAATCTCATTAGAGAAGCTGCGGCTTTAGCTTACTTGATGACAGTAACACACACTGATGACATCTTCCAGAGTTAGTTCAGTCACCTGGTAATCAGGCTATAACTTTCATGCACGTGAAGGTGAGCTGAGACTTGGGGGTAGGTATGCAATGAGAGTTGGAATGTCACTATCGTTGGCAAACACAAAAAAAGAACACAAAGTTCATATAGAGGAGGCCATGAAGAGTAAGCAACTAGGGCAACAGAGAGCTGAGGCTAGCAAGTGGGCACATAGAATCATGTCACTGCTGTGTGCATGAAGCCTGAAGCATGTGATTTCCATGTTAGGAGGGCCCCTGGAAGCAACCTTCCAGGATGCAGGTAAACCTAGGCTGGTGGGAGATTGCACAGGGTGCTTCTGTGGGTATGAGGCTGGGAGCATGCAATATTTATATCAGGAGAGCTGTGAGAAATACAGCTCTCTCCTGCAGACAAGATAAAGGCACATAGGGAGAGCAGGGTGCTACTAGGAGGCTTGGAACATGTGGTGTCTGCACTGGGGACCCCGAGAAGTCACCAGGCCAGGCCAGAGTCATAGGACCACTGAGGGACTACCACTCTGGACATCGGCTGGGGCAGAGACCCAGCAGATGTCCACACATTTATGGCCACAGATAGATAGATCATAAAGCAGGAGCAAGAAAAATAAAAATACAGAAAACTCAACTCAAACTTAGAAGAGCACGCTTTTTCTTCCTACATTGTCTTTCTAGTGACCTCTCCTAACAAAACATCATGCTTACTGAAAAGGAGAAATAAATACAATGATATTGCAGAGTAGGTACTGAGGGTGAATTTGGAGCTAAGGGACCATAAATTGATGACTAACACAGGCAGTCATGTGGCAAAGCTTATATTCAGCGTATGGGAAAATTGACTCCATCTCTTTAGTGAGAAAACTGCAAAAGCATAAGACAAAGGGCAAATATAAACATAGAGCTTAAGTTTTTGGTGATCAATCAAAAATGTAATAAACCACAAGTCAGTCCCCAGCCATAATGACTCAGAAAACTTCCATGTAGAAAACATGCTCATTTCTCGCCTTGATCCCTCCTCACATTTCATTCAGTTACATCAAATTCATAATTCAGGATCTTCTGATCAACCTCAAATCCACGTATGTGGTTCCTTTTGTGTAGCTCCTTATATTCTGCAGAATTTTTGATGAAAGAGGGATGTTATCTGGACCCCCCCACCACCTGTAACTTCAATGGTGCAAAAGAAAGATAACTACCTGATGCATTTATTGTAGAAAATTTTACTAATTTTCTACTCAAGAATGAGAACAACGGCCATATAGCTGTCACTGTCTCAATGGTATTCTGAAATCTAGCTTGGAAAATGTTGGCAGATATTCCGAATTTTGGAATATTTTATTTAGGACTTAATTATAATAATTGAGAGTAGACCTACAAATCATTTTCCTCCACATTTCTTGGTTCTGGTTTTTTGGACATTCATTTTATTTTTATTCTTCTCCTTAACTACTTCTGAAAGGACACTGGAAAATTTGTGACTTAATCAACTTTTACATTCTCCTTTCTGCCTATAGAAAGATACGGCAGAGAGCTTTTGTTTTTGCATTTTGAGCAACATCAGTCCATTTAAATCCAGGCTGGAGGCATTTTTGACAATTAAACTCCCTTAGAAACTTTGCGGGTTTCCAATAAAATTGACTTCATTCAACACCATTAACCAAAATCCACTCCTACAATTCCCTAACAAATATGCTACTCTTCCTAGATACATGATCACTTTGCCCATAATAAGCTGCTATATCACAATGTTCTCTAGATTTTTGAAACTGAGATAGTATCCTATGCATTGCATATTTGAGATGGTATCTACCTTAATTAATTCACAAGTCTTTTACTGCCATACCCTTTATTTTAAATGCAATTGCATTCTATATTTTCTTTTGAGAAGCTTTTGCTCTCTGGAATGTTTGGAGATTACATTTTCATATCTAACATATCAAGTTCTCTTTGCTTTATAAATTCTGTAAATTCATCTCTGTATGTTCTAGTACAGCTTATCATATGTAGCTTTTACGGGCCAACTGACCCTGTCAACATTCCATTAGAAATATGTTTTGTTTTGGTCCTAACCAACTGTTCACTAGGTATATTTTTCTATATTCTAATTTAATGCACATGATTGTTCTATGGTCATTTCACTACTGCCCAACACAGGCTGTAATGTTTCTGGTCTTCAGTAATTTTCTTACCATTTTCTAGCCTTTCCTATCAATTTTCTTGCTAGTTTTTTTTCAGCTCTGTCCACTGTCAAGTACTAAAACCAGTACATATTTTAAATTTTGTTATGATATCACTCCTCTTCTGATACCAGTTTCTGTATCAGTTATCTGTTTTATATAATAATGTTTCTAAATGCAGTGGCTTAACAAGTGAACATATTATTCTTTATCTGTCTACAAGTGGGCTGAGTGGTGATTGTATTCATTTCTCAGTTCACTACCACAATGCTAGTCAGCAGCATGTAGGTTAGTTTATTGATCTTGGCTGTTCTCTCACTCCCACTCTCTTGCCTCCTTCTTTGGAAGCTGTCTGACTATTGGCTGGACTATTACAGTCTTAGTTTGGACAACTTATCTCTTCCCATGTGTTTCTTTTAGCCACATGTTTCTAAATTCTTTCCAGAAGGATAGTTTGGGCATATTCTTCTGACTATCACAGACAAGCAAAAGAGAAATCCAAAACCCACAAACACTTCATCAAGGTTTTATTTATGTTAAAGCTGCTAACATTATTTTTGGCTAAGACAATTAATAGCAGTAAGCCCAAATTTAGGGCTGGGAAAATATACTCGAACAAATTAGTTAAATGAATTTCACAGTCACAGCAAAGGACATGGATACTGGTGGAAATGCACAGTTGAGGTTACCAATACAATCATTCAATTATACACCTTTGCCATTATAAAATATACATCTCTTTCTTTCTTAATGCTATTTGTTTTACCTTAAAATTGAATTTTCATGATATTAATGTATATAGATAAATTTTTTGTTATGTTATTTTTCACTCAATTTCAATATTTCTGAATACAACTGTAATTTTTAAGACAACAAATTGCTTTTTTTAAGGCCAATAATCTTAGTGTTTTATGTAGCATATTTAATCCATTTATATTTATTGGTATTGCTGATATCTCACTTTTTATTTTCTCTTTGACCTACCTCTTCTGTGTTCTTTTTATTCCATTTTTGATTTAATTAATTTTGTCTTATTAATTTCTTACTATGCTTCTACCTTTTCCTATAGATATTACAGCATGCATTTTGATGTATTATGGAGTTTAAAACAAACGAATATTTTGACCATTCTCACAATACCGTTAGCATCTTTAAAACTGTTAAGCTCTATCAACTCCGCACCCACCTCTTGCATTTCATGAACATGTATATCAATGTACATATTTTGGCCATCATAGGAAACTGTAATAATTATTTATTAACATGAATAGTAATTTATATTTATATAGTTACTCTTTTCAGTGCTTTTTATTCCTTTTTACATTTTTACATTTCTATGTGGAATAGTTTTCTTTCTAATTGAAACACATATTTTAGTTTTTTCTTTTTAATATATTCCTGCTGGCAACAAATACTCTCAAACTTTTCTGAAAATATTTTTATTTATTTTCTTTTATTTATTCCTTGAATCTTTGTTTTTCTTGGAACACCATTGTTTCCCCTTCATTTTTGAAAAGAATTAAAAAGTACAGTGAGTTCTCATTTATTCTGAGGGGACCTATTTTCTTCCTACAGGATACCTATCTAGTCAACTACCTTTTTAATTTTAGTGATAATTTGTTCATTTGAGGTATTACGTGGCACCCAATAATTAAGTAGTGAAAATAAAATACCATAGCAACAAAATTAGGTTAAAAAATGTTTAAAAATTGAAGTGTTTGCCTAAACTTGTAGAGAAAGGTATCATCTTTACAAACTTTTTGAGTCATTTTTTTCTTTCAGTTTACTGACAGTTAAATATCATAGTTGCCTCCATTGTAAGTATCATATCATTATACATACTTTTTGGAAGGGGTATTTCTGAAGCTCTATGGTAATAAATTGCATGTTTTGTGATCATGTCCACTTGATATGTTCATAAAAGTTACAGATACTCTTGCCATAAATACATTTAAATATCAAATTTTATACATACACAGAAAATTGTGTATACATTTTCAGTGAGTTCACATATCTAACTAAATTATACTTAAATAAAAGTACAGCTTGGGCTGGGCACAGTGGCTCACGCTTGTAATCCCAGCACTTTGGGAGGCCGAGGCGGGCGGATCACCTGAGGTCAGGAGTTCGAAAACAGCCTTAACATGGAGAAACCCTGTCTCTACTAAAAATACAAAATTAGCCGGGCGTGGTGGTGCATGCCTGTAATCCCAGCTACTCGGGAGACAAAGGCAGGAGAACTGCTTGAACCTGGGTGGCGGAGGTTGCGGTGAGCCGAGATCGCGCCATTGCACTCCAGCCTGGGCAACAAGAGAAAAACTCCGTCTCAAGAAAAAAAAAAAAGTAGAGCTTGGACAAGAATTAAACTTTGACTACCAATTATTCAACTACTCATTGTTCTGTAGCACATTTACTCAATTAAATAAACTACAAGAGTGTAATTTAATAGATATAATTTTTTCTTTTAGGAATAATCTCTATATATTTTCTCTATATAATTACAGAAGTAATTATTGTTTTATTAAAGTATTTTCAACATTTATGAAAAATATTAATGCATATTGACATGGTAGAAAAGTTATGTTTTGTTGCATTATTTAAAAAATTAAATTATTTTCTCTATTTTGGGGCATACAATTTATAGATGCCTAAAAATGTTGCACGTTTAAAAAAAAGACAAAGGTTATTGAATAAGTGGAAAACCAAAACACAGATCCATTAGACATATAGTAAATAAACATCTTATAGCTTTTACATCAACAGAAATTACAATTGTGCTGCTTTTCTGTTAGATGGGGACAGATTTCTATGGCATACTTGCTACATTTTCACCTAACATTTTCTTTGATCAATATTCATCATTTAATAGAATACTTTACGTGAATCTTCACTTTATTATACTGTTCTTTTACCAAGTTATTAGCACTTTGGAAGAATAGTGTTGTTAATTTTGCTTTCGGAATCTCCTACAATTAGAGAACATAGCATAACTCTTTTTACAGGTTAATCAACCAAAACGTTATCTAGGTAAGATCAGTTATGAAATTAGGACTGTACATTCCTGAATTCAAATCCAATGACTAGCCCACCGTATTTCTACCATGATTCTTAGCAATAATAACATAAAGACTTCATTAAAACACATAAAAAGACAAATGAAAAAACACACCAAAGAAGCCCCAACACCATCAAAAGGAGGTTGGTTAATTCTGATTGATAGGTTCAAACAGCCTTTGCACACAATTTTCCCAAATAAAAAAGTCCAAAGTCTTTAAGACTTGCAAAGCCCTTGATTGCTTCTCTGGTATCCTTGTCATTAACCCCTTCTTTTCCACCATCCGCACTAACATTTTACTCTGCGGTTATAGTTGTTTTTAGGTTTCAAAAGTTTAATGTTTGTTATCTCTTTCTATTGCTTTCCCAATATTACTCTTCTCTTACCCATAAAGTAGCAATAAACTCACTGTATTTTGTGTTTTTCATTTTCTTCATAACTCCTACAAACTACATACTGAGTGAAGGAGAAACCATGTCACTTTTGCTTGTCATTGTATCTCCAATGTTCAGAACAGTAATGGGTATATATTTGTTGAATAAATAACATAAACATACTGCTAGTGAGTCTGATATTTCCAATCTAGAGCATTAATATAGCTATGTAAATAAGTTTCCCTCATTGATTTCAGTGCCTTTATATTTAGAAACTACAACGATTCTGCTAGAGAGAAAAAAAATTACTTGTACTAAAACACACATTTTCATAGAAATTCTCTAGGATCCTCTCTCAGAAAAACATCTATTAAACATTGGATGCTATTTTCCATTAATGCTATTTTAGGAGTGATAGACTTTAGAAAAATTTCTAGAGTAACAGAACATATTATTATATGTAGTAGCCTCTACATTATTTAAGTATTTGATACAACTGATAGAACAATTTGAATATCATGTTTAAGAGGGTTTAAATGTCTATTCATATAATGTTCTAATGCTAAAGGCTAAGAAGATCTGGTTGCTAAACCAACTGAGAGCAGTATTATCTTGAAATATATATCAGTTTTATAGCAGCATAAGGTCAGACTCTAGCTATGATAACTTTTTCTCTAGTGATCCATTGAGGGCAGTGTAAGGGTTTTATGATGATATCTTCATTCTCCGTCAATCACTCCATTTTAAACCTAGATCTTTGGATATTTGCTAACAAGATTTCTTTACAATTAGAATCACACTTTAAGATTCTGTTGTGACAAATATCTTAAATATAAATATTTGTAGGATAGTACTCTTGTAATCTAATGTGGTTTTGTACCCGAAGTCTTCTAAATAACTTAATTTTCTATGTAACCATAGTATTAATATAACAACTCTGTACTACAGTAATAGCCTTTTAAAAATATTCAAAATATTTCATGCCTGTAGAGGGAACAAATAAAAATATATTCAAATTAATATCCTGTTGTGATCATTGTAATGAACATACTTAAACCTTTGCTTCATGACTCAGGTTCATCATTTTGCTTAGTGATTTTACTTTTCTCTAGAGTATGTGTAAGTGCTGTGAACTCAGCATAATCTTGGGTTTATCTCTTCCTAAATAAATTTCACCTACAGCCATGATTTAATTAATGTGCCACCACATTATTATTATTGTGTGTGTGTGTGTGTGTGTGTATGTCTGGGGGAATTGCCTTTTCTAAAAACAGTGTAATGCACATTCTTTAACTCTAACAAAACTGGTCTCCATATATAAAGAATACAACATCGGTGGTATTCTGAAGAAAGGCTAGAGCAGTATAGTCAAAATGCAATGCAGGATACATTGAAGTGTCCAAAGAATAAGGCAGGTGGGGCATCTTTATGAAACTGTTACCAATCAGAAGATGAGCACAGAGTGGAGTCTGTGTCAGAGAGGTAGTCCTGAAACAGGGCTTTAAATGTTGTGGTTAAGAAGATAATATGTATCTCAACATTTCAAAATCAGGTTTACATAAGCTACTAAATATTCACCAGGGACAGTTTATCCTTAAACCATAAATCTATGCCAAGTATAGTTCATAAAACTGCTATAGGGAAGTTCTCATTTGTCTCCACAATGTATTCTGAGAAACCTTACTGTACAGCAGATTGTTATAAAAATTTTATATTTTCTCATAGGAACAATGTTATAATTTGATGTTATATGGTAGACCAAGCATTTAATAAATCATAGACATGACTGAAAATATGTCTGAAAGTAACATACAACTACGAATTTGTGCAATAATTTTAAATGATAAAATTATGCTTGGTGTTCTGTTCAATGAACATAAATGTACTATATACTCTGATAATTCACAGGCCCCAGTGAATCATAAAATGAAAGCAGAATATATAAAAATACAATTCTGCTACATTATAAATTTGACCTATCATAAGATTAATTTAATTTTCCTCTGTGATTTTGTATATTGTTTTCTCTAAGGACCTCCTCATTCTATTACTACACCCCCATACACAACTGAAATAGTTCCTATATTCAATGTAAATTTTAATACTCAAATCCATCCCACTTACAGTATGATTAAATGTTGAAACTGAGAAGCATCTCAGACCAAAGTGTGGAAAAGATCAGATGGTTATTTGGAAACCCTATTTCTAAATGGTAGAGGGTGTGCCTGAGCTACTACTGACATACGTTTGTATGGATGTTTTGTTTGTTTTTGTTTTGTTGTATTTTTGGAAGTCAATTGTATAAAGGAAAAAAATTACTCTTTGAGCAATTAAAAAACACGTGGAAGAATCTCCATAACTCTTTCTCTCTGTTATGTTCAAGGAGGTGTCATTTCAGATACTGTGCAAATGTATTTATTCCAGGCCTTAAGTATATTTCTTTAAAATTTTGGTCAATATGCTCTTACTGTTTTTTTTAGCTGTTTTTATCTACAGTATCTTCAGTATTTTCTGACATCAGCTATTCCCAGTCTCTTATATCTTTAATTTTATCTTGCTGAGGCAATTTGGCTAATAAGCATGTTCAAATTTCACCTGTGTCCCAATGTAAACACACACACATACACACAGAAAAACAACAACAAAAAAATTTTAAGAACTCTTACCTTTTCCCAGACATCAGTTTCTGTGTTTATAACAAACCTTCAAAGGATGTCTGTGCACGCTGCCGCTGCCTCTGCTTCCCATTCTCATGACGGTGGAGCTTCCTCCCCTCTGCTTTCTGGCTTTCTCAAATGTTTTTTAAAGTAAGTAGCTGACAAAGTCAATCAGCCTTTGCCATTCCTCCTCTTTTTCTCCTCTGGAACATGTGACACTGTCAACACTTCCTGGAAATCCTGCACTCTCTCACGATGTGCTCTTGTACTCCTCCTGCTTTTACTGCTGTCTTCTCAGCTTTTTCCTACTCCCTAACACAGTTTTTGCTCTAATATTCTGCACTTGTTTATCTTTTCCAGCACAGTTATCTTCACCAATCTTATTTATGCACAGCGTTTTTCGTTTCTTCACAGAGAAAGTTTCCCAATTGTCCATCCGTTTGCTGACTTCTCCAGGACTCACATTCCGTAATACCTGCTGGGAATTCTGAGCTGGTTATCTCCCCAGAAGTTTTCTGCCCTAGATAAGCTACTTGCTTTCTTCCCGTTTTATCAGTTTCAAACCTAACTGCTCTCTAAAATTCAGGTGCGATATCAACCCGGCTGTGAAATACCCCAGTTTCAATAAATGCTCCTTCACTTGTGCTGCTTTCTACCTACATTTAGAACCTCTCACATCTATTCTTACATTTGTTTACTAAATGTGTTCTTATCACTACAACAGTATTTTCAAATTTACTGAAGGAAAAGAAACAATTCCGAAACAGCAAAGTTATTAAATATTCAGTTAGAAACTATTTTGGTAATATGCATATCTATATCTATATCTATATCTATATCTATATCTATATCTATATCTGTGTGTGTGTCTCTCTCTCTCTCTGTGTGTGTGTGTGTGTGTGTGTGTGTGTGTGTGTTAAAAGTTAGACTTATTTCCAGGATTTTTTTATTAGAATTTGTGAAAATGCTAACAGTGTTAAAATACAGTGACCTTAAAAGCTAACAATATGACAAGGTTGGCTTCATTTTTAGAAGTAGGTACACTGTCTCCAAAGGGTTTTATTTACTACAGATATTTGGTCTGTATATTTAGTGCTGAATTGTATGATTCTAAACATTAAAATGTAAGCAGCACATTTAACATAAAAAGGAAACCAGCTCTAGGTGAGATACATGTGTCACAGAGATTCTCAGTTATTAATGTTGCTACAAAATTTCCATTCTAATAGCACCACAAGAATCCAGGTATGCATAAGGCAGTCTCCATTAAGAATCAGTAGCAATCTTATGTTGCAAAACATAGGGTGTCTTTAGTTTTAATATGTTAATTTTTATCTCAATTCTGTGATATCACTTCAGTGTGGAGAAAACTGAAAAAATACACATCAGGTTCACTGCTGATTAAAAGCTTTTATTTACATTTTTACCTGATTTTTCATTCTAACCTAATATGCTAATTCATTAAATAAACTTCATATTATCATATTGTGAATTATTATCAGTAGCCCAGATGGAATCTTCATGTGAATTCAAGATAAAGGCATCCTATCTCAATATGCTTTACTTCCAACTGTCATACTGATTTCGTTGGAACATACATGTCATTGCTATCTATCAAATAATTGTTGCAACAAATATATAAATACATTATATTTGTGAATGAATGGCAGCTCCTTAAACTGTGGCATGCTTGTGTAATACACGACCCCCACAACAGTGTGTGCTGTGTGTACAGGCCATGGACTGTGCTACGGTTTGCAGATTAAATGTCCCTGAGCTTCAGTTACCTAATTTCTTAAATGAGAATGGCACCTATCTCATGACTTTTTGTAAGCATATGGAAAGGTATTACAACGTGAAGTATAAAATCATTATTCAATAAATCTGTTTTCTGTGTGTGTGTTATTTTTTAACCTATACTTCAGAACACACTGAAGATTACTTTCTCTAAGAATGGTGTCCTGATGCTCTCGGCCAGGGGTCAGTACGTTTTTTTCCTATAAGCTACCACATAGTAAATACATTAGGCTTTGCAGGCCGTCTGTTCTCTGTTACGACTACTCAACCATTGTGTTATAAAAGAAGCTGTAGATAAGACAGCATGCAAATGAATGATCGTGATTGTGTTCTAATAAAATTTAATTTACACACACAAACAAAAATAGACTGTATGATTTGGTCCACAGGTTATAGTTACTGACTCGTCATGCCAGCCCACACTATCTCATTTTCAATTTTCAATTTTTAGGCTTTGATTCAGAAAAAAAGTTTCAAAGTAAGGAACATTAATTTTCTCTTAAATCTCAGTTTGTGCCTATATTAAGGCTGAAGTTAGAGAAAGCTTATTTGCTGAAGGCCTCTTTTTCTTGACTGTATGTATCTCTGAAGTTTTTTACTTTCCTTTTTCCTTTTCTCTTTTTCTTGACTGTATGTATCTCTGAAGTTTTTTATTTTCCTTTTTCCTTTTCTCTTGTCTAAACTGATGTTTTTCTTCCCTTCTTTTGGGAAGAAAATACTTTTTTTTTCTATTGACGTTCATTATTTAGGCATTATTCCATTTTTTTTCACTTTTTTTCTCATAAGTATATGTTTATAAATCTACTTTATGTAAGCAACTTTATTTTCTAAAGTTATATACTTTTTTAATTAAATAAAATGCTCAAGGCAGCCTTTCTCATATTCTGGGGTGCCCAGCATCTATGTCATACCTTTTGTGGCCTTTCAAAATTCCTATATTCTGATAGTCTATCTCCTTATGAATTTTTGCTCAAGTGAAATTATCAACCCTATTAATGGTCAGAGCTATTGTTCTACAAGTCACCATTAACTCGAGTTTGAGGCCTGAAGCAATCTGTGAAAGAAGGCCTTGGAACAATGCAGTTGTTCTACCGTGTATCACAGAAAAGCTAATTTAGCTTTCATAATGAAAACAAGTATCAGTGTCCTGAAGTTTCCCAGCCCTGGGCAGGGATGCGTATTCAACTCCATCAATGTGAAAATAAAAGTTATTTTGCTATTTTTAATAGCGTCTATTACTCAAAGAGTATTTACTGCTTCTTATTCTTCCTTCAGAGCTGGTTTATTTATTTCAGTCTTATTCTTGCTATAGAGAATCTAACTAACTTTTTTTTAAAAAAGAAAACTGAAGTCAAACCAATAATCTTCAAAGACATATGAAACTACTGTATGCCAAGCAGTGTGGCATCAAGTACAACCTATTTTAAAAGTTAAGAAGAAACATAATGAAAGATTTGAATGTACCACCTACACTATATTATTGATTATGTTAACCCAAAGTACATACTATGTAGCTAGTTAAGTATTACAACTTTGTTTTAAAAGAAAAGGGTCAGGCGCGGTGGCTCACGCCTGTAGTCCCAGCACTTTGGGAGGCCGAGGTGGGTGGATCATGAGGTCAGGAGATCGAGACCATCCTGGCTAACACGGTGAAACCCCATCTCTACTAAAAATACAAAAAAAAAAAATTAGCCGGGTGTGGTGGCGGGTGCCTGTAGTCCCAGCTATTCAGGAGGCTGAGGCAGGAGAATGGTGTGTACCCGGGAGGCGGAGCTTGCAGTGAGCCGAGATTGTGCCACTGCACTCTAGCCTAGGTGACAAAGCAAGACTCCATCTCAAAAAAAAAAAAAAAAAAGGCAATACACTAAATATGAATTTAAGTAAAATTCAAAGCAGAATATTCTTTTATTAGAATTTCCACCAATACACTCAAAGGAATTCAAAGACTCATGACCACAAAACAAGTTTGCATTAATTATCACGGTGTGATATCAGTATTTTTAAATATATACATGCCCACTTATGATAGGGTTATGTTCCAGTAAACCCAAGCTAAGTTGAAAATATCATAAAGTTGAAAATTCATTTAATACATCTAATATACCAAACACCATAGTTTAGCCTAGACTACTTAAACAGGAAATTTTTCTTGTCCTGTTTGCAGGCTTTCCAACAAGGGTGTCTCACTTACTCAGCCGGCAGCTCTCAACCCCTTATGGGAGAGTAAGCGCGCAGGTGAGTGTGTGCAGGAGCCGGAGCAGTGCTTTTGGGTGCTGGCAGGAGCAAAACTCTGTGTGGTGCCCAACAGCAGCTTCTGGGGGGAGTTCCTATGACCCCCGAAGCCCCAGAGGGTGTGTGTTACAGTGCTCTTTTAGCTTTGCCATCCACAGATGGCTTAAGTGTTAAACAGCTCAGTGGGCCCTCTGCCTTTTCATAAGGGCAGAGGGTCAGTGTGGCAGTCTTTAGTGTCTGCACCTGTGGCACCTGAACTCTTGTTCAGCATCCAGGAAAAATCAGGTCATATGAATGAATTGAAGGGTGGTGAATACAGAGGATTTCATTGCTGATGAAAGTGGCTCTCAGCGGGAAGGGGAGCTGGAAAGGGGATGGAGCAGGAAGGTGATCTTCCCCTGGAGTCCAGCCATCCAGGCCAAACTCCACTCCAAAGCAACACTGTTAAGCTGTCCCTCTGAAGTCAAGTTGCTTCTCTCCAACGTCCAACCACAGTTCTGATGTCCAGCTGCCTCTCCTCTTCTCCCCTCCTCTTCTCCCCTCCTCTGCTCTCTGACAGTTGGGTCAGGGATTTTTTTTTTTTTTTTGAGATGGAGTCTTGCTCTGTCATCCAGGCTGGAGTGCAGTGGCACAATCTTGGCTCACTGCAACCTCTGGCTCCTGGGTTCAAGCGATTCTCCTGCCTTAGCCTCCTGACTGACTGGGATTACAGGTGCACACCACTATACCTGGCTAATATTTTTATATTTTTAGTAGAGACAGGGTTTCACCATGTTGGCCAGGCTGTCTTTTTTTCCTGACCTCAAGTGATCCGCCTGCCTTAGCCTCTCAAAGTGCTTCAATTACAGGCATGAGCCACTGCATCTGTCCCCTGGGTCAGGGTTTTTATGGGTACAGGATGAGGGGAAGGGCAGGCCATGGGTAGTTTTGGAAAAGGCAACATTCTAGCAGGAAAATAGGAATGCATGTTCTCACTCTGGGCCACAGGTCGAGGCTTGAGGATAGGACTTTGCCAGGGACCCCATGCTTTTCGCCTAGAATTTCTCTGCCTCCTTTCCCTATTGCTACCATAAACGTGCTGAGAACACTTACTTTAGTCTACAACTGGGAAAAATCATCTAACACAAAGCTATTTTATAAAAAAGTGTTGAATATCTCATGTAATTTATTGAAAACTGTACTGAAAGTGAAAAACAGAATGGTTGTTTGGGTACTCAAAATACAATTTCTATTGAATATGGATCATTTTTGCACCATCTTAAAGTCAACAACGATTAACTTGAGGACCATCTGTATGGATTAAGATATACATAACCTTGGTTTAGAATCATTTTCATGCTCTACTACTCTACTCCTACTTTTTGTTTTCTCTGAGTGGGTATTATTCCAGACCATGTCATAGACCTGCTCAGCTCAGTGTTTCCCCCTTTCATGGATTACACTCAATTATAGCAAAAATTTGTTCCCACATTTGTAAAAAGTACAGCTTTTTGATTAATTCCCAGGTAAATAAAAATTGCAAAATACATGCAAAAGAAAAACAGGAATTGAAAACAGTACCTGGAAAAATTCTAAGTTACCTGCAATCGCTATCTACAGATAAAAATATGATAATAAATTTTATTTTTTTGTATTAACTTCTCTGAAATGAGTGAGTATTAATCTTAGAAAACATAATCACAATCTTCTATGATAAAAATTTCTTTCAGCTCTGAGTCTATAAATATCAACTAAATGCATGGAAGTACTGTAATTTCTAGAAGGGGCTCACAAATGTTGATCCTATTCAGGAACTTTTGGGTCTTCCCAAGTTCTAGCGGGAAATATTTAGCTGTTGTTACTGTGCCTAGAACTAGTTGAGGATAGTCTGAAACTCAGGCATTTGACTGCAAGAAACTTCTAGCAGCTCTTTCCACAAAGACATTTTATCATTGGCTTTGGAATTAATTGTTATAGTGTGAGGACCGTAGGGATGCAAATGTAAAGTCACTTTCACTTTCAGGGACTAACTAAAGTTCTGTTACCAAAGAACAAAAAGTTACCCATTTTGCTTGTAACTGAAATAATATAACCATATCCAATATATTTATTCATTGTACAGGTAATTATTAGGCACCCAATATGTCTCAGGCATCGTTTAGGCAGTTGAGATACGTCAGTTAAAGAGAAAGAAAATGCATAAGAAACCCTTTATTGAAGGCTACACAATCCAAACATGTTGAGGGTTAAATGTTACTTTGTACAATCTTTCCTCACACTGTCTACCTGCTATATTTCACTAAAGAACAATGAGAATTTCTTGCTTTTCTAGTTTCATGTTTTGGGAATAGCTCAATTTTTCAGCAATGCAGAAGTCATTGACAGACAAAAATATTTCGACTACATGATTTATTATCTGTCATTAAATGAAACACATACATTCACAAAATTGTTGTTCTTGTCTCATGAATTTTCAGATTAACTTTTGGGTTTCTTTACTGTTACTGCATATATATTTTCTCTTAGATTTCTATCTATACTAACAAGAAGACTAACTTTTAATTTTCAGAGAAAAACTACATATTCTCTATAAATATTTTCAAGAGCTCCATTTACCATTAATATGTTATACTTAATAGCCTAGCCTGGTTATTGAATATATATATGTAATTTTACTGATTAGAATTGCTTTAGGTCAGAAGTTCTTCTTTTCTGAAAGTGCATCGGAGGATTTCTAATTGATGAGTTCCAAAATTTGTTTTATATTCCTGCAGAATTTTGCCAACACAGTGAATGGAGCAAAGGGCTGAAACAGCCATAGCTCCATGAAGCTCAGATGACACTTCTGCAAAATGAGCTTCAATTCAGTTACATTTACAAGTAAGAATTAGTTTTCTGGCCTTTGGCTCCAGATGATGGACTCCTATAATTAGACTTTAAAGTTTTGCATGTGATTAAATCTGCAATCCTTTGATTCCCCTCACCAAAGCACGTTATACAAGTTTTTAAACCTCTCTCTATTTGCCTTCAAGCTTTTGTGCTTTTCTCCTTATGTAATCTCAAAACAGTTTAATAGGACATCTATTTTGAGTCCTATAAATATAAATACCTTGGGGAGTTTTTTAAAAAATAAATTAGATAAAAATTAGTATGATGACTACTCTTTCTCTCCTTTTTAAAAATGGGTTAAGATACTTTGAAAAACTTTTAAGGTTTATAAAGTAGGTATAGAAGAGGAAAAGTTTAGAGAAATCTTACACTCTAAGAGGGAGCTCATTTGGCATCAAAAGATAAAGGCACACAGTCCTGCCAAAATTAGAAAGGGACAAAGCCAATAAAGTAAAATATCTTTTCTTTATGTATAGCCCCTGGCATATTATACTTGCTTAGGAGATGTTCATTTAGTTATAATTATAGTTATATTATAATTATAGATAATTATATAATGATTATATAATTTATTATGATAATGAAAATGCCTCAGAGCTGGTGAACAAGTAATCACTGGATTAAGATCTTCTTGGAGGTGCCTCCATTTCTAACAAGTCCTTTTATTTTTATGTAACATAAATTATGCAAGAATATGTGCTTAATAAAACAAAGGCAAGTCAAATGAAAGTAAAATTTCACATTATATTCTTTGATTATATATATGTGTTTTTTAAATTTTATTTTGGTAAGATAGAAAACATACAATTTCAACCATTTTAAAGTGTTCTTCTTTGTCTATTGTAACAATTTTTGACTTGAAATCTATTTTTTTTAAGTAAGTGTAGGTACCCCTGCTCTCTTTTGAGTATTGGCATGAAATATCTTTTACCATCCTTTCACTTTCAACATAGGGTTGTTCTTAGACCTAGTGTGAACCTCTTGTATAAGCATGTAGTTGGAGCCTGCTTTTTTTATCCATAATAATTCTCCGTGTGTGTGTGGTTTATTTATCAATCAGTGGACACTTGGTTTTATTCTACCTTTTGGCTATTATGAATAATGCTACTATGAACATGAGTGTACAAGTATCTGTTTGAGTCACTGCCTTCAATCCTTTTAAATTTATACCCAAAATTGGAATTTCTAGTTAATATAGTAATTTTATTTTCAATATATTGAGAAACCACCATACTATTTTCTATAGTGGCTGCATCATTTTACATTCCCACCTGTAGTAGTGCACAAAGGTTCTGATTTCTCTACATTAATGCCAACACTTGCTATTTTCCTTTTTTGATAGCTATCCTAATGGGTGTGAAGCTATATCTTAGTGTGGTTTTGATTTACATATTGCTGATGATTAGTAATGTTATTTGTTTGATGTACTATGGTTCATAATACTCTCTTATAATCATTTTTATTTCTGTAAAATCAATATTTTCATTTGTAATTGTAGTTGTCTTCTCTTTTTTATTGTTAGTAAACCTAACACTTTAACAAATGTATTTTTTTGCGAAGAACCAACTCTTGGTTTCGTAGATTTTCTCTGTTGGTTTTCTGCTGTTTTCCTATCTCTGGAAATTCCCATAAAAGGAATTTTTATTTCCTTCATTACACTACCTTTACAGTTACTTTCTCTTCTTTTTCTAGTTCCTTCAGGTGTAAAGTTAGGTTGTGAATTTAGATCTTTCTCCTTTTCTTTTTTATTTATTTATTTCTTTAAAATTATTCTTTAAGTTCTGGGATACATGTGCAGAACATGCAGGTTGGTGGTTTGCTGCACCCATCATCCCGCCATCTACATTAGATGTTTCTCTTAATGCTATCCCTCCCCTAACCCCCCACCCCACTGACAGGCCCCGGTGTGTGATGTTCCCCTCCCTGTGTTCATGTGTTCTTATGTTCAACTCCCACTTATGAGTGAGATGAGTGAGAACATGTGGTGTTTGGTTTTCTGTTCCAGTGATAGTTTGCTGAGAATGATGGTTTCCAGCTTCATCCATATCCCTGCAAAGCACATGAACTCATCCTTTTTTATGGCTGCATACTATTCCATGGTGTATATGTGCCACATTTTCTTTATCCAGTCTATCACTGATGGACATTTGGGTTGGTTCCAAGTCTTTGCTATTGTGAAGAGTGCTGCAATAAACATACGTGTGCATGTGTCTTTATAGTAGAATGATTTATAATCCTTTGGGTATATATCCAGTAATGGGATTGCTGGGTCAAATGGTATTTCTGGTTCTAGATCCTTGAGGAGTCACCACACTGTCTTCCACAATAGTTGAACTAATTTACACTCCTACCAACAGTGTAAAAGCGTTCCTGTTTCTTCACGTCCTCTCCAGCATAGTTGTTTCCTGACTTCTTAATGATTGCCATTCTAACTGGCATGAGATGGTATCTCATAGTGATTTTTATTTGCATTTCTCTAATGACCAGTGATGATGAGGTTTTTTTCATACGTTTGTTGGCCACATAAATGTCTTCTTTTGAGAAGTGTATGTTCATATCCTTTTTGATGGGGTTGTTTGTTTTTTCTTGTAAATGTGTTTAAGTTCCTTGTAGATTCTGGATATTAGCCCTTTGTCAGATGGATAGATTGCTAAAATTTTCTCCCATTCTGTAGGTTGCCTGTTTACTCTGGTGAAAGTTTCTTTTGCTGTACAGAAACTCTTTAGTTTAACTAGATCTCATTTGTCAATTTTGGCTTTTGTTGCCATTGCTTTTGGTGTTTTAGTCATGAAGTCTTTGCCTATGCCTGTGTCCTGAATGGTATTGCCTAGGTTTTCTTCTAGGGTTTTTATGGTTTAGGTCTTATGTTTAAGTCTTTAATCCATCTTGAGTTAATTTTTGTATAAGGTGTAAGAAAGGGGTACAGTTTCAGTTTTCTGCATATGGCTAGCCAGTTTTCCCAACACCATTTATTAAATAGGGAATCCTTTCCCCATTGCTTGTTTCTGTCAGGTTTGTCAAAAAGCAGATGGTTGTAGATGTGTGGTGTTATTTCTGAGGGCTCTGTTCTGTTCCATTGGTCTATGTGTCTGTTTTGGTACCAGTACCATTCTGTTTTGGTTACCATAGCCTTGTAGTATAGTTTGAAGTCAGGTAGCATGATGCCTCCAGCTTTGTGCTTTTTGCTTAGGATTGTCTTAGCTATACAAGCTCTTTTTTTGTTTCCATATGAAATTTAAAGTAGCTTTTTCTAATTCTGTGAAGAAATAATAGACACAATAAAAATGAGAAAGGTGATATCACCACTGATCCCAAAGAAATATAAACTACCATCACAGAATAATATAAACACCTCTATGCAAATAACCCAGAAAATTTAGAAGAAATGGATAAATTTCTGGACACACACACCCTTCAAAGACTAAACCAGGAAGAAGTCGAATCCCTGAATATACCAGTAACAGGTTCTGAAATTGAGGTGGTAATTAATAGCTTACCAACCAAAAAAAACCCAGGACCAGATGGATTCACAGTCGAATTCTACCAGAGGTAAGAAGAAGAGCTGGTACCATTCCTTCTGTAACTGTTCCAAACAATAGAAAAAGAGGGACTCCTCCCTAACTCATTTTATGAGGCCAGCATCATCCTGATAACAAATCCTAGCAGAGACAATAAAAAAAGAAAATTTCAGCTCAATTTCTCTGATGAACATTGATGTGAAAATCCTCAATAAAATACTGGCAAACTGAATCCAGCAGCAATCGAAAAGCTTATCCACCATGGTCAAGTTGGCTTCATCCCTGGGATGCAAGTCTGGTTTAACATACGCAAATCAATAAACACAATTCATCACATAAACAGAACCAATGACAAAAACCACATGATTATCTCAATAGATGCAGAAAAGGCCTTCAATAAAATTCAACACCCCTTCATGCTAAAAACTCTCAATAAACTTAGTATTGATGGAATGTATCTCAAAATAATAAGAGCTATTTATGACAAACTCACAGCCAGTATCACACCGCATGGGCAAAGCTGGAAGCATTCCCTTTGAAAACCGGCACAAGGCAAGGATGCCCTCTCTCACCACTCCTACTCAACATAGTATTGGAATTTCTGGCCAGGGCAATCAGGCAAGATAAAGAAATAAAGCGTATTCAAATAGGAAGAGAGGAAGTCAAATTGTCTCTGTTTGCAGATGACATGATTGTATGTTAAGAAAACCCCACCGTCTCAGCCCTAAATGTCCTTAAGCTGATGAGCAACTTCAGAAAGTCTCAGGATACAAAATCAATGTGCAGAAATCACAAGCATTCCTATACACCAATATTAGACAGAGAGCCAAATCATGAGTGAACTCCCATTCACAACTGCTACAAAGAGAATAAAATACCTAGGAATCCAACTTACAAGGGATGTGAAGGACCTTTTCAAGGAGAACTACAAACCACTGCTCAAGGAAATAAGAGAGGACACAAACAAATGGAAAAACATTCCATGCTCATGGATAGGAAGAATCAATATCGTGAAGACGGCCATACTGCCAAAAGTAATTTATAGATTCAATGCTATCTCGACCTTTCTTTTTAAATGCAAGCATTTTTCAACTATAAAATCCTGTTATCACTGCTTTCACTAAAATCCCTAAATTTTGATATGTTTCAATTGTCATTTATTTCAAGATACTTTTATACATTCTACTTTTTCCTGTAATTTCTTCTTTGACCCATTCAGAAGGGCACTGTTTGATTGTAACAAATTTGTGGATTTTCCTAGTTTCGTTCTGCTTTGATTTCTAGTGTCATTCCATTGATTAGAAAAGACACTTTGTATAATTTCAATCTTTTAAAATTTATTGAAAGTTTTTTTGTGGCCTAATATATGATGTACCCCAGAAAATGTTCCATGTGTGCTTAAAGAAAATGTGTTTTTCTATTGCTGGGTGCAGTGTTCTGTATATGTCTGTTAGGTCCAAATGATCTACAGTGTTCACGTTCACTGTTTTCTTACTGATCTTCTGTTATGTTTTTTCATCCATTATTGAATATGGAGATTGAAGTATCCTACTATTATTACAGATGTTTATTTCTCCGTTGAATACTGTTGATATTTGTTTTTGATATTTAGGGAGCTTTGATGTTTAGTTCATATATGTTGGTGATTATTACACCTTTTTATGAATTCACACTTTTATCATTATAAACTGTCCTTCTTTGGCTAGCGTAACAATTTTTGACTTGAAGTCTATTTTTTTTTTTTTTTTTGGAAATAAGTGTAGGTGCCCCTGTTCTCTTTTCGGTATTTGCATGAAATATATTTGACCATCCTTTCACTTACAACATAGATTTATTCTTAGACCTAATGTGAACCTGTTGTATAAGCATGTAGTTGGATCCTACTTTTTTATCCATTCTGCCAATATATGTCTTCCGAGTTTAGAGTTTAATCCATTTACATTTACATAATTACTGATAGGAAAAAAGTTACTATTGCAATTTTGTTTGTTTTTGTTATGTCTTACAGCTTCTTTGCAACTTCATTGTCTTTCTTATTGCCTTCCTTTTTGCTTATTTTTTTAATGACAGGTTTTTATTCCCTTCTAATATCCTATTGGGTACATTCTATAGATTTTATATGTGGGGTTACCATGGGGGTTACATATTGCATCATAAAGTTATAGCAAAAGCTATTTTAAAATGATACCAACTGAACTTCAATTACATAGAAAACACTACTTCTTTACCACTCTGCACCCCCCGATGTATGTTACTGATGTCATAAATTGCATCTATATATAATGCATGCTCCTTAACATAGATTTATAATTACTTTTGTGTTTCTTTCTTTTAAAATCTGTAGTACTATTACGTGTGTGGTTGAAAAGAATGTATTCTGATGCCATTGGATGGAATGTTTTATATATGTCTGTCTATTATGTCTATTTGGTCTAAAGTGCATTTAAAATCCAGTGTTTCCTTACTGCCTTTCATTTGGACGATCTATCCATTGTTGAATGTCAGGTATTAACATTACCTATAATTATTACATTGCTATTTTTTCTCCCTTTAGCTATGTTAATGTATATATATGCTTTGATGTTGGCTGAATATATAATAGTTTTATCTTGTGATAAATTGACCCTTTGTCATTATATAATGACCTACTTTATCTGTTGTGATAGTTTTTAATTTTAAGTATTTTGTCCGATGTCAGTGTAGCTACTCCTGCTTTCTTTTGATTATCATTTTCATAGAGTACCTTTCTTCATCCCTTTACTTGCAGTTAATTTGTATCCTTAAAACGGAGGTGACTCTCTTATAGGTAGCATATGGTTGGATTTTATTTTTGGTTGTTTTGCCCCCCCCCCTCCATTTAGCCACTCTGTCTTTTTATTGAAGAATTTAGTCCATTTGCAACTAAAGTAATTATTGATAGGTAATCGATAAAGACTTACTGTTGCTATTTTGTTAATTATTTTCTAGCTGTTTTATAGATTTTTTGTTTCTTTCTTCCTCTCTTCCTTTGTGATTTAATGATTCTCTATATTGGTATGCTTTGAATCTTTTTCCCTTATTTTTTATATATTCACCGTAGATTTTTGCTTTGTGGTTGCCATGAAGCTTACATAAAATATCTTACAACACTCTATTTTGAGCTGATAACAACTTAACTTAGATCATATATATGAACTCTACACTTTCACTACCCCCCATTTTATGTTTTTGATGTCACAATTTACATTTTGCATTGTATATTAATTAACAAATTATTGTAACTATAGTTATTTTAATACTTTTGTATTTTAACTTTTATACCAGTTATTATAAATCATTCACATGCCACCATTATAATACTATCCTGAATTTGATTGTTTACCTTTACCAGTGAGTTTTATGCTTTCATATGTCTTTAAGTTACTAATTAGTATTAATTTATTTCATCTCAAAGAATTCCTTTTAGAATTTCCTGAAAGTCACATCTAATGGTGAAGAACTCCCTCTTCTTTTATTTGTGTGTAAAAGTTTTTATTTCTCCCTCATTGCTGTATGACCGCTTAGCTTGGTAAAGTATTCTTGGTTGAGAGATGCTTTTTTTTCCCCTCTCTTTCAACGCTTTGTATATATTATCTCACTCTGCCCTGGCCTGTGAGGTTTGTGCAGAGAAACCCACTGATAGCCACATGAGAATTACCTTATATGTGATTAGCTTCTTCCCCCTTGCTGCTTTCAAAATTCACTCTTTTTCTTTGATTTTTGACAGTTTGATTATAACATGTTATGATGCAATCTTCTTTGGGTTGAACCTCATTGGAGATATGTGATCTTCATGTACTTAGAGTTCCATATCCCTCTCCAGATTTGGAATGTTTTCAGTCACTACTTTTAAAGTTTTTAAAAACTTGTTAATTTCTCTCTACTATACTGCTAATGTTAGCTTTCTTGACATCTTATAAATCTCATAGGCTTTTAAAATTTCTTTTTTTAAAATAACTTTTTCCCTTCTGGGTAATTTCAAACAACATTTCCATGAGTTTTCTTATTCTTCTGTTTGTTTGATCAAATCTCTACTTATGCTTTCTATTTTATTTTTTAATTCAGTCATTGCATTCTTCAGTTCCAAAATTTCTGTTGCGTTCTTTTTAAAAAATGTTTTATTAATGTTGTTTAAGTTTCTCATTGTGTTCTTGTATTATTTTTCTGATTTCATTAAGTTGTTTATGTCCTGTTGTAGCTCACTGAGCTTCCTTAGAACAATTACCTTGAATTCTTTGTCATCCAATTTATGTATTTCAATTTATTTTGAAATAATAATTCAAAAGACTGAGGATATCAGTCTTTTTTCTCTTAAGACATCCAAATGATTGGAGGTATCAATCAATCATTATGCCTAGTTGATGCATAAAATTAACCATCACAAATCTACCCCTTGTCAACTTGACACCCATACATGTTTCCCTAAGCCATAGTTAATTTCTAAATAAGGATAAGAGGTAGGACATACTTATATTTAACATGAAACAATTCAAAATGCACTAACTCTTTATCCAAAAGGTAATCCAAAATGTATAGGTGTTGTTCACTCTCTTCCTTGGTATCCTGTAACTTAAATATTATGATGTAATCTTAAGAACACTTAAATACTATGATATAATCAACTTATATAATAAGGAGGTAATAGAGAAAGAAAAATACATCTTCTATGAACACACACAAATGTGTCCATAACAAAATAAGAAAAATATCCTTATGACGCTTATAGTCCTTGCTTCTGGAACTGGTCACATTGTTGTAGTTGGTATTTATAACCACCTTCTTCCATTATCCATTCAATATTCCCTTTGCCTTCAGCAAGTACCTCAGCTGATGATGGTTCTTTATTTAATGAAGTAAAGGGTTATTCCTGAAGATTCCAAGTCATTAGTAGTCCTGTCTTAATTGGGTTGTTTTGGTTTGTTCTTGGCTTTAATCACAGGACACAGCAATACTAAGAAATATCTCCCATATTCCAGACATTTTCTTTCTTATTGCCAATGTGAAATAGTAGTCCAATTTCCCCTTTGTAAGCAGGATCAAAACATTGTAACTCTCTTCTTTTCCTATTGATTCAGAGACATGAAGATCCCAAAGTGGGTGAGTAACAGTCTTAACTTTCAGTTAAATAGTGTAATTGTTGTGTCTTGTTGTAGAAGCATTTCTCCCTTTGAAGCTAAGACTGTTAGGCCAGCAGAGCATAAAGTCATGGGAACACAAAGCAGAATTTTTCTAGTGGGCCACTAGGAGTAGCAGTGATGCCACAGCCATTTGCACCCCATGATTCCTGGACCTGTGAATCCTGGATATGGGGGTGTAACCTACCACATTTGGCAGCTGATTGACCTGAGAGAGTTACAAGTACAGAGAATACTCAAACGCATCCTGTTTTAATTCCCAGTGTCAACATTACTTTGTACCCTCACTGTCAGTACCCTAATTTAGATCTTTATTGCAGTAGGAATAATTTATTACAGTAGTCCCTAAATTATTTACTTCTTCCATCTCGCCTTATAATTTCTTGAGCATTTATTCTACATGCTGCTATTTTACATATCATTCCTTCTTAAAATTATGTAATATTCCTGTGTTCACAATACAAAGTTTACATAATTTTTTCAAACTTTCAATTACATGAAAAATGACCTCTATTTGCCTTACAGTTCAAAATATGACATTATACAATGCAAATGACAATTATGCAAAATAATTTTGGCTAGATAAACACTTTGGCTTAAAAAATATAAAGATGAGTTTAAATCTCAAGCTACAAGAAGCATAAGGACACAGTTTGACCTTAACCATCTTTTGTCTTGGCTCTCTCATACAGAGCTCTGCTTCTTTCTGAATGTGAACTTAACTCTTTCTCACTGATGATAGCTGTCTCCCCATGGGGGTAATATAATTACCAACCACTCTAGAGCCATACACTTCATAGTTTCTGTCACTAGGCAAGAAAAGACTCTTTTTTCACCTCATAAAATTCTGGAATGCAATCTCACTGTTATGGTCTAGAGTCATGTGCCAATAGAAGATTCAGCTCTTGCAGAGACTTCATATTTGAAACAGAAACAGACAGAAAGCAGGAGATAGGGGAGGTAAGATCAAATGAGAGTTAAAACACAAACACAATCTTTCAAATTTCTTTTGACTTTTTCTAAACAAAACCTGATTTCTCCAGATTTTCTGAGACATACAAAATGCATTTCAATCTGTGTTAGTGCCGTGTTTCTCAACTTCAATGTCTATTCCGTGTTCCCATTCGCACATCCAAGTTTTGAACTTCCTATATGGGGTTCAAGTCTACTACTTCTACAAAATGTTTTAAAAGCAATCCAGACTTCAGGACTTTTAAGTTATTCTAATGACATTTTTTACTATTTAAAAAGTGGTATATACTAATTTCTGTTCCTGTTTACATTTATTCTAATATTCATTTTTCTGATTATATGAAAAATATAGCCTCATCAATGTAATAATCAAAATTTACAATACCTAGTAACTCTAGTGAAGAATGAATTTCCCAACACTAATTTCTTTTGCTGTTACTGAAATCATAAAAAACCAGGCATTCAAATTTTGAGAACTCTTGAATGTCAAATTTAGAACTCTAATATGAAGGTGTTAAGAATTTGTATAATTTTTCCATGAAAAATCAACAATAATTAAAATTGAAATTATGCTTTTGGAGGATTAATGTGGAAGTGCTTTTTTGATTAGTTAAAAATCAAAGAAACGAGGCAACAAAACTCAAAAGATGATTTTATTGCAATCCTATTTTCCTATTTTGATTTTATTCAGTGTGATTCTTCTTATTCAAAAAAAACAGTTTACCTAACTGCAGAATTCAAGACATGATTTAGACTTAAATTAAGCATTTTATTTTTATTTTAAAAAATTAAAAATATGGGGGGAATAGAGAGATGTAAGTCAAAGGGTACAAAGTTTCAGTTTATGTCAGATGAATAAATCTAGAGATCTAAGTACAGCATGAGGAGTATAGTTAATAATATTATACTATATACTGGAAATTTTCTAAGAGAATAGATTTTAGGTGTCCTTCGCACAAAAAAGGTAACCATGTGGATATGTTAATTGGCTTGACTGTAGTTATCATTTCACTATATGAATATATATAAAAACGTCATGTTTTATGCATTAAATGTATGCAATAAAAAGAAAAAATTAAATTATTTACCACTTTTATGAAGGCCAAAAACTTCTTTTCCCACTCTGGTTGCTCTGGATAGTGACAGTTTTTAGTTCATCAATTATATGTATATGTAATGTTTCCGTTTTGGTTCTTTATAGTGAAGCAAAAATTCAAGTAAATACTTTTGAAGCAAACTATGTATCTTCTAAATTTTTACAATTTTATAACCTATTCTTTTTGAACGATTTACTGCTTACAAGAAGCTGAAAAAATAATACAGAGGGTTTTCATGCACATTTCACGCAACTTCCTCCAATAATAATAATAGCTTACATGACAATAGCACATTGTTAAAAAATGGAAACTTACATTGAGGTAATACTGTGAACTGAGGTACAGGTTTTATTTGAATTTAACCAGTTTAGATATGCACTTTTATTTTTAGTGCATAGTTCTATGCACCTCCACCTCCCAGGTTCAAGTGATTCTCCTGACTGAGCCTCCCAAGAAACTGGGACTATAGACACCTGCCACCATGCCTGGTTAATTTTTGTATTTTTAGTAGAGATGGGGTTTCATCATATTGGCCAGGCTGGAGAATTTTTTAAACATTATTTTCACCAAACTTGTTTCTTTGCTTTGATCCTGAAGACATTACCTTTTCAGATGGCTTTATACATAGATTTTGCTTTATGTGGAACTTTTAGATCATGGGTTTGGACTATGCTGTTTCAGATTATTGTGCTAACAATGGGTTTATCTTGACTATGCATATAATTTAAAGGGAAAAAAAGGAAGGAACATGTAGACCAGTTGACTATACATGGTTTTATATTGGGTCCTCTACTAAAAACTTTAGAATATAATTTTGAAAGAAGTTAGGGCTTGAAAGAGCTTGACCAGCGTATAAAATGCTAATGCATGATGTTTTATAAGTACAAACTCAACTGAACTTTATTTATTTTAATTTCAAATTTTAAACTTTAGATTCAATCAGCGCACGTGTAGGTTTGATATATGGGTATGTTGTATGATGCTGAGGTGTGGGGCATGATTGATCCTGTCACCCCAGTAGTGAGCATAATATCCAATATCAACTGAATAGTAATACAAGACTTGCCAAGTTGTCTAAAGATTTAAAAGATGATAAAACATAGGAAATGGACCCAGATGAGTCTATTAGAACACAATCATATACAATTGAAAAGCAAGCTCTTAGTTGGATACTTTCACAGAAAAACCAGTGAAGAAATTCTACCATTTTTGAAATGGTAAAGTAGTTACCATAAATAGTAACACATTCTTGTTCCTGAAACAGGTCTGCCAGGAATTATTCTTGAAAGAGCTCTTATTGATTGGGCAAGACTATTACATAGATATTGAAACAATGCTACCAACTCCTGTCATAGCAAATATCTTCCTCTAGAAATTAAAACTAATAAACTGAGGAAATAATATAAGTTGATGAACCTATGAAACATCTACCAGTGAAAACGAATAAACTAATTAAAAACACTATATTGATCAAATACAATATGCCTTTGAGTATATATGGCAACCAGACAGATGTATCCTCTGAAAGAGTGATAGGTTGATTTTTGTGTGACAAGAGGAAGAGAGAAAGGGTGAGGAGGGAGAGAGAAAAGGATAGTCTGGGGGTGATATTGATTTGGGGAAAAGAAAATTATTGCTCAGACACATTGACCTGAAAGTAAAACCAGATGTACAAGGAAAAATAGAAATAGAATGAAAGTAACAAAAATAATAAGAATGAGCTGTTTGAAATCAAGGACAAAGGATGTTTTAATAGCAAGTGTTAGAAATAATTGATTACACTTTATTTATTTATTTGTTTATTTATATTTATTTATTTATTTATTTGAGACAGAGTCTCGCTCTGTCGCCCAGGCTGGAGTGCAATGGTGCGATCTCAGCTCGCTGCAACCTTTGCCTCCCAGATTCAAGCAATTCTCTTGCCTCAGCCTCCCGAGTAGCTGGGATTACAGGCAAGCGCCACCATGCTGGGGTAAGTTTTGTGTTTTTAGTAGAGATGGGGTTTCACCATGTTGGCCAGGCTGGTCTCGGACTCCTGACCTCATGATCTGCCCGCCTCCGCCTCCCAAAATGCTGGGATTAAAGGCAGGAGCCACCACACCCAGCCTATCTTCACTAATTTTACCAGGCAACTCTTTCAAATGATATTAAGTATAAATAGACAAACTGAGCTTTAAAGTTTAAGAAGGTAATATGTTGCAAACTTTAAACATTATGAATTCATGTATCCTTTTTTAAAATAAGTCTTCTAATACCTAATAATGTTACTTATCTTTGGCTTAATAATAAAATTATAAATTGACTAAGATGGATTGAGCATTTATTCCATTTTAAAAACTGGACACTACTTAGTAGATACAGATTTTATTCTTATTTTACTCATGAAAATAATCTACCTAAAATAGAAAGAAAGTTGATAAGTAGTAAAGAAAGGACTCAACTTTGGTCACTAGTAAGATAGTCACATATTTACCTAGGTATAACTATTGCAAAATCCTCAAAGGAGGTTGATACCTTCCTTTTTGCTTCATGTTTTTGAGAACAGTAATTTGTTTGACTATACAAACAAGAATGCAGCCATGAAAAACGAAAGACCTTATGGCATTAAAAAAAATACAAAAGAAAACAAAAAACGAAAACAAAATTAGCTACTTAGGAAAAAATAGACAAGTGTTTTCTACCTCTCTGTTTCCAGCAAGAGAATTTTCAAGTATGTACTTTTGCTCATATGGTCCTTTTGTTCTCTCGTGTTTCCAACATTCTGGCAGAAATCACTGTAAAAATGTTGGGCAGTGCAGAATTCTATGAGGCTGGAATAGATTTTGAAGTATAAGTCCCAGGTAACATGCCTGCAGTATGCAAAGTTCAAACAACCTACCTGGTTAGAACAAAACAAGGGTTTATGACACTGTTAGAAAACATTTCCCTGAGAGCGTCATGTGGGAGAATAAAAGCCTCTTATGCCTGCATAAATCTGTTTTCTGTTGCTATAACTGATTACCATATGCTGAGTAATTATAAAGAAAATAAATTTATTCTTACAGAAAAAAAAAAAAAAAAACTTTCAAGAAATATTTTGGCCGGGCGCGGTGGCTCACGCCTGTAATCCCAGTACTTTGGGAGGCCGAGGCAGGTGGATCAAGAGGTCAGGAGATCGAGACCATCCTGGCTAACATGGTGAAACCCCGTCTCTGGTAAAAATACAAAAAAATTTAGCTGGGCATGGTGGCGGGCTGTAGTCCCAGCTACTCGGGAGGCTGAGGCAGGAGAACAGCGTGAACCCAGGAGGCGGAGCTTGCAGTGAGCCGAGATCGCGTCACTGCACTCCAGACAGAGCAAGACTCTGTCTCAAAAAAAAAAAAAAAAAAAAAAAAAGAAAAGAAAAAAGAAATATTTTACAATAGTTTTGCTTTTTCTGCTCGGGTTTCATGATGCAGAATCATGCTGTAAGGATCAGAATCAGCAAAAAAAAAAAAAAAAAGAAATATTTTACACTATTTTTGCTTTTTCTGCTCGGGTTTCAAGATGCGGAATCATGCTGTAAGGATCAGAATAAACTTTTACCAATATGATTGTTTCTGTAATATTTTTGATAATTTCCTTAAAGATATAATACACATTTTACCATAAACTCATATAAAAATAGCTGTTATCATGGATTACAATAATAATAAAAACGTCATGAAGCGTTTTCATTTTTGTGTCTTAAAGTTAAATGTACGTATACATATTTAGGTAAACCATAATTTTTTGTAAAGACAAATAACTACCCAAGACTAACACTTTAAAAATTGTGAAGAAATTAAGGGCAAACAATTTGTCTTTGATATCAGAAGTGAGTACTCCAAAAGACAAACATTAAAGAAAACCATTCGCCTGTAGTCCCAGCTATTTGGGAGGCTGAGGCAGGAGAATGGCGTGAACTGGTCAGGCGGAGCTTGCAGTGAGCCGAGATCGCGCCACTGCACTCCAGCCTGGGCCAGAGCGAGACTCTGTCTCAAAAAAAAAAAAAAAGAAAAGAAAAGAAGACCATTGCCACTTTTAGAGAGTTAGAATTAAGTAGTCTATGTATATATTTTTCCTTCAGTATCACAGGTAGAGAGTTTAAGCACAATCTCTACATGATTTAAAGTTATCTGAGCCTCCTTTTACACTAGCTGTAAAAAGGTCTGAACAAACTGAATTTGATAAATATGAAATGACAAACATTAATTCAATGCTGTCACATCAATGTATTTAAATGGGGCAGTGGAGAGAAAGACCAATAATTAGGCAGAGAACTCAAAGATGTAAAGCAAAGTGGACCACAGGTCATGGTACTGGAGCAAGAGAGGCACTGTGCCTGTAGAAACAAACCCAGGGTCAACAGGAAAGCAGGCAAGGTACCTGGTGTCCCGTTTGCTATTGGTAATTAACAAGCCACCCCCCAGATGTGGTGGGAAAATAGCCATTAAGCTCACAGACTGCGTGGGTCTGAAATTCAAGCAGGGTACAGAGCAAAAGATTCGTTTGTAGTCCACAGTCAGGCTTTAAGAATGTGTGACTTTCAGTCTCAAAACCATGTAAACCCCACATAAACGAGAACAAATTGCACTGTAGAAGAGCATGTGCACTAGAAGATTTTGCTATCACGAGCATTCTAAAATAAAAGCTATCATGATTAGGGACATGGACAAAGAAACTCCTTGATTACCTGGCTAGGTGAAGTACCATTACCCTGGCTGACAGCAACATATTTTAATAGACTTTACTAAATCTTTTTTACTTTGTATCCAAGGTGTATCATACAATACCTTACATATGTTTGGTTAATATTTATTGCATATTCAATTATGGGTTAAATTTTTTAAAATGATGATAAAAATAAGCCCAACACTAAAGCTGGACTGACTTTTTAAAAATTGAGATATAATTCGTACCATAAAATTCACCTATGTAAAATGTACAAAGGTTTTTAATATATCTACCAATGTGTGCAAACATCATCACTATCTAATTGCAGAATAAATTCATACCATAAAATTCACCTATGTAAAATGTACAAAGGTTTTTAATATATCTACAAATGTGTGCAAACATCATCACTGTCTAATTGCAGAATATTTTTATCACCCTCCAAAGTAACCTCATACCCATTGGCATCTGCTACTCAATTCACTCTCCCTCCAGTCCCTGAAAAACACTAATCTACTTTCTGTCTTTATGGATTTGCCCAGTTGAGACTTTTGAATGAAATCACAGAGCATGTGGCCTCTACATCTGACCTCTTTCATGCAACAGAATGTTTACAAGGTTCATCCATGTTGTAGTATGTAACAGTACCTCATTAGTTTTTATGGCTGAATAATGCAGATATACCTTTTTTTGCCATTTAATTGTTAAAAATTTATTTTTTCTCAACTTTGTAAGGCTTTTATATTGTCGCTGTAAACAGCCTTGTATACTTTTGTATGGACATGTTTTAAATGTTTTCAATACCTAAGAGTGGAATCCTGGGTTCTATGATAAATATGTTTAACATTTTGAGAAAATGCCAAATTGTTTATCAAAGTGTCTGAAACATATTACATTGCCACCAGCACTACATAAGGGTTCCAATTTTTCCACATACTCACTAAAACTTGTTATTGTCCTTCCTTTGGATTATAGTCATCCTAGTGGGTGCAGAATGGTTGTAATTTTGATTTGAGTATCTCTAATTACTAATGATGTTGAATATCTTTTCGTCACAAGTTACTGGCCATTTGCGCTTCTTATTAAAGAAAAGTCTATTCATGATTTTTTGCCCATTTTTAAATAGGGTTCTGTTAATTGGGTTTTCACTCAGTTCCCTTTCTGTGAGTTATTTCACTTTCTTGATGAAGCCCTTTGAAGCAAAAATATTTAATTTAAATGTAGTCCAATTTATCCATTTTTTTCTTCCGGTTTTGATGTCACAGTTAAGAAATCATTGCCAAATCTAACGTCACAGAGATTTATGTGTATATTTCCTAAAAATCTTAATTTTTAGCTCTTACAGTGAGGTCTTTGATCTATTTTGAGTTAGTTTGTATGTCATGTGCTATATAGAGGTCCAATTTTCCTCTTTTGCATGTGGTTATCCAATTGTTGCGACAATAGGTTGTCTTTCCTCATTTAATTATCTTGGCAACCTTGTCAAAATTCAACCGATAGTAATGTAAGAATTTATATCTTCTTAATTCTACTCCTTTGATATATTTGTCTCTCTTTATGCCAGTACTATACTGTCTTAATTACTCTAGCTGTACGCTAAGTTATGAATTGGAAAGTTTGAGTCTTTCAATTTAGTTCTTTCTTTTAGTTTCTGACTATTTTTTATTCCATTTCCATGTAAATTTTAGGATCTGCTTTATTTTCTACAAGAAAATAAAATAGCCAGTCGAGATCTTATTAGAGATTACGTTGAATCTGTTGATTTAAGTTGTATTGCCACCTTTACAATATTACGTCTCCCAATCCATTAACATGGGATACCTCTCCATTTATTTAGTTCTTTAATTGTTTTTGAAAAGAATTTTACAGTATAAATGTGTAAGATTTGCACTTCTTTTGATAAATGTATTCCTAAGTATTTTATTCTTTTTGATGTCATGAATAAATTTGTTTAGTCAAACAAATCATTTTTTGATCATCCATTGCTAGTATATAGAAACACTATACACTAGTATGAATAAACAAAAATAAATTTTTATTATTCTTGTATTCTGTAATCTTGATAAACTGATATATTAGTTCTAAGAGTTTTTTTCTCTCTTTTTTTGGTGGATTCCTTTGGATTTCATATTCAAGATTATATCATGTCTTAAAAGAGATAGTTTCTCTTTCTTCCTTTCTATGTGACTAAATGCTCTGGCTAGAACCACCCACGTTACGATGAATAGCAGTGACAAGGGTGTACGTGCTCACCTTGTTTATATTCTTAAGGGGAGACTATCAGTATTTTACCTTTTTTTTGTATTATTTGTAATGTCACCTGCAGTTTTTTTGTTTTGTTTTTAAAATAGATGCCCTTTATTAGGTGAGAAATTTCTCTTTTATTTCTACTTTGTCTTGTTTTTTTTTTTTTTTAAACATGAAAGGGTATTGAATTTTGTTAGATAGGAGGTTTTTTTTTAATCATGAAAGTGTATTGAACTTTGCATCTAAGTGACAATTACGTTTTCTTCCTTATTCTATAAATATTGTGTATTATATTGAATGATTTTCATAGGCTGAATGAACCTTGAAGCCCTGGAATAACTCTCAGTTAGTTGTGGTGTACAATGTTTTAAAATGCTACTGAATTTGACTTGCTAGTGTTTTGTTGAAGGCTTTTGAGTCTATATTCATAAGAGATATTGGTGTGTAGTTCTTGCTCATTTGTCTTTTTCCTTATAATGTCTTTGAGTGGTTTTAAATTTTGCCATTATTTTGTTGAAGGCTTTTGAGTTTATATACATAAAAGATATTGGTCTGCAGTTTTTGCTTTGTTTTGTTATAAGGATAATATTGAACTCTTAAAATGAGTTGAGAAAATGTTTCCTTCTATTCTATTTTCGAAATAGTTTGTGAAGGATTGGTGTTAATTTTTGTGTAACTGTTTGCTAGATTTCACCAGAGAAGCCATTTAATTCTAGGCCTTCTTTTATGGAAAGGTTCTTGATAACTAGTACAATACATTTTCTGGTATGAATCTAATTAGAATTTATTTCTTCTTGAGTCAGTTCCAGCCACTTCTTCTAGGCAATCTAATTTATTGGCACACAGTTGTTCATATTATTCTCTGATAATCCTTTTTCTCTCTTTGATTGCTGATTTTAGTAACTTGAGCCATCTCTTTTTTTTTAAGCTCAGTCTAGCTAAATATTTCTAAATTTTATTGATCTATTCAAAGGAATAACATTTCATTTATTTTTCTCTGTTTATTTCAGTTATTTTCACTCTAATCTTTATTATTTCCTTCTTCTTGCTTTTTGTTTAGGTTGTTGTTATTTTGTAATTTCATAAGTTAGAAAACTAGCTTATTGATTTGAAATCTTTTCTATTTTTTAATATAGACATTTACAGCTATAAATTTGTTCTGAGTCCTGCTTTAGCTGTATTCCATACGTTTTGGTATGTTGCTTTCATTTTCTTTCATTTGTAAATATTTCTATTTTTTCTTGTGAATTATTTCTTGACCCATTAGAAATGTTTTCTATAATTTCCACGTATTTCTAAATTTCCCAATGTCTTTCCATTATTAACTTTAACTTCATTCCATTATGTTGGAAAATATATATTGTATGATTTCAGTCCTTGTAAGTTTATTCAGATTTGTTTTATGGCTTAGCATATGGTCTATCCTGGAGAATGTTTCATGTCCACTTGAGAATAATGTGTATTTTTCTGTTGGCAGAGTGCTCCATAGCTGTGTGTTAGGGGAAGTTGGTTTATAGCATTGTTCAGGCTTCCTATATCCTTGCTGATCTTCTATCTAGTTGTTTTATTCTTTATTGATACTGGGTAATTGAAGCCTCTACATATTCTTACTGAGTCTTTCCTTCCTTCCTCTTTTCTTTCCTTCTTTCCTTAATCAATATAAAACGTATTTTGCAGGCTGGACGAGGTGGCTCATGCCTGTAATCCCAGCACTTTGGGAGGCCAAGGCAGGAGGATCACCTGAGGTTGGGAATTTGAGACCAGCCTGACCAACATGGAGAAACCCTGTCTCTACTAAAAATAGAAAATTAGTTGGGCGTGGTGGTGCATGCCTGTAATCCCAGCTACTTGGGAGGCTGAGTCAGAAAAATCGCTTGAACCCTGGGAGGTGGAGGTTGTGGTGAGCCGAGATCACCCCACTGCACTCCAGCCTGGGCAACAAGAGCGAAACTCCATCTTAAAAAAAAAAAAAAAAAAAAAAAAAAGTATTTTGTCTCTAGTAACAATTTTGGCTTCAAAGTCTATTTTGTCAAATATTAGTTTGTGTGTTATACCTTTATTATTTTCAACCTTTTTTTGGTCTCGAGTCTAAAGTATATCTGCTGTAGGCACCACAGAGTTTAATCTTTTTAAAAATACATTCTGTTAATCTGTGCTTTTAATTGAAGTGTTAGATAACTTTGCATTTAGTATGTTTACTGATAGGGGAGGAATTACCTTTTCTACTTTGTTATTTGTACAGTGTATGTCTCCTTTCTTTGTGTGTTTATTCCTCTGTTTCTCAATTACCATCTTTTTGTACGTGTGTTAAGCAGATATTTTCTTGTGTACAATTTTAATTTCCTTGTCAATTCTCTTATATATTTTTGAGTTATTTTCTTACTGGTTGCCCTATGGATTAGAATTAACAGCTTAATATATAATCATCTAGTTCAGATTAACAACAATTTAAAAATCTATGGATCTTCACTTCTATATACTTTTATTTCTTCCTCCATGTTTTCATTGTAAAATTGCATCTTTGTATATTATTTGTATATCAATACAGTTCAGTAATTTTTTCTTTATGTAGCTATCTCAATTACAGAGATGTAAACGAATTACACACACACACATATATATATATTTGAGTTTATCTTACTTGGAGTCAAATTTTTTGAATGTGTTGGTTAATGAATGTTTTTCTTCAAATTTAGAGAGTTTTTGTACATCATTTATCGAAGTATTCATTGTGCCTCTTTTTGTTTTCCTTATTTCTGGGACTCCAATTAACTGTATGTTGGTCTACTTGATCATTTTCCACAGGTATCTGAAGCTCTGTCTATGCTTCCTTCTTTTACTGTTTGTTTGTTTCTCAGACATTTGCTGTTAATTGTTTTTGGCAACTGCCCCAAGGAAAAATCTGGTTGCTGTGAGAAAAGCTTTGAGTTAGGTCAAATAAAGATAAGCCCTGTTTCTGGATGATTTGGGGAACTGTCAGACAGTTCAGATGATCATAATGCACTGCAAAGGGGGTGTCTGGATAGTTCCCAATGTGTGTTTGTTCCCCCTCTGGTAGCTACTAGGCTGCTGGTTTTATGACTACAGTAATTGCAGGGCTGTTGATTTTCAAGGCTACCACGTAGCTGGGGATAGGAAGATGGAAATAGAGCATGTTAAAACACCACAGTGTTTGTTGTTTAGCCATTTTTCTTGAATAAACACTTCTCAGTTTATTGAAAGCCTTGGTTAGCCTTCAGAGTTGTGATAAAATTGATTTTGACAATTTTTTCAGTGTTCTGATTGTTTTCATGGAGGAATCGATTTTTGGAAGTCCTTCCTCTGCTGCCCCTGCTAATGTCATGGCACTAATCAATTTTAGCTTTTTTTTTTCTTTTAATGATTTAGTTGGTGCACAAATCTTGTGAAGCTTTAGGATCTTCATTAACAAGAGAAGCTCAGTTTCTGATTCAATTTTAAAATGCTAAATAATGCAGTTCTGGTTGTTGTGAAGTTATATAAAACAACATTTCAAACAAAATCTCCTTTTAATTGGAAAATTTTAAATAAGGACAGTTTTAGTAATAGTAACAAACACAAAATTAATTCTTTTTATGGGCGTTGTAAGGGCTCACCATTCCTTAAATAAAAAGTTATTGTAATTGTTCTTTTCATCATTGAAACCAGTAATAACAATGCACATTTACATTTACATAAACAAAAATATTCAATTTGTGTTATTTTTTTTTAGCAAACAGAAGCAATGTAAACTTTCATTACTGGATAAGGATTTTTAACGTTGGTAATAACAAGCATATTGTGAGCATTGTTGCACTTGAAGTGTTTTTCACAAAGATAGTCTGGGGACTAAAAATGGAAACATTAAGGCAGTTTAGGTAATTTAATTTAAATGTATTTATGATGGTATTATATCAAACAGATTGTTTACTCAGCACAGTGGCTAAAGTCTTTTCTTGCTTCAGATACAAAGAATTTACTCATAGTTAAGAACTATAGTCCCCGATTTAGACAAAAAATTAATAGGGACAAGAACACTCAGAAAAGATCTTAATAGCCTGGATGTAATCAGGGACCAAAATTTAATTTGGCTGGCCACAATGCCTAATTTTTCGATAAGTTCCTGCTTTCTGATACATGTTGTTTTGTCCCAGAGTAAAAATGAAAGAATAAGCTTAAGAACCCTCAAAATTTGTAACTATCTTGTGCTAGAAAAAGAAAGGGGTGAGAGGTTGTGGAATGCAAGTAAGAAAAGACCACATAAAACTTACACTGGCCTTAACACAGAAGATCAGAATTTGGCTCACAGTTCTTCCATAATTATCTATGAAATCATGAAATTAGAGGTTTCAACTCTCAAAATTGGATAACAGTAATAAAATGGCTATTATGTAAATGAGATGAGAGTATATGAGAAGGTTGAAATATGCCTTTGTATAAGTTGTCAGACGTTCTTATGACTTCCCAAATAATGCTTTCTCAAGGAAGCTTCAAACAACTGTGTTTGACTTTGCTTTTCCACTTTTCTCAACCCTCTGTTGATCATATATTACAGTCTGCACACACAGGAAACTCCCATCACAATGACAATTTGGCACATTAAAATACATGTCTTCATATGTCTTTGTGCTTGGTATTTATACTGCCACAGGAAGCTCAGTTCAGAAAGTCTCTTCTGTGCAGGACGGTGCCTGTGTAGAATATTTTGGATGCTCATAGGGTAATTGGACTCTTTCTGAGAGAACTCAGGTAAATGGTTTTTCACTATAAAGAAAATATTCTCTTTCAGTGTCATCAGGGGCCTGTGTGTGGCTTGGTGGGAAGAAAGAGGGTGTTAGGAAAGATCGCAATAACTTAACTTGCAACCTGCTGTTATGCACCTGACAGCTGAATAGATGCTTTTTCTCTGTGGGAGCCTGTTAACCTGTTACCAGCAAGTCTGATTCTTGCTGAACTTGGTACAATATTAATGAAAAGCCGCAGGAAGCAGAGGAGAGGTGTGTCCCAGGCCATGCTAGGTGGCCGCGACTCCAGTTAATCACCTCCCAGTTCTTGTTAGAAGTTTCCTTTTCCTGCCTCTTTGAATTAAAAAATATCGGGTTTATTCAGGATGTAACTACAGAGAAACATTTTGAGTTTGGAATCAGAAGGCTGGACCAAAAAAGAAGCAATCTTGTTCAACTTCAAAAGATTAATGGGTAGAAAATTTGAACAATAATCTTAAATGATTGAGAGAAAGTTCTGAAGGCAGGGTATTTGATAAAAATATATTTATTTCATTTAAAGCATTTTCTGAAGAAGAAAATTAAGTTTTAAGTTAAAATTATTATAAGATTTAAATTTATTTAAAATTGTACTAGAGAACTAAGTAATATAAAGCATTAAGCTTACTGTTTCTCTTTAGTGAAGGTCTCATAAAACTCATATAAATCTTTGTAAAAATTTTTACTGTTAAAATTTATAAACTATTACCATTAAATTAGATTTTTTCTCCTCTTTTTCAGGCTTGTTTTTCTGATTTCTTCATCTCTCTTGTGTCTCTGCTGCCATTCCTCCCTCTCATGCTGGTCCCTGGAGACGCGATAGTGAACAACAAAATGTTGACCCTGCTTCCTGCTCTCGGGGAGCTTATTCTATAGCTATAGATTATATATTATTCTATAGTAGAGGGCACAAGCATGAATCAACTGTAAGAGAAAATGTAAAACTGGAACATTGGCTATCCTTGCAGCCATGGATAAACATGAAGTAAATTTTTCTCCTGATGGTGATATTTTATATATATATGCGTATATATATATATGTGTGTGTGTGTGTGTATATGTATATATGTATATGTGTGTGTGTATATATATATATATAGTGTGGTACAGATAGTGATATATATATCTATCACACTATATATCACACTATGTATATCACACTATATACATATACATATACTATATACATATATACATATATATGTCACACTATGTATATCACACTATATATATATAGTGTGATAATATATATAGTGTGATATACCTAGTGTGATATATATATCAACACGTATGCCTGAGAGCACCGTTGTTGGATATGAAGGTCTGGCTATGATCCCAGTTTTCTTATTAATTGACAGGGTTGAGTCAGAACAGTCAGCAGATCATGCCAATCGCTTTGTGTCAACACCCTGTTGAGGAAGCTGTAGCTATCTTTGGTAGCAATGGTCAATGTTCCAGTTTTCTGGAACAATTTTCTCACACAATGAATTCATGCTTGTGCCCTCTACTATAGAATAAGCTCCCTGAGAGTAGGAAGCAGGGTCCACATATATGGTGATGATATATATCATCACCACATATGCTGATTTAAGCATATATGTGCTTAAATATATATATACTGCATATATATATATATATATATATATATATATATATGCTTAAATCAACATGTCCCTTTCATGTCTGCAAAATGATAGCTTATGAAAATATATTCACTGTTATGGTGTAAAACTGTCCCTAATGCCATTTCCCCTTTATTTATTTGGGTTTGTACATTTTGAAGTACTGGTAGAAGAAAAGAATTGTACAATTTTCTTAAAGTTTATATTATGGGAATAATAATGGAAGTTCCAACTTTTCTTATTGCTAGAAGACAGCCATAGTTTTTACTTTTCAACACCAATTCCTCAGGTAGGTGACTGTACATAATTTATAAAAATGTCTTCAATAAATGACTACTATTGGAACAATCACTGGAACATGGTGATCTATTTGCTGTTCCAAGAATACAAGAGAATCAAATGTTAGATTTTTTTTCTTTCATGGTTTACCTGAATTCCATGCTATAAGTTTGGTAAACTTCTTTTTTATTACACAGATGTACTTAGCTAATGTGGTCATTGATAAGAGTGTTTTTTTAAAGAAGCAGAGATGAAAAAAATCAATGTAAAAGTGTTCATATTGGGAAATGAGCTGCAGTAAGAAATGATTACAGGCTTTATTTAAGCTGTGAATCAAAGCAAACATATATTCTCTTTGCCTGGAAGACTGATGAAAGTTGGCAGCAAGAAAATTAAAATTTTTCTGTATATTCACTATATAATTGAAGTTCAGTTTCTGCAGATTCTGTCTGTTCTCTCATTGATTACTCAAGCACTTCTAAAAAAATTCCTGCCATCTTACTCATAATGCACCTTCATAACAGGCACGGTGTTCAATTCTCTTTGTGCGATATAGTTAGCAACAGTGCAGTAGTATAAGGTGAGTATTACACCTTGAAAAGCAACTTTTTTTTTTTTTTGAGACAGAGTCTCGCTCTGTAGCCCAAGCTGGATTGCAGTGGCGTGATCTCGCTCACTGCTGCTTCTGCCTCCTGTGTCCCAGTTCAAGGAATTCTCCTGCCTCAGCCTCCCGAGTAGCTGGGATTACAGGCATGCACCACCACATCCAGCTAATTTTTGTATTTTTAGTAGAGATGGGGGTTTCACCATGTTGGCCTGGCTGGTCTTGAACTCCTGACCTCATGATCCACCTGCCTCAGCCTCCCAAAGTGCTGGGATTACAGGCATGAGCCACTGTGCCTGGCCTGCAACTTGTTTATTAAAGGCTGTCATATAAAAAGCATATATTTCAAGAAATTTTCTTGATATTGAGAACCATATATGGCACCTAAAGACTATGCATTTATATGATTAAACTGTTTACGTGGCTAAAACAAAACATATCATCTAAAAGACAATTTTCAAATCTTTTGGTGGGATTGTTATTTGGTGATGCTTTATAAAATTTTATTTAAAATTTTTGCTTTTCAACTTGTTTTAATATTCTCTTGTCTGTAAGAAGAGAATAAATATTTTCAGATACTTTTATATTTTAGTCATTCTCATTGCAAGTTGCACAGAGAACATCATCAACTTCCATGTGACATATCTGGTGGATAAGTTCTTTCAGATTAATCCATGCAATTTAGTTCTGCATTTATGTGAATAGTTTTTAGTCATTTTGAATTCACAGAACCTTTGAAATTTTCCACCTTTTTGCTATGACTATTATCTGGTCGTGGGTCATCCAATTTTACTTAATAGTCATTTATCTTGCTTCTCTATTGTAGTGTTTCCTCTTCTGTATTATAGGCGAAGAGATTGAAATATTATGATTTTTTTCTATTTTATTTTTATTTTTTGCATTGTAGGTTATGGGAAGAATGTCTTGAATCTTTAAATGATATGTGTAAAAGTCATTGTACATTAATTCAGACAATTTAGCTATGCTCCTTTTATATACGTATTTTAAACTTCCTGGGGTCACAGACGTGTTTTGAAAAGTAATGAAACTATCAAATGCATATACAATTTTGCATTTACTATTAGAGGGATCATTGGCACCCTTAAGACATTCTAAAGACTTGTGGATATGCATACCCACACGGGTAGAGACTGCTGGGCCATTTAAGAAGATATTCAAGATATACAACTACATTAAACACAACAGAGGCTTACTAGCAGGAATATTTTTTCCAAGGAAAAATAGGGTGTTTTGGAGAGGATGGCATGGAGGATGGTAATTTGGGGATAGGTTATTGAAGAGTTTAGGAAGAGGATTATAGGTGGTTTAGTTAGGAGACCTAAAGAACACACAGAAAAGTATTTCATCTTACACCAAGCTTATGTTTTACAGAGAAGTATCTACTGTGGCAAGACTAACACTACTCATTTTTGAGTTACCATAAGACAGATTTCCGAATTCCATTTAGGATGAAGTTCAAAAGTTCTAAGATTTAATAGCTGAAATGCCATACTGGTTTTTAGAAATATTTGAATTTTATATTGAAAGTATGTTTGTTAAAAATGAAAACAATGAAAGAATTTACGAGTTTACATAAAAGCCATTTCCTAAAAATTTTTCTAGATTTCCTTATCTATTGGCAATGGGAATTAGTGATTGTACTTTTGTCATTTCCAAGGCACATGTCTTAGAACCCAAAGCAGCTTATTAAATGGCAGTCTCTGGACCAATATAAACTAGGTGTTAATTTTAAATCCCAAAACTAGGAAGATAAGTATTGTTTAAATGTTTAATGGTTCCATTACTAGAAAAAGTCTTTCAAGATTTGAAAACTAATTGTAGTCTCTATTTCAAGGTTATAGAAAACTGACTGGGATAGGGACTCATTTAGTTATTCCATGTGCTTTTGGACATTTTTGTTTGGCAAATCTGTAGTTAGATATCATTATTTCCCTTTAAAACTCCTTTACCAATTTGGCTGCTTAGATGCCCTACTAGAAGAGACAGAAGACAGCCCTTAAGTCTGGTAAATATTATTAAAATCTATAAAACAAGGCAGAGAGAAAATAATATATTTTTACCTGTTTTATACTCTAAATTCATTTTAAACTTTTTAGTTGACATTTTCAAACAAAAATGTGATGAGAATAATATAACAAACCCCTATATATATCACGGAGCTTTAATAATTTTTAATACTTTGCCATATTTAGCATATTTATTATTTGTTGAAACATTTTTAATGTTTTTGAGTGTTAGAACCATTCTTAATTGCTTGAACATATACAGATGATTGAATAAAACAAAATATATTGTTCAGTGGGTTAGCGCACGCAAAGACCTGTGTAATGTCTACCGAGGTTGGGATCTAGAACATGGTCAAAACCCAAAGATCATGCTGCTTCCTCACCACTACACCCTACCTCCCAAAATTAAACAAACAGTATCCTGAGTTCCATGGGAATTACTTTGCTTTGGCTTGCAGTTTTACTTAAGAGAACATGCATTTTTAAATACTACAGTTTTATTTCATAAATTTTAGTGGAATCATAGACTAGGTATTCGTTTGTATCTGGCATATTTCGAATATTCGTTTCAAATATTCCTAAATGTTATTGTGTGTAACACTTTTTCATTAACTTTCAGGGTCGTATAGTATAGATGTACCATAATTTGTCTATTTCACTGATGATCAACATTTGGAATGAGTTCTCACTTTGCAATATTATAATGCTGTATAAAATTCTTGTGTATACCCTGTTTACACACATGTGCATCCATTTCTCATGTCTGCAGAGAAAAATTATAGGATCATTAGATATACAGATCCATGTTTAGAAGGCAATGACTATTAGGTCTACTTAAGTCAAATTTTTAAATCGTGTTATTTACAGATCTGTATTCTTATGATTTTTTTTCTTTTTGTTACTGAGAGAAATGAGAAAATTCTCCCACCATGACTTCAGACCTATCTATTTCTCATCTAATTTTTCCCAATTTCTGGCTGTTCCGATTTCTTGCCCTCTTCCTAATTTTTCTTGTGAGTTTTGATTAAAGATCTCTGAAGAAGAACATGTCTGTGGATGTAAACTTCCCATGGGTTTACAGTCTCAGGCTTTCCCGGCCTTTAACAGCATATTCAAAAATTTAACTATTTTTACCTGTTTACCAGGCACCTCTGCTTTCCTCCCAAGCTCTGCCACAGTTGGACAAATAATTATCTCCTGTCTTTCTTTGGAGGTGCTCTTTCCTAAACTCATGTCTACTTTTTCTTTTCTATTTTTTTTTCTTTTATTTTTAGAGATGGGATCTCTCTTCTGTCACTCAGGCTGGAGCATAGTGGTGTAATCAATGATAGTTCACTGCAGCCTTGAACTCCTGGGCTCAAGGGATCCTCCTATCTCAGCTTCCTGAGTAGTCGGGACTAAAGGTATGCACACCCATGTTCCGTGTTCTGCTAATTGTTTTTTTTGTTTTTTTGTTTTTTTTTTTTGAGAGCCAGGGTCTCACTTTATAGCCCTGGCTGGTCTCAAACTCCTGCCTTCAGGAAATTCTCCCACCTCGGCCTCCCAGAGTGTTAGTATTATAGGCGTGAGCCACCTTATTTTTTTCCTGAAAAAAATATGATGTACACGTTTTGATATATGTATACATTGGGGAATGGATAAATCAAGTTAAATAATATTGCTGGCCCTCATTCTTTTTCTTTAAATTCCCAAAAGTTTCTCTTTCCCATACACATGCTTTTGGTGTTTTTGTTTTCAATGTTTTCTGAATTAATTTATATAATCCTTTTCTGTCTTCTATTTTGTCTATTAAGATTTTTATTAGTATTTACCTCTTCTTTTTTATTTTAGTATGCATTTTCCAATTCTTAATATAATTCATAAATTCTTCTTTGTACTTTTTCCTTTTATAATAAAAATATTCAAGAGTAAATGCTTCTTTTAAGGTAAAGATTTCACCGATGCATTGGTTTTTATATAAAGGCTACTTTAGATGTGAAAATTTAAGTTCCATTTAGGTTAAATATGTAGGACATCGTTTATTCATATGTATTTAAATAATATCAGAGATTGTATACAGATGCATAATTAGCTTTTATTTTGTTTTATGGATGTGTAAATATATTCTCAATTTGAAGAATTAATCTATTAAAATAATTCACTGGTTATAGTCCTTAAATTCTTCATTATCTTACTTATTTAACTCTTGATCATATAATTTTGAAAAATACCTATTGAGATTTCCCAGTATAATTTTGTCAATGTATATTCACACTTTGAATAGTTTTTTTATAGAGTTATTGTTATTTGACACATAAAGGGTTTTGACTTAATCTCTTTCCTAAATTGTGAATTTTAACACTATATACTACCCTTCTTAGCACTCTAAATAATGAAAACGTTAAGGTTAAAAAATTTCCCTTGGCTATAACTTTCATGGTGACCCATTTGCATTGATCCAGAGGTTAATTTTAGAGTGTTATTTTGCTTAATGGTTTTAATATTAAATCCCACTGTGACTGATAATATTTCCAATCTTGATTTGTTTTCTTCTTGAACTGAAGAACATAACTTAGAATTTTCATGCTTTATTTTAGTGTTCTTTCTTTCTTGTAATAGGGCTTCTTTCTGGTAATAGAATAACCGTTTCCATTTAGCATAACAGTACTAGACATTTTCATCATATTTTTGTTTACTGTTTATTGTAGTTTTTTCTTTTAATTTTCCATGACTTCCTTGTTTTTCAGGTATAGAGTTGTCCTTTTTTAATTTGAAATTTCTCAAGAATTCTTTCATTATATTAGAGGTAACTTCTTTTTCATAGTACTTACAAATGAACATATATTTCTCTATTATCATATAAAATTCTCTAACCCCCACTTTTTCTCTTTCTATCCCTCTTAATAAGATAGGACGTGCCAGATGCTTCTATTCCCCTGCTCCCTGTCTCCTCCAGTGAGACTTTTAAGACACTTTTGCTATGACTTCTATAATCTCAAAGCCACTTAAGCTCCTACATCTTAGATGGCTTTTACTTTTACTTCATGCAATTATTACATTTTTAACCTAGAGTATATTTCTTCATAAATCTCTATGTAATATTTAAGCTATACATCGTCATTTATTCTATATATCCATAAACAACTCAAAGTTTAATAATTTACCACTCTTCACTATCTTCTCATTTTCCCGTATAGGTTGGGATTTACTGCTTTGTTTATAATTATTCCTGGAATATTTTTCTTACATTTGGCATATGAGTGATATATTTCAAATCCTTGTATTTCCAAAAGCATCTTTTTTCCTCCCTGATAACAATGATATTTGACTTGAAGCTCTACTTGCAACCTAGAGTCCTTACCTCTTCTTAGTCTGTAGACATTATATTGTTCTAACATTTTCTTTTTACTCGGTGTGAATAAGCCATGGTTAGTTTGATTTGTAGGCCTTTTTAGTAGCTTAGTCTTTTTTCTTTTTTTTTTTTTCAAATTTTCCAATACTTCTTTGTAAAATTAAGTTCATAAATACTATTAAGAATTAGAAATAAAAGAGGGATAGAGAAAGTGTGTGTGTGTATTGAGCTTGAAATTCCTTCTGAGGCCTCTTTGTGTTGTTATTGCAGTGGTGTTCAAATAGTGTCTATTCTTACTATTTTTCATTAGATTCTGTCAGCTCTGTGTATTTCACTTGCTTTTCCTGTCCAGGTTATGTGCATTTAGGTCTGTCAGTCTTCTTGAACTCCTCACTTTTCTCTAGTTCTGCTACTGGGATTTATTGAGTGGCTGAAATCCTGTGAGGGGCAGGGGGCACAGTAGTTTCTGTTCTTTTTGATCAGTGATCCTCTAGCTATCAGTTTACCGTTCTCCATTTAGGCACTGGGTTGAAGTTCCCTGCTCTTTATCTGTGTGCTTTGGTGCTTCTCTCACCTAGAGGAACCAGCGAGTCCTCCAGGGAACACCTGCCTTTTTCTTTAAGAAAGAAAAAGGGAGGTTAGGGGCACAGCAGAGTTCTCTGCACATTCTTCCATTTTATTTATATTATGGTTCAATTTGAAAAAGATGTGATTTATACACAACTTTTTAGGCATCTATTGAGTAAAATGAAATATATCTGTAATCTTCTTAGTACATTATATTTATCAATATATCATACTTTTATTACTTGGTGGAAACACTATTAAGTAAGAAGTTCATTCTCATTTCATGTTCTTAAATATTTACAAGATGCACTGCTTCCTATGCCAATCTATGATTAAATGTAAAAGGGAATTCCTAGCACAAGTAATTTAATAAAATTTATACCTATGGACAAAGGAAATTGAAAAATATCAAACGGATTACTAAAAGTCTCATTTCTTAGGCTAGAATTGGAGAATTAAAATAAGACCTAAGCTTTAGTCTTTCTATGTTGTAAAGACTTGTATTATGTAAAGTATTCTTGCTTTTTAACTATACAGTGAAAAATGTAGTTACTACATAATGCCACCAAATACATTGCTGGACAAACACTTGAAAAGATCTAATTTAATGGCAATATTTTTTGTAGATTGCATTTAACAATCTTATTTTATGTCTATGTTTGGTTGGAATAATTCTTAGGTTTCCTTTCTCAGTTTTTTTAAGCATAAGGTCCTATTTGCAAATAAAAGACATTATATAAATGTCAGATTAACATTCATTCAAAATATAACATTTTGAAAAACATTGTTAGTGGAGCTATGGAAACTACTATTGGTAATCTTTGGTGGAAAATCATATTTTGAATAAGAATTACTTGAACTAATAATCTATTAAATAGAATCATTCTCATGAGGGATTTTATAGGTACTTTTGCAGTTTCTTAAGTAAATTCCAAAGTACTATTTCTTGCTTTAAAAAAAACAACAACAAACAGGCTTTCTTTGTTAGGTATCTTTATAGTTGATGGCCTGTCAGGTTCAGGCATTAAAACCATTTTTTAAAAAATTATTTTCATGAGTTATGTTGACTATTTCTCAGCTAAGCTCCATTTCACCAAAGATTGACCAATTTTGCACATGGCATAATTTTCCAAATTGCTTCCTATACATATTTAATGGATGACATATCTAACAGAAACAAACCTCTCTAGGAATCTAGTAATGGGATAGTGTTGTTAGATACAAAGGAAAATCTCATTTTGAAAAGTTAGACCTTTTATTTGTTTACCAAACACTCTGTATTGTAGTGTCTTAGCAATATTAACACATTTAATACCCATAACTATACTTTGAGGTTATTATTCCAATTTACTGAAGAGGAAATTTAGACACAGCTAGGTTAACACATTTATCAGAAAAGTCATACAGGTGGCGGATGGCACCAAAGATCCCATCCTGAGCTTCTTCCTCTAAGGCCCTATTTTGAGCCTCCAGCAAAGCTGACTTCCTTGTGATGGCTGCCTCCAATTTACTGATTGTGGGAGCTAATGCAAACTGCTTAACCTCTCCATGCTATGGTTACTCTCCCCAGAAAGTAGAGATGATAATACTTACTCTGTTTTTTTTTTCATAAGATTAAAAGAAATGATAGATGTAAATCATTTAGCAGGGTACCTGACTTCTATTATTATCTAATAGTTCATTTTGTTAAATTACAAGTTAAAAAGAAGTAAAATCTTTGAAAACGCTGAGTTAGGTTTAATCACAGTAGAAGTTTTACTGATGTGAGCAAGTATTTTGGAAAAATAGACACAGAGTACATCCTATGACATTTCATTTTCCATTCCATCTTTAATATTAGCTTTCCCCCAAAAGGCAAGAATAAGTCCTGGAAATTATACTAGACCACTGTACATCTTAATGTTCTTCATGAAATCCATTGTTGGATTTTTCTTTTTTAAATAGAGAGGTTGATATTGATTTCAATATTTGTAGGAGAAATATATTTAAAAGCTTTTCGGCTATTTGTAACAAACATGATTTCCTACTTGTGTCACTGTACAATATTGGATGGGAGGCTATTTAATTGTATATAATCCATTAACCCCTTTGATTCTTTTTGTAGTAACTAAAGCTAGTAGTAAAAAAAAAATGTAAAATCTGCTTTGATCTGCAGTTATTAACTAGAGGATACTCCAAATTTGGATTTAAAGCCATATATTGTGTAAAGCTACTACTCAATGAAAAATCCTCAATTATCTTAAGAGCTTGTCTTTACCATGCTTTTACATTTACAGTGCTTTCCCCTTCTCCCTTTACAAAATTTCTGCTTCCATAGTGCCGGGATGATTTAAGCAATTATTTATGATGGCATTACCTCATACTCATTTTCTTCTCAGCAAAGTTGCATCTATGTCAAGACTAAGTAGTGAGAGCCAATTGAACTTACTCCCCCTTCTTTGCTATAATCAATAAAATGCATTCCCTTGAGATCACACTTATTTTTCTCCTTGGATTAGCTGCAGTATTCTTTTACCCTGCAAATAGGAGAAAAAAAAAAATCAAAAGCCCCAACGACATTCCAAGATTCTGTTCTTGTCTTACTAAATTTCCTATTGTTGGATTATGGTAAGATTATAGACTAAGTGCAATTAAAGACACAAGCATGTTTAGAAAAATGGTTGGTCAGTTGATTTTGACAATGGGATATTCAAAACTCAGTATGAATCCTGCCTATATGAAAACACAATATGTGAATGATCTGGAAAGCATTTCCATTTTGACGTTAAGACCTTTATTATTTACTTTTCAGCTACTTTTGTGAGAAGTTACCAATCACTTCGTTCTGTGATGTATTTAGTCAGAGGCCACCAGATTAATTTTCTTGGTGACATGAGTACTATGGAAGCAAAAGCTAAAACCCAAATCAATGCTTCTATATGTTTTAAAATTCTCTGGCTTTTGGATAATAAAAGTCTGCTAATATAGGCAAAGGATCTTTTTCCATTGTAAAGTTTGTAGAAATTGAAAATGATGCAAGCAATTTAATAACATACTTTAGAGATGTTTTTTAATACTCCATTTAAAACATTTTAATAGAATCTTGCAGTTGAGAATTAAGATTCAAGTATTAACGTTTATAACAGGGAATGATAGACATGTTAATTCTGCCCATTATGGCGTTTAGTAAAATTGTTACTACGTGACAAATTCGTATTTTCTAAAAAGAAAGCTAACTTTAAAAAATTTCTGGTTCAGGTTGTCTAGCTCATATTCTTTTTTTCTAATATAAAATTATAGACTTGGAGGAGGGGTCAGAAAACACTGAAGGGAGAAATAAAACCAAGAATCTAAAAGTTTTATGGGAGTTCTCTGGGTATATAATATTATTAAGGCAAGCGTAACTACCAGTTGACCTGAATACCTCTAATATGTCCATCCCCCGAGACTGCAGAGTCACGTTCTCAAAAGGAAAACCGATTAGATGTCAAAGCTCTCTGAAGCACCTGAAGAAACCTTGAAAAAGACTATAAATTAAGTTTAGGGAGGCTATAAAGATAGTGGAAATGGATAGCCAAAAGTTGCAGTTGGATTAGAGGCTGTAAAGTTGAATAGCTACCTGATGTGCTCCACTTTATAATATATGATGCTTAGAAACCTTTGATATTAAAATGAAGTTGGATCATTATAAAAATAATTAACTTGGTAACTCAGAAGGGCAAATATTTACTCAAAGCATTTCTATATGGAGGGCAAAGTGAAAATAGAGTTTGAGATCTGAACACATTCTAAATAGTTACTTTTCTCCCTGTCTACAAGTCGGTAATTTCTAAAGATCACCTTAGTATAACCTACAGATACAGATGTAGAGATACTATTGAGTCTCTCTAATAAAGACTGTTGGACCTATATGAATAAAATTCATTAAAAAATAAAATGTAGAATTTTGTAGATTGCTCTTTAATCCATCAAATTTACTGAATAACTGTTTAACTCTGCACTTCATTACGCCTGTCTGGGTACAAAGATGTACAGCTTTATGGATACTCCACAACTCTAAAAAAAATGTAGAATTTTTTAGGTTGCTTTTTTTAGTTCATCAAATTTACTGGATAATGGTTTAACTCTGCACTTCATTTATGCCTGTCTGGGTAGAGAAGTACAGCTTTATCCATACTCCAAAACTCAGATTGGGTACTTGTCTACATAGAATATCTGATAGTTATACCTGGGTCAATTTATTTTACCCTGACACATTATTAGGGACATTGAATGCCCCCACCTTTCCAGATTGTTGACCAAGCGATTAATCATTGCTTGATTAATTTTTATTAGCAATATAAATGAGTAAACGAATCAAGTAAACAATGGTTCTATTTTGCCTTCCACATGATTAATCAATTTATAAGATTATTTTTACTTTTGAAAATTTCTTTTTATTTGCTCTCATAATTTCTAGAAGAAAGCAAATTATGAGTGTTTACCTTTTCCAAAAGTCTACCAAAAGGGCTTTGGTAATAAGATGATATTTATTCCTGGTAGACATCAAGCATGTAATCATTATTTTAAGAAGAGCATTGAGAATCCTTTGCCTAGAAGACCTGTTGCATCTATATTTATTTCCTTCTTTTCTTTCTCCCTCTCTTCAACCCTGCTCTTTTCCTTCCCTCTCCCTTCCTTTCATTACTACTTGCCTTTCTTTTCCTTCCCTTCTTTTCCCTTCCTTTTTTTTTTTTTACATTGCATTCCTCTCCTCACTTTTCATACGGTTGTACTAATACTCTCCTTACAGTCTGGGCCTCACAGGTAGAAAATCAAATGGATTTGAAGAAACAAATAGATCTGAGCCCATGTTCCTGAGGCACTACGCTCTATCAAAAATAAACAAATAATAGGATCAGGCATTCAAACTGGTGTTCCCATCACACTTTGTATATTTATATTGCAAGTCTAACCCTTTTCATTCTAAAAATATACTATCAATATTTGCCTATCTTTCCTATTAGAAGGTAGTATCTAGAGTTTTTTCACTTACATTAGTATGTTTATTACTTAGCATGATACCTACTTGACCAAGCAGATTAATCACTGCTTAATTTTATCAGCAATATGGATGAATAAAAGAATCAATAAATAACCATTTTGCCTTCAGACAAAGGAGTCAATGAGTACATTCAGAAAGGACCAGCCATAGAATTCGTAATTGCTCTTTCCAGGACTCATGGTTAGATAAACATAAATATAGGGCCCTGCAAGCTTGCTGAAATAAAAAAAGTACATTGAGAAGATTTGCTCCAGGAAACCACTTTGTCTAATTGATGTATTGGTTTCCTTAGGGTCAGCATAAAATTAGTCCTTTAATTTGTTATGGACTGTGATGATCAGAAATGTTCACTCTTTGTGGGTCTGTCTTCTGATGTAATTGCTACAGTCTTGAGTTCCTTAAAAAAAAAAAAATCGATGATCCTTAAATAAATCTTGAGCAATGTTCAGGTGATTATTTCTGCTCCCACCATCTCTCTTGCCTTTCCTAATACCTTTTCCCTAAATAAAGCCTTTCTCTAACACAACTTTTATCCAACTGGCTTTTAAGCAATTGAATTTTAGCTCTAGTGTCAGGGCATGTTCAGCTGCAACTTTGATGCAATAGTCTCCTCAGTGACTAGTAATGAAACTGTATAGTAGCATCAGTGAACACTGAATAAAAATTTTATCAGTTTTCTCTCAGTTTACATTGATGGGGGAGCAAAGATAAAATGGTGACGTCACTAATGTGAGAATTGCGATGTGTTAAAATTAATTCACAAAAATTTATATGTTTGTTTTCAAATGATATAAATATATTCAGTCTTCCTTAGCTATTTCTCTTGTCTTCTTTTCCACCTGATATTTTTCTGATACATATTTATTACTTTTCAATAAAAAGTGCTGTAAATCTTCAAGATAAAAGTATTATTATACACATCTTCCTTCTGTTCTTATGTGAGAATTTATCGAAAACAATGAGCATTAATTGGTGTGGCTGATTAATCTTTTATATCCCTGCCTACTACAGTTATGTAATTTCATAATAATAAAAACCTGGAAATATATATTTTTTTGCTTTCATGAGGCGTTATTCACCAATTGCCCTGGCTTACGCGTGCCCTCCCCTCCACCCCCCAACACCTGCCACTCACACACACGGATTTACTCTGTAGATCTATGGACTGCATTCTGCTATCCTTGAGTCTCTAAATCTTTATGAATTCTGGCTAGAGATTGTTTCAACATAGGAATTCACATGTTTTTTGCTCATATCATTTTTCTTTTCATTTTTGCATAAATTGTTAGAAATGTATTGGTTAAAAATTTTAAGTGCCCTTAATTTTTTTAAAAAAGCTAGTATTTTTTCTGATGAAAAATAAATTTATACCTTCTTCCTTGAAATATGACATACAAAATTTAAAAAATGCTAGAACATAATTAACATGGGCCTAGCTGAGGACCAAACCATGAAGTAAAAGTGAAAGAATTAGCTCATAGTCCTACAAAATTCAGAATTGAATTAGTTAAAATATAAATCTAGTAAATCTAATCTATAGATTTTAACGCATCCTACATATTTGTATTTAATGTATATATTATTAAGGAAATTGTTTTTACCAGCATTGCACGTGTACCATTTCACATGCTATATTTCACAAGAAATATTGCTCAGCCTCCCCACTTTGTGTGTTAATATTCTCTAAAGAGCCCAGTTGCACTATCCAACTGAAAAATCACTTTAATCAGTCTGTTTAGTAGTGAGGACGAGGATAATTTAACTCTAGAGGATTCTTTCCACTTGACTAATAGATAGAGCCTCAGATCTCAACCCGCACTTTGAAAAAGCATTCTTAGGAACCCACGCCAACTGGACGACTGATGGGGTACTTCACTATTTTGTGGCAGGAAAATAGGAGTATGAACATCCCCCAACCATAATGTGTCTACTAAATGAAAATACATGTTTTATTAGAATGAAAACCCACAGAGAGAGATTATACGAGGGCAGCAGTTTTCCCTTTCTGTTGTGCACACAAAGTAAACTGGAGCATGCTTAAGCGTGGACTCTAAAACCAGATACTCTAGGCTTGCTTTCTTCAAGGTATTTTTCCCTCATCTTTACATTATCTTTACAAAAAATTAAGGCCAATTACAGAGATTAAAAGAGTGAGAGTGGAGAAAGTACACAAATGCAAATATTTATACTTTAAGGATTCATGATATTAATAAAATTTTAGCCTATGTTTTCAAATATCAATGCCAGCCCATTCAATACTTCTTCTGAGTTTAATTTTTTGATGTAGCACTTACTGCTGTGCAATTTTAATATATTAACCCATTCTCCTGTTTATTATCTGCCTTTCCCCACTGGAATGTTGGCCCACATGGACAGGAAGTTGGTCTGTTTTGTTCATTGCTCTATGCACAGTAACTAAAAGAGCACCTGTACTTTATGGGAACTCAATAAACATTTGCTGAATTCAGCCAGGAAGTCAGCCTCAGAATGGTCATTGGAAAAAGAGGAGTTTCAGTATGGGAGCTCAGGAGGACAGTTTACAAAGAAAGATCTCCATTCTCCTCCTCACAGATCTTCACGATCTGTCATAAATATTCTACGTGCCCAGATCTTTATAAGTATCTGTAATGAATGATGTTTACAGTAAGATAGATATTTTTCAAAGACAAAAATCCAATTTTATTAGAAACTTCATGCCTCGGGCCTACATGTTGTGTAGTTTGTCATGAACTCTGTAACTGCTCATCTTTGCTTCTCATAGCGTACACATGTACATTCATTGTGCATATTGTTTTACGGAGAATTCATGCTTGGAAACATTTCCATGAATTTTGGAGACACTGTAAGAAATCAAGTTCTTTATGCTGCATGGTCTCCTTTTACACCAAACAAATTATAAGGTAATGTTAACTTAGTATATTTAGGAAGAAAGAATAATGCTGAAATTTGCTGTTGTACTTCTAAGATGTTCAATTTCAGGATAGAGCAGCATGAATTTATTGAGTATCAATTAATGATATAAGGCAATTTAAGAGCATTATCTTAATGCTTAATCTTAGAATGTTTGTTTTAATATTATATGCTGAGGATGAAGCAATATTGAAGTGCTATAAGCTTCATTTGTATTTAGCATAAAAGATTTTAAACTAATTAACCTAAAGGTGTCCAATAGGTTTTTCTTCTCTGTCTTTGTGTAGTTTAACATATATTGATGTTAAAACATAATTATATTTACTTTTGCCTAGAGAAGTAACACCACTTGGGGAAAATATTTCTGAGAGATAAGAAATACCCTTTTATAATATTTTCATATGCTCACCAAATCATTCTATTAGTTTGGCAAAATCCACAGACATTTATTTCCCACTGGCACTGGCTACACTGAACGTTTACCAAAGTCATTTCATTTTTAATGAGATTCTTTTGGCCTTGCTGTTTAAGCGCCAGAAAGTGCCAGAGGGTAAAGCTATACAGTAGGTTGAATAGTGTCTGACTCTGTCCAAAGACCCAGTTAGGAGAGTTTAGTCAGGGAGAAATTTTGTCCTAGATTAGTTGTTAATGTCCATGTAAAACCATAGAGTAATTGCGCATTTTAAAATTTACTTTGCTATAAGGCACTTGGTTTAAAATGTTTTTGGGAGTTCTGCCTTTATATTTCTAACAACGAAGTAACAAAAAAAAATCCAGATATCATCTGGTCTAAACCTATATTTAGGTTGAATGTGAAATAATCTAAGACAGATGGTGATCTGTGTTATTTTGGTAGAGTTTACTTCTTTGGCTTTAATTTTCACTGGCAGGTGGATTCAAAATTCAATCACAATAAAGTTATTAATTTTAGATGTATTTTAAATAGAATGACTCCCACTATTTTCTCCTAGCATTATAATTTATGTTTTATATTCATTATCATGGTTTATACATTTGGGCAAATCTCAATTTTCTGAATCTTGGTTCCATCTTTTAGAAAAAGATGGAGGTTTGTTGGGGAAGCTTAATGGTCAAAGTTGTGGATATAATAATAAACCAGATATAGGCTTAATTATGCCTATCTTTATTTACAGAAATTGAAACAATTTTGAACCAACACTCAAAAATCATGAGATTTTAGTTCAAAATCTGAATTCCCAGGTTCGTCTGGAAAATTGGAAAAGCTACAGATTAGAAGGCAACATTCTCACACAGTAATAATCATCTAGAGCCGATCACTGGCTGCTTGCTAGTTGGTCAGTTTCTATGACTTCCTCTTGCCTCTTCTCTCTGACACTGAAACTAAAGAAAATTTCTAAAGGCTACTTTAAAGTTCATATGGAACCAAAAAAGAGCCTGCATTGCCAAGTCAATCCTAAGCCAAAAGAACAAAGCTGGAGGCATCATGCTACCTGACTTCAAACTATGCTACAAGGCTACAGTAACCAAAACAGAATGGTACTGGTAGCAAAACAGAGATACAGACCAATGGAACAGAACAGAGCCCTCAGAAATAATGCCACATATCTACAACTATCTGATCTTTGACAAACCTGACTAAAACAAGAAATGGGGAAATGATTCCCTATTTAATAAATGGTGCTGGGAAAACTGGCTAGCCATATGTAGAAAGCTGACACTGGATCCCTTCCTTACACCTTATACAAAAATTAATTCAAGATGGATTAAAGACTTAAATGTTAGACCTAAAACCATAAAAACCCTAGAAGAAATCCTAGGCATTACCATTCAGGACATACGCATGGGCAAGGACTTCATGTCTAAAACACCAAAAGCAATGACAACAAAAGCCAAAGTTGACAAATGGGATCTAATTAAACTGAAGAGCTTCTGCACAGCAAAAGAAACTACCATCAGAGTGAACAGGCAACCTACAGAATGGGAGAAAATTTTTGCAATCTACTCATCTGACAAAGAGCTAATATCCAGAATCTACAATGAACTCAAACAAATTTACAAGAAAAAACCAACCCCATCAACAAGTGGGTGAAGGATATGAACAGACACTTCTCAAAAGAAGACATTTATGCAGCCAACAGACACATGAAAAAATGCTCATCATCACTGGCCATCAGAGAAATGCAAATCAAAACCACAATGAGATACCATCTCACACCAGTTAGAATGGTGATCATTAAAAAGTCAGGAAACAACAGGTGCTGGAGAGGATGTGGAGAAATAGGAACACTTTTACACTGTTGGTGGGACTGTAAACTAGTTCAACCATTGTGGAAGTCAGTGTGGCGATTCCTCAGGGATGTAGAACTAGAAACACCATTTGACCCAGCCATCCCATTACTGGGTATATACCCAAAGGATTATAAATCATGCTGCTATAAAGACACACACACACGTATGTTTATTGAGGCACTATTCACAATAGCAAAGACTTGGAACCAACCCAAATGTCCAACGATAGACTGGATTAAGAAAATGTGGCACATATACACCATGGAATACTATGCAGCCATAAAAAATGATGAGTTCATGTCCTTTGTAGGGACATGGATGAAGCTGGAAACCATCATGCTCAGCAAACTATCACAAGGACAAAAAACCAAACACCGCATGTTCTCACTCATAGGTGGGAATTGAACAATGAGATCACATGGACACAGGAAGGGGAACATCACACATGGGGTCCGTCGTGGGGTGGGGTGGGGGGCAGGAGGGATAGCATTAGGAGATATACCTAATGTTAAATGACGAGTTAATGGGTGCAGCACACCAACATGGCACATGTATATATATGTAACAAACCTGCACATTGTGCACATGTACCCTAAAACTTAAAGTATAATAAAAAAAGATCATTTTTTCAACAAATGGTGCTGGAGCAACTGAACATCCACAAGCAAAGAATAAAAAGGTTCTAAACACAGACCTTACACTTTCACAAACATCAACTCAAAATGGATCACAAACATATACGCAAAATGCAAAACTACAAAACTAGAAGACAACATAGGAGAAACTGAAGGTAACTTTGGTGATGACCTTTCTTTAAATCACATTTTATCACAGTTTATTTGTAGAAGCAATTAGAAATCAAAATACTGAAAAATGCTTTGCTATACATAAAAAATTCCTATTTTTTTTAATTACAAGGTGATGCCTGTGCATGGATAAGGCAATTTTTTTCTTACAATTTCTAAATATGAAGATAACTGGATTAAAACTATTAAAAATGGAATATTGGTTTCTTTCAGGCATTATTGGTTAAATTAGTGAAATTCAAAGTGGAAAAATATGCTAGACATCTATTAAAATAGTCATTTCAGCTATGGTAGCTAATTACTCTTTTAGTAGGCATTTTAAGAGTCTTTCATAATGTATAGAAATTGAATGGCTATTAAATCATTTATTCATTTTTTTTAAAAGACAATTTCTTTTGTCATTGTGCTTTAAATTTTTTTCAAGTAGATACTATTTTTCTGTGTGTCTCTAACAGGAAGCTTATAAAAGTTAAACCAAGAAGGATAAGCATTCATGGAAAATTAAAAGACCCTATTATTTAATAGAACTTAATAATATTCTTATCTGTTTAATATGCAAACATAGTGTATCTATGTAAAAAGACTGCAATTTAAAGCCCCAATTCAAACAAACCATAGTAACGGAGATGAACTACATTCAAAAAGATATATCATGAAAAACTTAATGAACTCAAAGGAAAAGGCTGACATTTCAGGAGGGTTTATTTTGAAATGCAAATAAGCACAAGCACTGCTGCTCTGAAAAGCAATTATATCACAAATGAATAATGAATTGTCATACATCAATACTTTTTTAAATGGTAATTTTTAGAGCTGTTCTTATTAAATGAAGAAAAATTGCACATAGAAAAGTAACACATGGCAAATACAAGGGTAACTGAAATAACTGTTGCCCAGAAATTTGGAAACATGGATGAATACACCAAGTTCATATTAAGTTAAAAAAAAAGAAGTAACTGATTTTTACTGTTTTTATTCTCTGCTGATGTCTTACACATTTATGATACATCATCAGTGGAATTATGATGTCTCAAGATACTTGTGAACATGAGGTGTATGACTAAGACAAATTCATAAAATGATTTTGTGTGTGCGTGCACATGAGTGTGTTGTATAATTGCCGGAGTGTTTAACATAAAATTGTCAAGATTAATGACTAAAGGCAGTGTTTTGAAGATGTTCAGTTAATTTTGGACTTAATACGATTCTTAAATCCTATTTGGAAATGTTTAGCAATGACAGAATAGCTACTCTCATTCAGCTCATCATTCGCCATGAATTACTTTACTTAAGAAGTTAAGCTGGAAATCATGCTGGTGTCAATGATTAAGCCAGACATTTGTGTACATTCCCATAGCATCAATGATCATCTTCTGAACTCTCTGGAAGAAGGATGATTTGTCACTTGATATTGAACAGATTCTTTGAAATGTAAAATGTAGTGTTTATTTCATCTAAGATAAAAAAATTAATCTTAGCTCACAAGCAAAGACGGAATCAATGATAGTCTTTTCATCATCTAAATGCCTTATAGGATGCCATCTCAATGCCTTAAAGGATACTTTCCAGTTACAAGTAGTAACTGGAAAGTATGACTTGCTTACCTGATTTCTCATGAAATTATGCCTTTGGTAAGCTCCTTGGTCAAGGATTAACCTGGCAAATACTTCTTGGCAGAAATCACCCTGTGGAGCTTAATAGGATTGCATGAATGGCATGTCTAATATCATAGAGTTAAGAAATAAAATGTTAAGAAAAGTCTCAGGATTAAAACTTTCTGACAATGACCTCACATTGTTAAATCACATAATATGACTAGGTAAGTCAAGAGCCAGAATCAGAAGATACTTTACGCTGGCACAGTCCAATTCCAAAAATTAAATGTAACTTTTACTTAACTTAAATGTAAATGTAGCTTTGTGACTATTTTTTTCCAGTTATAAACTGAATAAAAGTAAGCAATGCTGCTAGTTAAGAGATTGAAAACAGAATTCTGTATACTGTGAAAGCACACCATAATGCAATGCATAAGAGCTGGCATCTTGGTGTAGGACATGTCAGGTTTATTTTTCCAAATCAAAGAAATTAACAATGTTGGAAGATATTTCTATTTTCATTTTTTGAGTTTTCAATTTCAGCTTTTAAATATCTCCAATAACATACTTACTCTTGTGGCAATATACTTATATTTCAGTACTAACAGTTCATACATCTTTCTGAGAGTTGACAATGTTTACAGCTCATCAATTGCATTCATTTATATTACATGCTTTATCCATTAACGCAATACTTGTCTTTAGCTCTAAAGATGTCTGAGTCAGTATCTCTTAGGCTAATGACAAGAGAAAAATTTGGAGAAAATCTAACTCATCCTAAACATAAGATGTCTATCCTGTATTTTAAAGTCCCCAGAAATGGGCTTTAATGGTGCTGTCAGAAACTTGTTAATTTTGATTTTCAAATGTGTTTATGTATGTGCATTTTCAATATGTACATATGTATGTATATCGTATATCTTAGCTTGTTGAACATCTATATCTTTAATCATTTATGCTCCATTGAAATGATATAGATATGATCCTGTACGCTATGCTAAAACCATAGTCTAAGAGAAATGTATATAAAAGGCAAGGGCCAACTTTCCACTAAAATTGCCATTTACTAGGTCAGGATATGTACACTTATTTGGAAGAAGACACAGCCACATGGAAAGAAAGGTTATGAAGTTCTATTTCTTATAATTATTTAAACGAGTCTGAGATTATAATATTTCTCATATGTAGAAATGATTTAATATTCACTTAGACTTCTCTCAATGTATGGAACACATTTGAATATAACATTCGTTTAATTAAACTATTTATTTAGAGTTTCCTTGAATGACTTTCTCTACAACCTGACTTCAACAGATAATTGACAATTCTACACATCCTTTTATAAAACTGACTCCTAAATACAATTAATTAGTAAGCTTTGAAAAACTCCCACATCTCAAGGATGTTTTATAAAAAGACAAAGTTAATGATTTCAAATCTTAATTTATATTAAATCAAACTATTCCCACCATCTGCAGAAAGAACTATCTTGCTTTAAAAATTGGAGAAACAGAAAATATAGCCACTCAATAACCACTGCATCACTAACCTTTATGGTATATGACCTATGGTGCCATTTAGGGTCATGATCCCTTCTTTCATTCTTAGATAATATATCCATTGCTCCTATATGTAGAAGGAACTATTTAGAGGCAAATGCTATTCAAGTACTGTTCCACAGAAATAGAAAGGTACAATGTCATGGTGTTTGGAAGTGAACTGATGATGCATTGCACTAGCATATAGAGACATTGTTCCCATAAAACTTGTAACATTATAGTTCAGGGACTATTTAACCTTTAATACAAATCATTTTTATTGTCCCAATAGAACTCGCAACACTTTATTCTTTGCATTTCTCTTCAGCACTGTGTACCAACTACATTATTATTTTGTCAGGGTGGAAAGAAAAGACATGTTAAGTCTAATCCATGTGCAAACACATCTGAAGAATATTTAGGAAGGTACACATCTCCATCAAATATAGAACATGAAGACTCAAAATTTGTCACTGATGACAGAATATTTCTGAAATAAAATGATCTTCCAGACTTTCCTTTATTTTCAGAATTACGTACAGTTTTCCGCTTTCTTTTACATGCTATCAGTGATGTGCTTTCAAATAATTCTAATAAAACAATTCTGCAACATTGAATAGGGAAAATGCCAGAATAAAGCTTACTGCCGCCAGTGTGTTTATTTTTCGTACTGTCTATTTGCTATTATTTATTTCTAAGTTTATCTGGCAGAACTCATCAGAAAAAACATAAAGTCAATTTATTTCTAAATTTTAAAAATCTTTTTTTGATAGGGACTTAAGTTCATTTACATTAGAATGTATCTTCTGAGGAAATTGGTTCTTCATCTTTTGCTAGTTTGTTTTGTCTTGCAATCACGTTCCTTACTCTTTTCTTTTTTACAGTTTGCCAAAGACAAAATTTTCAAGGGGCATAGTATAGGGAAAAGGGGAAACAAAAAGAAATACAATATAACTAAATTAAGTGCTTTAAATTCCAGTGGGAAAATAAAAATGATTTGTGTTAAAGGTTAAATAGTCCCTAAACCATAATGTTACAAGTGTTACAGGAATGATGTTTCTATATTCTTGTGCAATGCACCATCAATCTACAGCCAAATACCACTGACATTGTATTTTCTTTTTTTATCTCTGCAGAACATTTGGATACCACTTACCTCTGAGACAGTTCTTTTGGAAATTATAAATATATTTCTTTCCGGGGATCAAAAGAATCCACATCAACATGAAAGATGAAGTGTTGAATCTGAATTCACAGCTGCTTTATGCAATCTGGAAAAAGTACGGGATTTCTCATTTTAGTTCAGTTCTCAAAGCTTTGTAGATAGAGGCCTGAAATGAAATATTTGAATTTTTAAAAATATTCTTCTTGTCTGGCTGTGTAAATGATTGCAATCAATCAGATTTTCTTTGTTCAAGAAAAAAAACATGAAATTACAATATGAATATTTTTCACATGTAATTTTAGTTATACAGTGGGCAATGACTGACAGCTTAACAATGTCCCACTGTGGCAAGAGTAATGTGTTATTTTGGGAAAAATATTTTTACTTAAGAAAAGTTAACTTGCAATAAGTTGATTTTAAAAGTCTCCTTGGAAAATAATTTTGAAGGTCACAAAAGTATATTTGGAGTCTATTATTTTACAATTTTATAAACTAATTTTAAAAAATGTATTAAGACCTTACCTGTTACAAAAACAGAAATCTGCAGCAAAAATAAAATGATCTATTTCATGGTTGTTTATAATATACAAACATTTCAGAGAAGTATCATTGCCTATTTCAAAAGTGTTACATTAATTACAAAACAAATTTTAAATATTGGAAAAATTATATTACAAAAATAAATTCCAATGGCAGGATAGATTATTATAATCAAATGGATGCATTTTTTGCCATTTTGAAAGAAAAGCTATGTTCACTGGACGTTTTATAATTACACTGTTTCAACAAATCAAAACTAAATATTTTGTGATTTTGCTTGAAGATTCCAAAATGAGTTCAATTTTAAACTGTAAATATACAATATTTAATATAATTTCCCCCTTTGAGTGGGAGATTTTACTGTAAAATTTGTTTTATCCATAAAACAAATTTAGTATAAATATTGTTGTAATCAAATATTATACAGAGTTTGAGAGTGATGTCCACAAAATGGTAAATAAAATAGAAGATCTCCTGCCATCACTCCTTTCAAAAGAGTACAACAGGAAACTATTCAAACCAAAATTCAAGGAAGTAGTGGAGAAATCCCTGGGTCCATGTGGAGTTTAGACTTTAGACTTTATCTTACATGCAATGGGAAGCTATTTACAGGTTTTAAGCAAATGATTATGTCTGTGTTTTAAAGGTATTATATTCTAGATGCTTCATGGAATTACGTCATTTATACTTTATAAATCTATAATGTGTAACTGATTAAAAACAAGCTTGGAAACATAAACTCAAGTTAGAAAATATGGGTTTGACATAAAACCTTAAATATGTTTCATTTGTTTGCTTGTTTGGCTTGTTTGTTTCTAACACAGGTTTAACCTACATGTGAGTCACCTTTGGATTGATGAGTCTAGAGTTTGAAACAGACAATCTGGGTACATATATTTAGAGAAGGTCAGTCCGCAAATGATGCTTAATGATCCCTGGGTGATGATCACCTTAAGGAGAAAGTGCATGGAAAGAAAGGTCCACACATACTCTGAAAAACTTAAAAATGGTCACATAAGAGGAGCAAGACTGAGACTCACATTTTCTCTACCTTGAAAGGGACAGAAATAGCCATATACATAGGAATAAATCATGTTTCTTATAATTATTTATGGAGTCCAAGGATAGAAAGGATTTGCCAGGTAACCATTTAGTGTTTGCTGAATTTATAATGTGTGAAATTGACAGAAGCCTGAGCTGCAGGGGAAAACCTGGAGAGTGAGAATAAGGGTCTTAAGAAGTAGTGGTTGTCTTGGTCAATGTTGAAAGGTCAAAAAAGTGAGAACTACAATTGGTCATTTGGATTTGGCTACATAGTCACTAGTGACTTCTGTAAAGAGCAGTTTCGGTGGAGTGTGGGGATAGGAGACCTACTGAAAATGCACCAGAGAATGAATAGGAGGTAGGGGAAGGGAAATAGCCTGTGTGGGAACAAACAAAACAAACAAAAATGTTTTTAACAACCGCCCTTGTTTGATCCTTCATCCTTGCGAATTAAAACCCAAAGGAGAAGGTCTTACATGAGATCACTGCACTCATACAAAATGTAAATCAAAGGAAACTATGAATGACTCAAAGCCAGGAGTTCTAGCAAACACATTATTTAGGTGGCAGGATCGTGATGTAAAATGGTCCCAATAGGTTGGAAAGATACAAATATAGGTTAGCGTTTTTTCATGTCAATTTTCCAAATTCACCAATGACGCTCCCTGCTATTATTTTGGGTATATCAAGGATTCTAAATAAAAACATTCAAAAATCTATCTTCACAATTTTTGGTCTTCTTCTGAACTCTGAAAATTTATCTTTATTCCACTTAACATCCTTTCATAGCGTCAACAGTAGTAATAATGGTTGCCAGTTCTAGATTTCTACCATTTACCAACAATAATCCAATTGGTTTATTAATTTAATCCTCATGGCATAAATTGAGGTTTAGATCATTTGTGCAGATAATAAATTGCTTAAGCAATTTATTTAATTGTTTTTACATAGAATTAAATTAGTTTTTACCTAGAATGTTTCACTTCTAAAACCCACAAATTCTTAAATTTGGATCAATTCTCAATACTGCTTCTTCATATGCCAGGCTGCTGAGTACAACAGAGAAAATCACACAGCTGGCTAGATGAATATCTAATTTATCGTATATATTTATACTACAATGTATTCTCAGAAATTTCATCTGGGTTCTTTCTTTTTTTGGTCACTTTCTCATTTCTGCTCTGCCATGACTCAAAAACTTCTCTGTTCAAATATCTTACCCAATATCCATTATAATCTTCATTGTCAAGAACCTCATATCCTATTTTACAGAGAGATTTGAGGCCAGCAGATTTAAACTTGCTTTAATACCTATCTTTATAAACAAATGTATTTTTTTTCCTACATTCATTTTTCTCTTCTTCGTTCCAGGCTCAAAGAGAAAATGGCCCCATTCAGAGTTTAAGGTTATTCTTTCTGTAATTTCCATCTGAAATATACTTCTTTAGATCTATTCTTCACTGAGAAACTACAATTTGTGCTTCAAAGCCCTGCTTACATTTTCCTTTTGTGAAACAGTTTCTGACACAGGAATTTTCTGCACGCTCCCCAAACACAGTCAGTAATTTTTCTACAATGCTAAGGCTATACCTATACACACATTCATCGTACTTATCAATGCATGGTTTATGAGGTGGGTGGCAAACATGGTTGAATATTAGGAAAAAAAGTTTCCCAACCCCCTTTGCCACATACTATGATTCTATAGGACTGAGCCAGAGCTTAGAAATTGATGATTCATAAATATTGCTATGTGATGATAATGATCATCCTGGGTTGGAAACCACTGAATCATAGGCCTCAGGTCAGGGAAACAGCTTTAATTTCAGCTCCGAAACTTAATAGAAGAATGGTTTTCCACAAACTTCTCAAATATCTGACTCCCAGCAATAAATCTTTTCTCTGTTTTCAAACTATGTTGGGATTTCTACCACGTCTTCCCATTTCTATCAGTATCCCCAGCCATCATCATCTCTCTCATCTGGCCTAATGCAACCTCCTGACTGATCTCTGATTCACACTTGCTTCATCTATTATATTTTCTCCGTGTAGAACTGAGAGACTCCTTTATGGAAAAGTAATATAATGCCACTTCTCTCCTTAAAAATCTTCCAGGGACTTCCTTTGACATGCAGAATCTAATCCAAATTCTTCACAATAGCCTATATGAAAGTATAACTTGCTGTTACAAATTTCCCTTTTCCAATTCCTGTTATTCCTTTGATTTCTCCTACTTCCTTTTCACTTGTTTATTTCAACTCAGCCATGCTGGGCTCCTTAATGTTCCTTAGCTACACTAGACATGCTCAGGCCTCAGAGTCCTTGGATTTAATATTGTTTCTGTGTAGACTGTTTCCCTGCAGATATTCATATGACTCTCTTCTTCCCTTTATTCAGATTTCTTATCAAAATCACCTCCTCTGAGAAGTATTCCTGGCAAAAGAGTATGCACACATTGCATTCACTCTTACTCATCACCGCAAATCACTTATTAATTTTTAAAAAAAATTTGTTTTTGTCAATTTCCCTGACAAGACAGGAAAACACGACATGAATTGAAGAGGCCAGAGAATTCTGGGCAAGGGATGCATGAATGGTTCTTGGTGGTGGATGAGGAAACATTGGGGAAGAGATAGCAAGTGATTATATTCCATCCTGACCAATAGGGTCACTCACAGTGGTGCTGAGACCTTAGCAGCCAAAAGCTCAGAAATAGGATCTGATTTCTTAGTGCCTGTGGAAGACATCAAACCAGGAAAAGTGATGCAATCTTCTCAGTAAGGAGACTGCAATATTTGTTCTTCCCTAATTTTATTTGCAAAATGTTCAATCACAGTTTTACTTCTGTGAGAACAACTCTTTCTTACTGGGACTAACACAAACAAAACTTTTTTCTTTTTTCTTTTTTTTTTTTTTTTTTTTTTTAGATGGGGTCTCGCTCTTTCACCCATGGCACAATCTTAGCTCACTGCAACCTCCACCTCCTGGGTTCAAGCAATTCTCATACCTCAGCCTCCCGCGTAGCTGGGATTACAGGTGCCTGCCACCACGCCTGGCTAATTTAAAACTTTTTTCTATATTTAAATTTTTTTCTGTATAGTCTGGTTTCTATTTAACAAGCACTGTAATTAGATGGGGCAAAATTTGTTTAGTGTGATCTGGTCATAGTTAACTGGTGATATTATGGTGAAAAGCTGTATCATATTTTTCCAATTCCATTTCTAGTCTCTAAAACCATTTCTTCCTCACACACTGTGTTTTGAAGACAGAAGTTAAGTGTTTTTGAGTCTGGTTCCAGGAAGCCTAAAATAACATACCAATTATTTTGATTAAAGAAAAAGGTTGTGGGTCATTTTCCTCATTAGACTATGTCAGTTATGGTATTGCTGAACATCTATTATTTTTTCTCCCAAATAAAAATGGGCTCTATATAATTTTATTTTAGTGTTGAATGGAAAAAGTGTGGTCCAGAAGCCTTGTTATTAGTTTTCCTTTGTAAAATGTCTCTCAGTTAATTAGAATCGTATCCATTTATAAATATTTCATTGCAAATTTATTAAATAAGCTTTAAGCCTTGTCACAGAGGTGGATGGTGATTGTCTAATTTAAGCCTGAATTTTTGTCTGTAACACTGCCTTTGTCTGGTGACAAAATTTTGTATGAGCTTAGTGAAAGTGGGTTTAGCTTATTCTATTGTCCTTTTGTTGCATTGCCATGACAATGTTTCATACAGACCTATATTCTCTTTTACTTCACTCTTTACCACTTTATTATCTGTTCTACCTTTAAATGACTTCTGCATTAATTTACACAGTAATCCATTGTGCATTGGTGTATGCCACCAAAAAACTAAAAGCATCTAAAAATATGATTACTGTATATTCATTGGTCATTCATTTGCTTTCAATGTAGAAGATTTAGGTGAGGTTCATAAGAACTGGAAGATTTATCAGCTGTTTCAAAAAAAGTCTATAATAAGTGTGCCAAGAGACATTACCTCATAGAAATAAACCCATGAATGTTTGATGTCCCCTCCAGTTTACTCCTGTACTTTAAAACACATCATAATGCACGTTTTTCAAGTTTTATTAAAGTGAGCATTTTTCTATCTATTCAAAATATCATATTCAGCATAGTGATTATAGGAAAATCCTTTGGATAAGGCAAATGACTCTGGATTCTTTCTAGTCCTGGCTACAACTGAATTTAATAGGACCTTATTAAAGTCAGTTTAACTCAAAGGGTCTCAGTTAAGTATTCTCGTCATTTTCTTTCTTTCTTTCTTTCTTTTTTAATACAGGGTCAAGCTGGAGTGCAGTGGCCCAATCCTGGCTCACTGCAACCTCTGCCTCCTGGGCTCAAGGCATCCTTCCACCTCAGCCTCCCAAGTAGCTGGGACTACAGGTATAAGCTACCACATCTGGCTAATTTTTGTCTTTTTAGTAGAGAAAGGGTTTTTCCATATTGCCCACGGCATTCTTGAACTCCTGAGCTCAAGCAATCCACCCACCTTGCCTTCCCAAAGTGCTGGGATTACAGGTGTGAGCCACCACGCCTGGCCAGTATTCATTTTTTTATGAGGGAGTGAGGGGTCAGTTTTCTGACCCATGAAAGCAGATATTGAGAGTTTAAGCATTTTTAAATTTAAAATAAAGTTTTATATAAGATCGCTTTTTGTTAGTAACTTAATTGCTCCTTGGATGCTGTAGATCAAAATTTTAAAGACCGTTAAGATACAACTTTATATACACCACGTGCCTCATTAGATGATTTGGTCAATGAGAGCCCACCTATACAACAATGATCCCATAAGATTATAATACTATATGTTTTCTGTACCTTTTCTATGTTTAGATACATAAGTACTTACCACTGTGTTACAATTGCCTACAGGATTCAGTAGAGTTCATGCTGTATAGGCTTGTAGCCTGGAAGCAATAAGCTATACCATATAGCCTAGGTGTGTAGTAGGCTATACCATCTAGGTTTGAGTAAGTACATTCTATGATGTTCCCACATTGACAAACTCTCCTAACAATGAATTTTTCAGAATATATCTCCATCAAGGAGAGACATGACTGTACTGCCTTTTGTTTGTACCACTGTGTTCTTATTCAAAGAAAAATATGCACATTACACACAACTTTAAACTTATTCACACTCATATTAGCAATCAAGAATGCAGGAATGTACAGTACATGCACGAACTGTGCCTTGACCATTTGCTGACCTGATACATGACTTAATGTATTTGATCTCACTTGAGGAAATCGAGTTTGGAAAAGAAAATGTGCATTTAACGTAAGTAAAATTATATTGAATGTTTCTTCCTAGTTTAAAATAATTTTTCAGTAAAACAGGATCTCTTAAAATTATTTCTCATTAAACATTGAGCTATTTTTCTTTTATTAGAAATTACCTATCAAAATAGTGGCTGTCTCTCTTAATTAAAAGTGGATTGGTATAATGATATACTATTGGATCTGTACCCTTTCTATTCTGTTTTTTTATTCTAATTTATAGAGTAATCACAACTATGATATCAGGAATAAAAATGTCCTCAAGAACAGGTGCCTAATTGGGAGAGAATTTGACACTTCCCATTTCCATTTTAGGAGTTAAAAAAATCTACACGTTAAGTTATTTTTATAGTTAAGAAGTTTAAGTTTGTTTAAAATACCACAAAGTATAAAACGTGATCTGAATATTGTTAAAAGGTCATGCAAATTAGAACCATGCTTATTCAATTTGAATCAAAGTATATTTAAGCCATTTTTCATAAAATTATTGAGATTATTAATATTTAATAACCTAAATCATTTTTATAAAGTGATAATAAAACAGATTATCCTAAGAGATTGTTTTTGTTATGGCTGCATCAAAAGAAGCTAAAGTGCATTGTGGCAGGAAGGACTAGTGTCATTTATAGTGACATTCAAGTAATCTGGGTGTGATAGATGCTTGACTGCTAAATTTATGCTAGGATTAGCACCATTTATCTGCTCTTAGTGTGTTAAATACTCAATGAAATATGTATTTATGAAAGTAATTCAGTGTTTTTCAAATTTCATGACGCTTTTAATAAAGCTGTTAAATTAACAGCTTTATGGGGTTATAATTGATATACAAAGAACTGCACATATTCAATATGTACAATTTGATGAGTTTGAACATACACAAACACCCATCATATCATCACCGCAATCAAGGTAATCAACATATCCAGCACATTTTAATAGTACCATAAAGACTTCTCCGCCTTTTAAGAGTCCTGGTAGTCTCAGTGAAACAAAATCTCTTGATTTTCAACATTCCTCTAATTTATCAGTTCTTTCCAACTGGGATTTACCAAGCAATGTCATTTTGTGTTGAATTACCATGAGTTTTTAAAAGATGCTAAAAGAAATAAAGTATGTTAGAATTTCATTGCCAATCAAGATTTTGATATGCGATCTGAATTTTTAGACCAGTGGTTCTAAGGTTGGTGAGGGAGAGGGGAAGTTGTACTGTGTGGGAGACAGTTGGCAACGTCTGGCAATATTTTAATTGTCACAATTGCAGACTGGTGCCAGAATCTAGTATGTAAAGGCCAGGGATACTGCTACATGCCCTACAAGGCACAGGGCAGTCTTGTAGTATCTGGCTTACAATGTCAGCAGTGCTGAGGTACAGAAACACTGATTTAGATTAATCATTGTACTCAAAAGTATAGAGTGAGCAAAATGTGTTGTTTGCCTTGTGAAATTTGGAGAAAAAAAACAAAGCTCTATCCAACCATTCTACATTTCTGACATCTGTGTTACATATGATTGGAAATTCTCTTTCTTCTAAATACCCATTGTGTGCTTCAGTGACTGCTGGGATACGAGCCACTTGTTCCTACAGTAATTGTCACAGGATAGCTGCCAGATGGTAATACTGAGAAGCACAACATGAAAAAAAAGTGTGTTTTTTTTCTCATTTCATTCTATCTTCATAGGCTAAATAAGTTAGTCTAATGTTTGTTCTACCCTACTTTAAGCAGAAGACATAATTCCTTCTTGCAAATGGCGCCTAAATGGTGAACAGACATGTCATGTGAGATTCTTTTAATAGATCTGCTTATTATTTGCCCTTATGGACCATTTGACATTATTCAAAGAGGAAAGATTTTTTTTTTTTTTTTTTTTTTTTGCCACTAAAAGAGAATCTGGGTAGGCCTATGACTCTTCTGTTCACTCTTGGAGAGTGCTGTGATAACTTTAAGTCATACATGCTATTAGAATGCCCTGACTTCATAATATGTATAGCTATGCATTTGATTTAAATCTTCACCGTGACATGTAAGACTGGCTTCAGGAAGGCTGTTGCCTGCAAATAGGCGTGACCAGCTTGTTCTCTCTTTTCCATTTGACTTTTTGCAAAGCCTCTCAAATTGAAACAGAGAGAGGGGCATGGTCAGGGGGTAGACTTTTACTTAGAGGTGCTGCTCTAGAATGGGTCTGCATTCACTATGTCTGGCAGGTTGTTAGCATGGACTTTTCCAGTTACTAGCCTAATTTAAGGTTTCGTGGTATCACTAAAGCGCCTCTGCTTGGACTCCCTGCCATGACGTGGCTACAGGCACCCTTCCCCTGAGTACTACTCCCTGTATACCTCTGGTTTTTCAGGGGTCCCTTTCATGGAAAAACTCTTTTGAGTCTCACTGTATACACACATGATACTCTTGAGCAGGAATCACATTGGCTCCAGGCCGACACTTCCCTGCATGACAAATTATCTGAATTATAAGAAACATTTACCTATCATTTATCTTGACAGATTCTAGCAGTGAATTTCCTACCAAAGAATTATGGCAGAATTTCTTTCTTCTTGATGGCTAACCTTCAAACTCCATGAAACACAGATCAAGGTGACCTTTGTGAGTCACCTGTCTCTAGGCTTAAGCAGGTAGCATCTTTCCGGTCATCCACATTTGGAGAGAATATTGGAACTCAGCACAGCAGCAACACTCTCCAAAGTAATCTCTCAATCTCCATTCTCTCAAACTGATATGCCGAGCTACATTCAAAATCTGTACCTTTGTAGGCTCAGAATTTACTCGGATAACTGACATTTATTGTCAATTGGGGCCTGAGTCTAAATATCTAAGATGCCATTTGTGATTACCGGAAGCATCCACATCGCAATTTGCTCATGAATCAAAATTTCATAGTATTTGGAAAGATAGAATGAAATCATATTGATAGCATTGTCCTCATGCCTCATTCTAATGGTTAAAAACTGTAAACAATATATGTGCATAAAATACTCATTGGAAATTACAAATGCACATAGATATCTATATGTATATATGTATATGTTTATACACGCATGTATATGTATATGTACACATATTCATGTATATGAATATATGTACACATATACATGTATATGAATATATGTACACATATACATGCATGTATGCATATGTATATACATATGCATGCATGTATGCATATGTATATATATACACACATATGCATATGTGCATAAAATTCTCCTATATGCACATATACGTATATGTGTATATATATGCATATATATGCACATATACGTATAGGTGTATATATATGCACATATACGTATAGGTGTATATATATGCACATATACGTATAGGTGTATATATATGCACATATACGTATAGGTGTATATATATGCACATATATGTGCATAAAAGATATACATATGTATACATATATGTGTGTATATATATGTGTGTGTGCATATATATAGTGTTTTTCTTTGTTAAATGGTTTATAATAGTGCAATTTTCAATTTTGGTGTGAAGTATTAAGTAACTGATGTTAAGACAGAAATCTAAGAAAGTTATTTTAAACAGTAATATTTTGGCAATGCAAAGCTATCTAGTAATATTGCTCAGACAATACAAAGCTAGTTCTATTCATATTTGTCCTGCTGATCTGGAAGATAAAACTGATCCCTCCCTGCAAGGGCTGCACTAGCTGGAATGAGACATTGTGTTTGTAGAACCTATGATCTTCTTTACAGAGAAAAGCAATTCATAAAGTTAGAAAAGGGCATCATGTAAAATCCAACTCACATTTTGTAGAAATAGCATGAGGATTGCTGAGAGTGCTAAGAAAGAATAAATAATAGCAACAACCAAACCAAAAACAACAAGAAAAAAAATCCTATTCTCCATAGTTTATTCTTGAGAATATGACATGCAAAAAGTATGCCTCAGAAAATGTATCTTAAGGGGGAATGTTATTTGTGTATTTTTTTTCAAAAGGGCCATGTTCTTAACTGTTTTTGCACTGCATTTATATATTGTTAATGTCCTTTTATAACTTGAATATATCTTAATTCTACAGCCTATTTTGCATTAAGTGCTCTGGATCAAGGCATGCCAATATGCTATTTTTGATCTTGTATTTTAGTTTTGTCTTTTTCTTAATTCCAGGTAGCACACATGATTATTATGAGAAAATGTTTTAGATTTACCTGTATGTTAAACAATTTTATTTTTGTTGTTAACTCTTCTTTCATCTCAGCTTCTTTATAAGATTATTTTCCTTTTTCCTGAAGTATGCCTTTGTAGGTTCCTTCAGTGAAATTGTATTTACCGTGTTGATGAGTCAGTTTTTATTTTTCTGAAAGTGCATTTATTTCTCCTTTAGTCTTGAATACTTGCTTTGCTGGATTAAAAAGCTTACTTGATCCTAATTTGCAGGCATCAGGGCCTTAATTTGAAGAGACTTTCTTGTGGAGAAAATGTGTCTCCTGCTTCACTTGAGGACCATGAATTCCTAACAACGTGGTACCACTTTGTCTTCCTTTGAGAGGCCTGGTTAGTGTGAGAACCTCGTAGTCAGCTCTCCACCAAGGATATAAACAATGTTATTAGCGGCATCTTCCATTTCAGGAAGATATTACAATGGTTTTTACAAAGAGCATTTCACACAGGAGTATGTTCAAATTTTATTTGATCTGAGATATGAGGGTATACCTAAGGGTGTTCATGGTATACTGTGAAAAAATTTCTAAATTGTAAGTAATTTAAAAATAATAATAATGTTAACATACTAAAAATAAATTTAATAATTGTAGTAAAGTTTTTAAAGATTGTCAAAACCTTTTTCCCCTGCCTTCTTTGTACAAGGCTTAGGTGGTAGACTTGTTAAGTAGGGAAATGAGATATTCAAGTTTAATGCTTAAGGCACAATGGGTTAATGACTATAATAACAGGTAATACTCTTCAAACTGTTGTTTGATAATACATGGAATGACTAAGTTCATGTTAATAATGCACAATGGTCTTCAGTGGGGGAAGCAAGGGTAAAATTGAGATTTAACATAGAAACTACAGATTTAATATGTAGCATCACTTTACCACTCAAAATTTAATTTTCAGATCACAAATTTTATATCTATTTTGTTCTAATTTTAATTACTGCCTCCAGATTTCTTATGTAAATAAATTCTTATAGATGGTTAGATTATGTACCTCTCATTATTATTGTTTGTCCTAAAATGGAATCAGTTTACAGCTAGAAAGACATCATTACCAAACTGGATCTTATAGATGGATCCGCCAGATCTCAGTAGTTGTTCAGAGCTCCAGGGTCTGTCAGTCAGGATGGGGGGCCTAGAGAGCACTCTGCCATGTGGATGTGGCACATTCTGTAACCACATCTTGCTCAGATTACATGATACTTAAGACTCATCAAGCCAAACTTGAGAGGAGGTGGCTCTTTTGGCAAGATTTCTAGTGATCCCAGAATCTTTGTGAAGAGAAATTCTTATTTGTTTACAAAGCTATTATAATATGTATAAAACACTAAGATTTAATTTTATATTAATATTTGTAAGTATATTTTTGTTCTGGCATTTGATTAAAAAATATAATTCCAGAAAGTACATTTATAAATAATACATAACAACAGTCATATAAGCTTTTTTTTTTTTTGAGACGGAGTCTCACTCTGTTGCACAGGCTGGAGTGCAGTGGTGTGATCTTGGCTCACTGCAAGTTCTGCCTCCTGGGTTCACACCATTCTCCTGCCTCAGCCTCCCGAGTAGCTGGGACTACAGGCGCCCGCTACCACGCCCGGTTAATTTTTTTTGGATTTTTAGTAGAGACGAGGTTTCACCGTGTTAGCCATGATGGTCTCAATCTCCTGACCTCATGATCCGCCCGCCTCAGCCTCCCAAAGTGCTGGGATTACAGGCATGAGCCCCCGTGCCCGGCCTAAACATCTTTTAAAAATTTAATTCTACTCCTTATATGGCTGTCTTGGTCAGAATTGTTAAAATATAAATGTAATAAAAGCCCTAGCACCATCTTATATCTTATAAAGAAGAAAAATTACTTTTAGCTTTTATAGTGAAACCCACCAAAATGATTGAGTCTGACAGTATTTTTCAAAAACAATGTTAACAGTTTGACAGTATTTTTCATAAACAATATGGCCCACAAAAAGTGAACTAACAAAATTTCTTAAAATATTGGTAACTTCATTGATACACAGGAAGGTAGGTGGGCATTGGGTCTCCAACTTAAGCATTTATATGAAGCATTCCAAAATAGTTTCTTGTTTTGCTTTGAGAGATGTGCAAGTTCACCAACATAGAGAAAGTCTTCAGTTTTGAATCATTTTAGTGCTTTGTAATAGTAAATGGGCATAAATCAGGGCACTTGTATAATAATAGCCTACAGTAAAGAATAGATGTTTCAGCCGGGCGTGGTGGCTCACACCTGTAATCCCAGCACTTTGGGAGGCTGAGGTGGGTGGATCACCTAAGGTCAGGAGTTCAAGACTGGCCTGGCCAACATGGTGAAACCTCATCTCTACTAAAAATACAAAAATTAGCTGGGCATGGTGGTGGGCGCCTGTACTTCCAGCTACTCAGGAGGCTGAGGCAGGAGAATTGCTTGAACCCGTGTGGCGGAGGTTGCAGTGAACCGAGATAGCACCACTGTACTCCAGCCTGGGCAACAAAGTGAGACTCTGTCTCAAAAAAGAAAAGAATAGATGTTTCAAAGTGTTTTAAAGAATTATTTACTATCCATAATCTGGCTTTTTACATTCATTTTCTTATTTTTAAATCTAGCCCTTTGAAATTCATCAACTGTCATGTATTATTTTCAGATGAAAATAATGAGTGATTATTGAAAATGGAATTTAAAGTTCTCTGAATCAGATGGGAAACAAAAACTTGCCTTCAGTTTTTACAGATTCCACCAGACTGTAAAATTTGTGATGTCATAGATTTTCTCTGTTTTGTTTGCTGCTGTATCTCTAGTACCTACAAGAGTGACCCACACAGTGAATTCATGCATTACTGCATGCATGAATGAATAAATGTATAAAGAATCTCACATGTGGCCATTGCTCACTTATTCAGCTCACAACCGTGATACTCTGTGTCACATTATTTTATCTCCTCTCTCATTCTAACACCTAGCTTTTATAATATGCTTTTCCTAGCATTATAGTTACATTTAGACAGGTGATTTTATTTTAAAAATGCAAACCATTCTTTACAAATGCCACTCAAAGCCAATAAAGAATTAATCCCTTTAAGATATATACTTGCATATATTGAGACTTTCAAGCAGAGTCAGACTTTAAAGCCACCAAATGAAAGAGCTCTCATATGTGTCCTATTATCACAGAGGCTGAGTACCAGGATTTTACTTTTAAAATTTTTATATTCTGTCTCTCCCCTGCTCTTCTAAATAGAAGGGAAAAAGCCAGTATGTTGGCTATACAGTCTTTATGTTGCATTTTCTCAGAGAAATGTTGAACAGTTATGAATAGAAAGAGTAAGAACCCAAAAGCATGGCCTGAGTCATCCCTTGCTTGTCATTTTGTGGGGAAGTTGAGTCTCATCCTTATCAGTTCTGTTGCTAGCCTGGGAAGCTGAAACCACAGTCCCTTCCAAATGATAACCATAATTTTCTCCCTTCTACTTTATTTTCTCATTTTTTCATCTTATAATGAGCAGTTACAAAAACTTTTGGGTCCAAATGTTTTACCAAGTCAGTTAACTTACTTCTTAACCTTTTTGAATAGCCCATTTGAAGCCAGTTAACATTGTTGACTCTAAAAAGACTAAATATAAAGTTTTACTAAGATAAGTCATCATGTTGAATAAATACACAAATATGACCTTTGGTATGGATGTGCATATAAGCAGTGGGGTAAAAGCATCCTTGTATTTAAAAGTAAAGAATTCTGTACTACAAGTAGAAATCTACATGCAGAAACACACACACAGTCTGGCCGTAGCTACAGGTAGCATGCATGTTCCTTTTACATGTGAGTCAGAAAACCTGATTTTATTATGCTCTGTGTTATTCATCAAAGTAGTGAGGGCCTTTGGGATAGTGTGCATTCCTTGCAGAGAAAGCAAAACAAGCTGTTGAATTTTCTTTTCTTAGGAGAGAAGACAATGAGGTCAGCTAGAATGATGGATTGTCATCACTGGGGCACGGGAAAGGGGTTGAGCAAGTCAATGTATGTTTTCCAGAGCCTACAGAATGTGTCTGATTCTCTGAAGTATATTTTTTCTAAATGCCAGGTGAGTATGCAATGCTAATGTGAGGTAGAGATTATTGTCATAAGCATTATTACTTAACATGTTTTTCCTCTTATATGCTACACATTACGATATAAGCTTTAAAATATTATATTGGTTTGATTCTCACAACAAGCCTGTGAGTTTGGTATTGCTAGCAATAGTTAACATATTTGGAAAAGTCGGAAGAGAGAGATATAATAACTCGTACCCATGGAATTAATCAACCATTGATATATACAAGGAGACTGGTTATTTTAAACAAAGGGAAAGTGTGACTAAATAAAACTTTAAATGAAAAGGAGTGCAAAAATGCTATCGGGATCGGAGATACATTTTAAAAAATTTGCTATGTATTACAATTAAAAAATATATTAATGAAGTATTTTGAATAGAGTTTCCTAAGTCTAATAAATTTTGCCAGGGCATGAGTGACTAAAATACAAACAGGCTCCTCAACATATTCTCCTTCACTGTTTCATCAATGCCATACGTACTTATTAATGGTTAAGAAAAATACACCCTGCTATGGTTTATTGCCAAATAGCAAAGATGTAAATTACATCTCCGACACTGACATGCCACTACATTATTAACAGGGCCACGGAGGCCATTGAAAGTACACTGTATGCACATTTACAGTAGAGGACATATTAAATGGTAAGCTTTAGTATTTTAGTATATTTAATTTGGCACACTTGTTGCTGTTCTTTGTGAATGTTAATCTTTCAACCAATACAGCAGCATGTCAGTATCTTCATTTGCAGGGTATAATAGGCTTATATCCTGAAACAATAAACTTATAATAGCTTGTCTGTTGCTTGGTGGAGATGTGCGTATTCAGCACGAAGGTGTTGCATGCCCTATTTTTGCTCAAGGTTCTTTACACATGCCCTTCCTTTCCTGTCAGGAACACAAGCCACATTTATAAGTTTTTGCTATAATACCAACTACATAGTTTGGAAATTTTCCATTGTAGTACAATTCACTTTCTTTTTCCATTATTGATATAATTATAACTAGGTACATCTATATTTGAAATGTGAAGTGAGCATTAGACTGGTTTTTAATATTACATTGAGACTGATTTCTTTTTTTAGAGACAGAAGTAAGATTTGGAAAAGGTGCACGCTTGTAGTATAAAACAGAAATGTACATAAAAGATCTTAATACAGATTACTTCTTTCTACCAATGGTAATATTCAACTTGGTATTCATCAGTGGGAAGGTTTGAATCCATTCTATTTAACTACTTTCTTTTCTGACTAATTTCATCTCTGCAATACAGTAGATATATTATTAAGAACCAAAAATTGAAACAAAACATTTATAGGTCACTTAATAAAAGATTTCTCTTCCAAATATTCTAAAATGGTATTAACACATATTCTATTTAGAACCCTTACTTCCTGTGATCTGTTATATTAAAACAATTGAGGTATAAATTTCTAGATAAAAGGGCATTACTCTAAAATCCCTTTCAAAAGATTGCAGCCTCAGTTGTACACTCGCATCGAATGACCCCAGTGATTGTGCTGCTTCATTGCATTTTACTTCTGACATTTCTGTCCTATGCACAAGATTGAAAAAGATCAAATTTGATTTGTGGCAGTCACTACTTGTTATCTTCAAATAAGTATTTGCAGATTAAACAAAGCATGATTCTAGAAGTAAGCATTACTGAGCCTATTTTAGAAAGACTTTTGTAAAATTAACCCATTTTTTTTTACCATCAGACCTATGTGGTAGGACATAGAATGCCTGTCGCACATATTTCCAAATGAAGTGTGACTTTAGAATGTGCTCCTCATTATGCAGGTCCAACTCAGCATTTTAAAGCTTTTCAAATCAAGTGCATTGGCACCATACACTTAACTGAATTTTTCGAAGATTTTATGGTTATTATCTAAAATACTGTACTAGCCAATCTATTATTTTCTCAGATTGTGTTTCAGTTTTAGTGATTAAGTTTCTGTTTTGCAAATTGATACAATATTGAGGATTACATATATTTTAAACACACATACAGATAACACACACACACATTACCCCTATACTATTAAATCTAGAACTTACTGACCAGTGTAAGTTTTTCCTCTACCTTTGGGAACCTTGAGCATAATAGCTTTGTTCATTAGATTATACTATTAACTACAGATAATTAAATGTTACTTTAGAAACTGCTGTAATAAAGTGATTTAGGCTTACCAATTTAAATCATACAAGCCTTATTAAAATAGTAGTAAAATTCCATTTATCTCTTAAACAACTTTAAGGACTTTTTGGAAAAACAATAATGTATTTAGTATACTCCCCTTTAAAGGGGTTTCTGATTTTTTTTTTCTCAGCAGTCTAAAGGCAGCACAGAGCATTCCGTATATTAATTTCAAAACAGATTATGTTTCATATTAAATAGAAGATGACATATTTCAACTATTTTGTAGTGGAGAATAAAGCATGGAAATTTATCAGCCTGGCTATTCTATTGTGACTTTTTTTCTAAGTTGAAATGCTTCCAATGACATTCCCCAAAGAACGATTTTTACATGAATGATCCCATATATATGTGTGCATGAATATGTGTGTACATATATATGTAATTTATTTGGTAATTTTTTTTGGATTTTTAAAATTTTTTTTACTTTTGTAGAAATGAGGTCTTGCTATGTTGTCCAGACTGATCTCAAACTCCTGCTCTCAAGCAATCCTCCTACCTTGGCCTCCTGAAGTGCTAGGATTACAGGTGTGAGCCATTGCACCCAGCCAACTTTTGGTGCTTTTGAACACTACTCAGCTTTCCAAGAGGGATTCATGATGGGCATGACACCTCCAAAAAATAGAGTGACTTAGGGCAAAGATGGTAGACAATGTTTGCTTGTGTTAAGGAGTTTTGCCTCTCAAAAGTGCAAGGTTTTTTATAAAACATAGGAATAATTTTACTTTATAGGATTGATGCGTTAAATTTAAAATCTATGAAATGCCATTCACTATTCATGTCACATGGTAAATGCTCAATGAATGGTAGCTTTCATTAATATTACTAATAAGAAAGTAGTTGTTAAATATACAGATTCTATAGCCAAATTATTTCTCTACTATTTCTTAGCTATTTATCCTTTTCAAGTCAATTAACTTCTCAGAGCTGCAGGTTCCTCTTCTATAAAATAGAGATAAAACTTGCCTCTCAGTAATTAATATATACAGCATAAAGTGCACAACAAAACTATGAAAAGTGTTGCTCCTATTTTCTTGTCCCATAGAGGATGTGTCTTTAGTTATTGAAGGTTAACCAAGGAATTAGTAGTGTTTTGTGCAGAACCGGGTTGGAGGGGAGTCTGGAAAGACAACTAAGAAACAGGTAAACATTATAAAAGTTACCAGAAATATTACAAATGTTATTACTTCATGCCACTAATAATGCAGTTTAGAACTGAAGGAGCTGCACAACTTAGCCAAAATGTAACAAGAGGAGTTGAGGGAACATGGAAAGAACTGGATTATGAGAGTGCTTGGTCAAGATGGGTGGAGATTATGCCAGAAGTCAAGAAAGTTACTGGTATGGAAGCACCCACCTGTTACACAGGAGTTCCATCCTACCATGCATCCGGGATGGCTCTTAAAGCTGAGAGAGAGCCAACTATGAATGAAGGAGCAATGCTATTGTATGGCAGGGGGTTGAATAAGGGATAGATACAGACTGTGGGCTGCAATGGATGCTACAGGACGTTGCCCAAACCCCCTTTAAGACCGAAGCACTCGTTCTCCAACTGCTGGGAGTGTTGCTGGCTGATCACTGTAAGTGAGGTCTACCACCTTGGAATTGAAATCACCCACTGAAGAACAGAGTGGCTTCATCAAGTGTATGGAAAGCAGCCTCTACTCAATGTCTGTTTGATGTGGATGGTATAAAGATTTCTGCTCTTGTCTTCAAGGTGGGTCAGCTCTGAATGGACACTGGAGTCCGGCACTCCCTGTGGAGTCAGCTGAGGTCCTGGTTGTGACCGCATTGCAGTTTAACACCTCTTCTGCCAATCCTACTTTATTCTACTCCCTAACAGACTTTTTAGTTTTCCTTTTTGTAAAGATACATAACATAAAGTTTACCTTGTAACAATTTTTACATGTACAGTTCAGTGGCATTAAGTACACTTTTACTATTATTTTTCAACCATCACCACAATCCATCTCCAGGTCTTTTTCATTATCCCAAATTGAAATTTGTAACCTTTAAACAATACCTACCTATTCTCCCTACCCTCAGCTCTGGCAACCACCATTTTACTTTGTGTCTTTGTAACCCCAAGCCAATTTCCATCTTTTAATATTCATATTTAATATTTAATGATCAACTAAAATAAATTGAAATCAAATTATTGTATCAAATGTTTTTCAAAATAAAAAATTTTACCTGGGAATACAAAAATATATAAATATATTTTTATGAAGAACCCACAGTTTAGTTAAGAGGTCATAGTATGACAAACATCCAAGAATCTCATTTTTTTTCTCCTGTTTTTTTGTTAAATCTCCTGTTTTTTTCTTAAACTTTTCTATTGATGCTCACTTGATGTGTCATAATTTTAGCCAGATAATATTTTTGCATCTTTCTTTTACTGTCTCTTCATTATTTTGTTGGTAACACTCTTATAATTCATTTTTTAAAATACTTTGATTCTTGCATTCATTTACAGTTACAATTAGTTTGCACTCTCATTGATCTGTTTCTTGGCTCCTGTTACAGATTCCCTGGAACTAGTCCGCTACTTTTATCTGACTTATTTCCTGCTTTTCATGACCAGGTATCAAGCACACTCTCTTCCAGTTGTACAGTTGGAAAGACTGAACTCAAAGTCTGAACCTCCATGTTCAGAAATACTAACTAACTGTGCAAACTTGAATCAGCTTTTTCCTTCCAACTTTTATTTTAGGTTCAAGGGGTACGTGTGCCAGTTTGTTACACGGATAAATTGCAAGTCACAGGGGTTTGGTGTACAGATAATTTTGTTACCCACAATATCAGCATAATACCTGATGGGTAGTTTTTTAGTCCTCACCCTCCTCCCACCCTCCATCCTCATATAGGTCCCAGTGTCTGTTGTTCCCTTCTTTGTGTCCATGTATACTCAGTGTTTAGCTCCCACTTATAAGTGAGAAATGTGGTATTTGGTTTTCTGTTCCTGTGGAACCAATTCTTTAATGTATTTTAGCTTCATTTTCTACATATGTTAACTGGAAATCATCATCACTTCTCACTCAATACTATAGGTGACATAACACAGCCTACTTTTTATTTTAAAAAATTATTTTTAAGTTCCAGGGTACATGGGCAGGATGTGCAGATTAGAAAATTTTTTAAAAAATATTTTGTGTAAACAATTTAAGAAGAGTATAGAAGCCAGGATGTTTGCTGATATACATGACAGTTGATATTGGAATCTTTTGAATGTTCATATATGTGCCTACCCATTGAACAGCCTGGTTGCAAGAAGTTTAAGGCACTAGAGGAAATACACAGAGAAATTAGACACTGCAATTGTTAATAAAGCTCTGTGGTACCATGCCTAGTGGCTTCACAGCAAATAAGTAGGAATTAGTAGTCTTTTCTGGGTTCAGAGGCCGATTTAAAATTTTAGATTTTAATGTACTATGAGCTTTACACCTTCTAAGGTCTTTTGCAGTGCAATTTTGCCAATATTAATTATTCTGAACTTATCCTTGTAATTTGTATTTTTACATCTGCTATATCCTTTTGATTTATTGCTTTGATCTTATTTTAGGTTCAGCAATAAATTTTGGTTGAGGTCCTGATCACTCCAGTTAATTTAGTGAACTACAAGATATAAAATTATTTTAAGTAAAATCTCCTCACATTTTCACCGTGGTAGGGGTCAGGGAGAGTTCTTACATGAAATATTTAAGAAACATCTGACTATAACCCAACCAGCATGTGGAGAAATTACATTATTTCTTAGACTATTTTAACATCAAAGCTCTGAAGTGAAGGATAGTCATTAAAAGCCGAATTACTGAAAGCATATCTGGTTAGTGCACTTAAACACATTTCGGCAGACTAAAATAATTTAAAATCTGAAGTGAAGTGTGATCCAGAATCACATATGTCAATTACTATGTTGTCTGTGGTATTAAAAATGCATGCAGCTGGAAGCTTCAATTATATGAGATTTCTGACTTAGAGATGCTTTGACTTTTACTTTTTGAAAAAGTCACCTTTTCAGAAATCCAAGGGAAAACATTTGTAAAATGCATAGTGCCTTTTCCAATTACCTCTTATTGAAAGACAGAACAACACTAGAGAGTTATAAAAGTGAACTGAAAATATGATTTTGTATGAAATTTGATTAGTGTTTGTTGAAACCTTATCTAGGAAAAGTAAATCTTTGTGCCAGACTTTTCTTCCTCAAGTCCCGATCTCATTAAAACAAATGTGATCCAGTATTTTTTGTATTCTCTCATTATAATAAATTTAGAGTTTAAAATTATATTTTTCAAGTAAATTTTGGACTTATATCTCACAAATAGGTAATATTTATTTTCTTCCCATTAAAACAAAGGCACGCAAAATTAAAATATGATATATATCATATATAAATATAAATATTACAGGCTTTTTATTGTGCATTTCCTGTATGTCACCAGATCCTTTTTTTAAAATTATCTTATATAAAGCTACATGAGTTGCTTCTAAATATGTGACTAATAGTTACATTATTAGAGTGATGGCACTAAAACATGGACTGCTATGGTTTAAATATGTCCCTAAATTCAGATGTTGAATCTTAGTGGACAGCTGGGTATGGTGGCTCATGCCTGTAATCTCAGCACTTTGGGAAGCTGAGGTGGGTGGATCACCTGAGGTCAGGAGTTTGAGACCAGCCTGGCCAACATGGCAAAACCCTGTTTCTACTAAAAATACAAAAATTAGCCAAGTGTGGTGGTGTGCGCCTGTAATCCCAGCTACTAGGGAGGCTGAGGCATGAGAATTGCTTGAACCTGGGAGGTGGAGGTTGCAGTGAGCCGAGGTGGTGCTAATGCACTTCAGCCTGGGCAACAGTAAGATTTCGTCTCACAAAAAAAGAAAGAAAAAGAAAGAAACTTAGTGGCCCTAGTGATGGTACTAGGAGGTGGGGTCCTCAGGAGGTGATTAAGTCGTGAGGGTAGAGCCTACCTGAGTGGAATTAGATACCTTTATAAAAGGGCATGCTGGAAAGAGTGTATCGCTTTTCCTTTTGCACCTTCTGCCCTGTGAGGACACAGCATCCTTCCCATACTGAGGATGCAATGTTCAAGGCAGCACCTGGAAAAGCAGAGACTGGACTCTCACCAGACACCTGACCTGCCGGCACCTTGATCTTAGACTTCTGAACTTCCAGAACTATATAAGAAATAAGTTTCTGTTCGTTATATTACCTGATATGTGGCATTGTATTATAGTAGCACAAAACAAACTAAGAAATGGACCTTGAGAAATCATGAAACCATCCCTTAAAACAAACAACAAAAAATCCCAGTAACATATATTTTTATTTTTTAGGGAACAGATGATGTTTTTAAAAACCATGTTGTCTTCAGATTTCAAGTCAGTTTAGGTCTCAGATACAGATAAGGAACATGACATTTCTGAAGCACATATTTTTTCCTTAAAAAAATCTGTGTTATTTGCAAAAGATCTAGTCCCTCTGATTTCTATTTGCTGGAATGTCCTTCCTTTTTTCCGTCTCCAAATTCCCAGGCACAATGCAGCCCTTCACACTTCCTGGGGAAGCAAGCTGCACAGTGACCCAAACCACACTCATGTATGTTGGAGTGGTTCACTGATTTGATGGTTTTCTCTCGTATAAATGATATTTTTCATCTCCAAAAATGAGCCTGGGCTGACTTTTGTTCAGAATCAAAGAGAGTGTTGGAATAAATCTCCTCTTCAAGTAGCAGGAGAAAATCAAATGTATCTCTCATTAAATAAAAAGTCAGTGTGAGTTTTGGAACTCTTCCTATTAGCTACAAAACATGTCTTATAGGATCCAGAATGAGGATGTGAAAGAAAAAAATGACCTAATTTTCTAAAGGGATTTTCACATAATAGTTGTTCGGTAGAGTGCCATTGAAAAGGTCTATCAAGTAGAGAAGATATTGATATTCTTTAAGTGATGAGGAAAAGTGACATTCTTTTCACAGCTATAAATTCAGTCTTTGGCCAACATTCTTTTTATTCATTTCAGGTCTTGTTTTTTTTTTTTTCTTATAAAAATGTGAGAACATGGCATCGTTTTCAATTGGATATTTTACCTTATGTGGCATGAATTATCACTTTCCTCACTGAACGGCATGCACATTGCTATTTCTTGGATTGCACATATATTTGTGGTTTTTATTTAAGGTCAGGAATTCAAGGCCCCAAGCATGGGATGAGATTCCCCTTAGGCAGCATTGTGACACCAACATCTCCCATTCTGCACACTGCCACTGCCTTCTCCCCAAAAATATACTTCATTTTTCCTGAAATAGTTAAGTAAAATGGCTATTCTCCAGATAATTTTAAACCAATCTAAAAGCAAACAATTTAGTCGTTTTCCATCTTTTCCCCACCTGTGCTATAGAAGTTACCAGTATTTGAAACTGTGGCCTTAAGCCTCAGCAGTTTTGGTGCTCCCTTTTCAGTGGAATAATTATACCAAGGAACAAGCTGACCAGGTTTTGAATGGAAATGTGCCTGCTACTGTAAAAGCAGGCCAGGGGATTCTGGTCACTCTGCATGCTTTCACCCAAGACCATTTTTATCATGTTGATTCTAATCATGGGTGTAGTCACGTAAAGTCCAATGTTCGAGTTTTGCAGTACCCCCAAGAAGACTGAAGACTGGTATCATGAAATCCTTCTAATGTTAAAAATAATTTTAATGAATTGTGGCATTTACCTTAATGTTTTGGGGTTTTTATTTTAGAAGATTTTGACAGGGGAGTAATTCCTATGTTTTTAATTACACTACTTCATAGCCAAACAGTATCTTGGAACTTGCCTTTTTCTATACCTATTTAGCTGACGCTAAATCAATTGAGGAATGTCCCAAGAATATTTAGCATGTTATTGGTCCAGCTAGAGTTGTCTTCAGTTCTATTCTAACATTGTTTTCTGCTGTACTAGGTTGTACATTTTACAAACAAAAATGGGTTTCCAAAGATATTATATTAGGAGATTCCCTAAAATGTCAATAATAAAGAAAACCATGACTTTATTACTCTCTTCACAAATCTTAATTCCTATATAGAGCAATTAAAATCATGCTGTTATCTGATCAACGGACAACAGCTGAAGCAGAGAATGCCTGGGCCTCCATACTCCCTGTTAGAACAAGGTGCTCTGTGGTGTCATGCTGACAGGGCCTGGGAACAGAAGACCTGTCTATCTGTAAACTACATAGTGGTTGTTGGATCTGAAGCCAAGCACTTAACCTCTATTTGAGAAAAGATTACTCACATATGTAAAATGAAGGAAATATCTTACCTGCTTCACAGAATGGTAGTTTGATAATACTTATAAAATATTGTATAAAGGTATAGTTTTGAAATTTAAAAAATCATGTAATGTCAAATTATCGAGGATAATTATCAGCACGATCTGCTCAGCAGAAATATGGCACTTGCCTGTTACCCCACCTTGTACTATATATAAGACCCTAGATTTCTGTTCCCTGATTGAAATATCTAAAGCAAGCAGATATACAATCCTTGGGAGAGCCATTTTTTTTTCAATATCCAGGTTTAGGCAAGTGATATAGCACTGTGCAAGCATTTTAGAGCCAAAGTCAACGAACTAAATCATTAAGAGACTCTCTAAAAACAAATTTACCTATGTTTTGTAACCAACTTTTTATGTTACGGTGACAGATAACTCATGGAACTTGAGCTTCTACCTAAACATTTTCAGTTCCACCTTGTCACATCATAGAAGTGTGTTTTTTAAACCTCTGGTGTGATTTTTATCATTTACTGATTTCAATACAGTGGTATCTCCTTAGAACAGATTAAACCTTCATGCATTTTAACGTATTCTCCTGAAAGTATTAGACCTTTATCACTACGTCTAGAAAGAAATGTGTATTTGGAGGAATATTTCTTCTTTTTAATAAATATGCCCCTATTCATGTTGCAGTGCCATTCCTCTAAATTTATATAGCATATTTTTGTATCCTGTCATCATGGCATTTGTTTTGTGATTGGCCTGTATTTTCCCAGGTAGTAATTACTTTACATACTAATTTGCTACACACACACACACACACATTCACACATACACATAATTTGCTTGCTTATATATTTATTCTGTATAAATATCCTGATACAGGCTACTTTTTCCTAACAAGTATTTTTACCACCCATTTGTTAAAATCATGCAGGCATTCATTTGATTCATGCAGCTGGTGATAAACCAGCTCTATTTGCAGGCCTCACGCATGCATTTGGCTATGTCAAGTGACATGATTCAGTTATAAGTGCATTCAAGCATACATTTACCTCTGAATCCTTGAGTGTTCTTGAAGCAAGCCACAGAGCTAGCTGTACTGCACTGCTTCATAGATGAAACTCTAAATCAATAGTTTTCAGAGGTATGAATATATATAATTATTGTGTGATATTATTTCATGTTTCAAAGGCTATAAAAAGTAGATTTCTCAGATCAGAAGATGTGACACATTTACACATGAAGGATACTTTCTAATACTCTTATCCTCTCTGAAAATCTATGTAAATTGTAACTGCTAACAAGAACACTGATATTCACATATAGTCTTACATGAGAATTTCATGTTTATATACAGAAGCAATAGATTCAATACGTACTCAATGCATTCTATATATTAAGGTTTGAGATACATACAAGCTAAAAGAAGACAAAGACTGTAGCATTAAAACAAAGAGCTTTCCAAGTTAATAAATAATTTTAGTTATAAAGGTAATTACAACTTACTGTTATTTGGAAATAGAGACTAGTAGCTACCACTTCTTTTTCTTTTCACTTTTTTCTTTCTTTTTTCTTTTTTGGGTACATAGTAGTTGTACATATTTATGGGATTCATGTGATATTTTCACACAAGCAAACAATGTGTCATACTCAAATCAGGGTAATTGGGATATTCATGACCTCAAGTATTTATCATTTATTTTTTCTTTTATTTTTATCATACCACTTATCACTACTTGACATTTTCTTATTTATCCATTTTCTTATTGTCTATATCCTTCTAGAATGTAAGTAAGTGTCATGAGGGTATGGACATTTTTTGCCCTGTTCAATGCTCTATCTAAGATGTTCAGAAAAATTCCTAGCACGTAGTGCTAAGTAAATATTAAATTATGAAGAAAATATAACAGGGTTCACAATTTTAGTTTCTGGAATTTTCCAAAATTATATGTCATTATTATTATTATGCTTTTTTTAAAGCTACAATAATTATATCTTTTACTTGGTTTTTATTATTTTTAAACTTTACATATATATGTGCATATTTATGTAGCATTATGTTCACATTCTTATATTTTGAAGGAACAATAGCAAACTTAAAGATGCCTCAAAGATATATAATATATAATACATACTATTCCCCAAAGAGGTAAGAATAGAGATGGAGTAGGCAATACCAATACTAAGGAAGTCAGCAGAGAGTAGAGCATTTTTATTTCTGGGAAAGGGAACCACAGAAGAAATACTGCCTAGTCACTTAGTCAGTTGTTTTCCTGCATAAATCTGTCAGAAGAAAGAATCAAAGATAATGTGTGAAAAAGTCCCACATATATTACAGAAACATTTGAAAAGTTACTACTATAAGAAGTAGTGAGTAGGGTGAATTATGAGCTTATTTCAAGACTCTAATCTGGTAATGCTCTCTCCCTGAAACATAATTTTAAGGCTTTGATGGTTTTACTCCTACAATTTAAAAAAAGAGAAGAGTGTATCCAAAATATACAAAGAACTCTTAAAATTCAACAGTAAGAAAACAAACTAATTTAAAGTGGTCAAAAGATCTGCTTTACCAAGAAAGATATACGAATGGAAATAAGCATATGAAAAGATGCTCAACATTTATCCTTAGGAATTTGCAAATTATAATAACAATAAGATGCCACTATACACCTAAGAGAATGGCTAAAACAAAAACAAATAAACCAAAAAACCCTGACAATACCAAAATCTGGCTATGGTGCAGAGCAACAAGAACTCTCATTCATTACTGGTAGGAATGTAAAATGGTATAGTCACTTTGGAAGAGTTTGGCAGTTTCTTACAAAGCTAGAAATATAGTCTTTTCATATGATTTAACAATTGCATGCCTACATATCTTTTGTGCATTTACACAGTGATGAAATATTCCATGTTAAAAAGAAATGTGTAATCAGGTCACCAAAGGATAAGAATAAATCTTAAATGCACATTGGTAAATGAAAGAAGCCAGTCTGGAAAATGTCACATACTGTATAATCCAACTATATGGTATTCTAGAAAACGCAAACTACAGAAACCATAAAAAGACCAGTTGCTTGCCAAGAGACCAAGGGGAGGGGGTAGGTAAAAAGTAGAGCATAGGGGGTCTTTAGGGTAGTGAATCTATACTCAATGATGCTTTAATAGTAGATACATGGCATTTTGCCTGTGTCAAAACCCTCAGACCTTTATAGCACAAAGAGTGAACATTAATAAAGAAAACAACCATTTGGGAAGTCAAGGAATCCCAGGAAAGATACAGGTTGAGACATGAGAATCTAAGCGTATTGCAATTGTATGAAACAGCCTCGATGAAGAGGTTCAGTTTGGGGAGATACTGATGTAAGTAACTTTGAAAAAAATGAAATCCAAAAAGGCAAAAGGAAATTCACATAAACCTGTACCATAGTTAACAAAATTACTTTTCATGGGAGTAGAGCTTCATTCTGAAACTGCTTTTTGGGGATATAGAATTGATCAATTAAGTAAATGGATGACACATGGTGGGAGGCGGGATTCCCATGGCTGAAGTGTGAATTTACAGATAAGCAAGGAAAGGAGGGTAAAATAATCCACGTGGTAATGAAATTAATTTGAAGCCATAAGTACACATGTTTAACCTAATACAGATGATTTCATAGAGAAATACTTTAGATAAACGTATATACACAGGTTAGTATACACGTATGGATTTCTCTGTCCATTTAAATGAGAGGATCTGTAAGAAATGACACACCAGTAGCAATGAGCATGCCTAGTGCTCAGATCTTAGTTTCTCCTAACATTCTTTAATAAAAAATGACCCATTGGACCTACGAGAAATGGCTGATTATAGGGCTGTGATAGTAAATATACAAAATGTGTCTGTAGTACTTTGTAATTTCAGAAAATTCTAAACACACGCACACACACAACTTTGATTGGGAGTATGTCAAAGGAGCACAAGAGCAAACTAAAGAGCTCCCAATGTCCAAAGTGCAATGCTAGAGGAATTTGAGCAACAAAATAAATAAAATAGTATTAGATTATGTCAACATATAAAATGGATATTCCTGACTCTATATATTTACAGTAAAGTATTGAACAAATTAACAGAGAGAACTTAAAATCTCCCATGCAGAATAATATTTTTAAATAACTTATGTAGGTACTCCATCCTCAAGGAGGGAAAGCACATCTCCTCACTTGTTAAATGTGTGCTGCACAAAGTAACTTCCTTCCAGAGCCCAGCACAGAAACAGGATAGAAAAGGGGTAATTTTACAGTGCAGAAAAATGACAAACACCTTCTCAGCCAGGTGATAAAGGTCAACATTAACAGTGATAAATCACGTTGTTAGTTTGCACTCTTCACATAATGCGATGAATATGGCACTTTATTTCTCTGACCTTTCCCCCCAGACCCATAACCCCAATCCAATCATGAAAAAAACAAATTCCAATAGAGGAACATCCTACAAAATTCTTGACCATTACTCCTCAAAGCTGTCAAGGTCATCAAAATAAAGTCTGAAAAACTGTCATAGCTAACAGAAGCCTAAGGACAGATGGCAATTAAATTTAATGTGGTGTCCTGGATGGGCTCTCTTAACAGAAAAAAGGACATTAGGGGGAAAACTAATGACATGTGAATAAAGTCTAGACCAGAGTTAATAATAATGCATCAATATTGGCTGACTAATTGTGACAAATATCTCGTACTAATGTAAAATGTTACTATTAGGAGAAACTGGGTACGGGGTAAATGGGAACTCTCTGTACTACTTCTCAATTTTTCTGTCAACATAAACCTGTTCTAACAAATCAAGTGTATTTGTAAATGGTAGGCAGAAGATAAACATCACTCTGAGGTAACTAGAATGCTATTTTTGAAGCTGAATAACTTGTTTTCTAAAATACTGAGTAACATTAATCAAAAGATTATGATGCACAATTGTTTACCCTGTGAGCTGCATGTGACTCTATTCCTGAGCTGATCACCAACTCAACAATTTTTCTTATGTTCAAACTTGCAGAACCTAATAATGTACATGTTTTATTCTAGATTCAAGCATTAAGCACTGTGCAGTTTTGAGAGAAGAAGTTATAAAGCAAAACTGACTTGAGTAACCACCAGCCCAACATTCGGGACTTTGTGGGGATTGCTATGGCTCTGCCGGACTTACAAGCAATAGTGATGCAGAACCTGTCATTAGCATGTGTAATGCTTGTCAAAAAATAATCTCCCAAGAAATGTTTTAATTTTCACTGGTCAGTGCACTACCAATACTAGTTTTGGCATGGCGGATAATAAATAACAAACCTTTGTTTCGAATACATGTTTGTCCAGTTTCTACTTTTTGCTAAATCCTGTGACCATGTGCTCCCACTTGATAGCATGTTATATGGTACTAGTAAATTTTACTTGCTGTTTAATAAAGGAGGATTAAATGAATGCTGTGCTACAGTGGGTATACTGACAGGGAAGGCATGATAGAAAACTGTCTAAATACAACTGAGGGAAGAAGAAAGTGTTGAAGGGAAGGTGAAAATGTGCACTGAGGTTTGATGGGTGAGTAGGACTTCAGAGAGTGGAGAAGGCCCTATGGCTTTTTAATGGAAACAATAGCATGAGATAAATGTCAGGGCTATGGAAACGCATACTGCACCAGGGCAATGGTTGTAAGTCTGAGATGGTTGAAGAACAGGGTTTAGGAAGAGATACCGTGAAAAGTAAAGCTTAGAACTGAGACAAACTGTCTCCAGCTCTGGATTCTCAGTTATTCCATTTGAAACCTAGTAATATAAACAACTTGAATCCATTACAAAGGTTTTGATCTGACTTGGGCTTTGGAAAGAGATTTCTGACTTTCTGTAGCTCAAAACTCTAAGCAACTTAGTTTTCTTCTCTACTCTTTTTTTCTAAAATAAGGATAATGATACCCATCTGACTGAAATTTTATGAGCATAATGCAAAATTCAACATGGAATCCATGGTGCTTTACAAAATAATGTGTGTTGTCTCTCCACAGAATGAAGTAGTATTTGATACTATTAACATAGAATTCATGAAAATAGAAAAAAGAACACTTCTTGAGTGGTGAAAACTTCCCAGTATGGTAAAAGTTAATTAGAATTTGTGTGAATTATACTGTGTAATTACCAAGGCAAGCAGAGTATTAATATGAATTTAAAATAGTAAGAGTAAGATTAAAGGCATATAATTTAGTTCAAATGTGACATCTTGACAACCTGCAAAAATTGCTAGAAATGAATGGTTCTTAATATTAAGAAATATAATAAGGATTGGTTGATTATTTAATAATTTAGATAATTTACATAAGAGTTATTGCAATGTGGGAACAGTGTTCTTGTTAACTGATTGTATTGTGTGGTTATGTTACCGACTACAAAAATTTAAACTAAGGGGAAAGAATCACTTTACTCTCTTTTTATGTGAAACGACATTACTCTCACTGTATTGTTATAGTTGTAAATCCTAATATTTTGTCAAGTAGAAAACATAATCTCTAGGTGTTATGTGGTTCCTTGACTTAATCTAGTCCTGATGTACTAGCCCTTATTATTATTTTTAAGCCTGTTGATTTTCCTTGGTCCATAATCAATCTTATATTTGACATTTTAAAAAACTTAAAAAGTTTTATATGTATATTATATATATATAACTCATCAAATGAGTTTTATATATATAAATGAGATATATATAAATATAAATATATATATACACATACACACACACACACACACACACACACACACACCTCATTTGATGACCTGAAAGCATGAAAGCATATACTGTATGTTCTGGACTTGGGTTTATGGAATAAAAATGTATGATTTTTAGGAAAATGTTATGTTTCTGGTCCAGCTGTATTCTGTTCACTCATTCCCCAAGTTAAATAAAATAATTTGTGTTCATTTTGTTTCTGAGTTAGTTTTCATCGTATAAAATTGGAATGATCCTAATTTTGACTCCTTAAACAATGTTAAAGGAATAAACCATGCTATTTTTTTTAAAGAAAAGCTACTTCAAATTCCTATGCTTTGTAAGATACAGTGGATCAATATAAATGAGCAAGGACGTATAGACCAATTTATTTAATGTGTCCAAGGAAATAGTACATTTCACATTTGTGCTATTTTCAAAGTGATCCTGGTTAATTAAAAAACAACCACAACAACAAAAATTCAAAGACTATAAGCCTAACTTGATCCTTCAAAGCTGTAAAAAAAAAGTGTGATTAAATATCCAAACAGAGTTTCTATGTTTTGTTACTGTGGCTGTCTCTTTGATATAGGTATTACTGAAGTATGTGAAACAATAGAAATTCTTAAATGCATTTAAGCTGGTCTATGAATTTATAAGGTCTATGAATTTAGGCTAAACATGTAACAAATCTGCACTGTTAAGCAACAATAAAACATACACTTATTCAAGTAAATACAAAGAAACAATGACATCTCTCAGGAAGAGAAAGAAAATAAGATTGGATAAATTTTAAAAATGATACCTCTAATTTTATTTTTGCTCATTCTTTTATAGTGTGATATGTTTTTTAGAAATCATGTCTTGATATTTCTTTTAACATCTCAAATTGGCTCTTTCTTATGATTTTCTATTTCTGTAAATGTTTAGTTGTGATAGAGTTCTCTACATTCATATATATGTATATATATGTGTGTATATGCATGCATATATATACATGTGTATATCACCAACATCGTTTTTTTGTTGGTAACCATAACAAACATAAAAATGTAATTTTATATACTTTATATGTTTACAATATTAAAGCCTTAAAATATGTTCTATATAATCGGTAATATATGCCAAGTAATATATAATGTGGGATATATTTAATGTATAATATATAGATATGAAATATGATAGAAAATGTATAATAATAACATAGAATATATTAGGAGTCCTATATTGTCTATTCTGAATTACATATATAATCATGTCTTATTTATTTATAACAAACCAAAATAAATGATAATTAAAGCAGAAAGCCTGCTTTGCTTAGATAAAATTCACACTAATTTTTAGCTAAAATTTTATGTTGTCATAAAGAGATGATTTAAAATCTACGGAGTGAGTTAAGGGTCTGATGTCACTCTTCTGCATGGGGATATTCAGTTTTCTCAAGACCACCTACTAAAGAGAGATTCTTTTCCCCATGGTGTGTTCTTGGCATTTTTGTTGAAAAATCATTGGATTAAAGACTTAAATGAAAGACCTGAAACTGAAATTACAAGAGGAAAACACAGGGGAAACCTAAACAATATGTGTCTGAGCAATAATTTTTTTATTTAACCCCCAAAAGTCAGGCTACAAAAGCAAAAATAAACAAATGGGATTTTTTCAAACTGAAAAGATTTTGCACAGCAAAAGAAACAATCAATAAAGAAAAGAGGCAACCTACAAAATAGGATAAAATATGTGTACATTGTGTATTTGTACAAGGGGTTAATATTCAAAATATATCAGGAACTCAAATGCATTACAGCAAGAAAATAAATAATGCATTTAAAAAAATGAGCAAAGGACCTGAATAAAGATTGTTTAAAAGAAGACATACAGTGGCCAAAAGACATATTAAAAATGCTCATTATCACTAATCATCAGGGAAACGCAAATGGAAACCACAATGAGAATCACCTCATGTCTATTAGAATAGCCATTTTCCAAAAGATGAAAGAGAAGTGTTGGTGAGGATGTACAGAAAAGGAAATCCTTGAACACTGTTGGTGGGAATGCAAATTAATTCAGCCATTATGGGAGCAGTATGGAAATTCCTTAAAAAATTATATAACAAAACCTGAATATGATCCAGCAATCCCACTGCTTGATATGTATCTAAAAGAAAAGGCAATCAGTATATCCAAGACATATCTGCACTGCTGTGTTCACTGTGGCATTATTCATAATAGTTAAGTTATGGAGTCAACCTAAGCATCCACCAATGGATAAATGGATAAAGAAAATGTGATATACAGGCTGGGTACAGTGACTCATGCCTGTGATCCAAGCACTTTGGGAGACTGAAGCTGCAAGATTGCTTGAGGCCAGGAGTCCGAGACCAGCCTAGGCAACACAGTGAAAACCCATCTATACAAAAAAACCGTAAAAATTAGCTGAGCATGGTGGTATGTACCTACAGTTTCAAGTACTACTATACAAATTCTAAAATTTGTATGTAGAAAATACCAGTTATATGACTCGGGAGGATCCCTTGAGACTAGGAAGTTGAGGCTGCAGTGAACCATGATGGTACCACTGCACTCCAGCCTGGATGACAGAGAAAGACCCACTCCACCTTAAAAAAAAAAAAAAAAAAGAAAAGAAAGAAAAAAATGTGATATACATACACAATGGAATACTATTCTGCCTTAAAAAATTGTCACTTGTGACTACATGAATGAACTTGAAGGACATTATATTAAGTGAAATAATCCAGGCACAGAAAGACAAATACAGCATGTTCTCATATGTGGGAACAAAAACAATGAAACTCACAGAAGCAGAGAGTAGGATGGTGAACTACCAGGGGATGGCAGGTGGGGATCTGGGGGAGATGTTGGTTTAAGGGTACAAAATTTCAGGAACACGAGATGAATAAGTTCAAGAAATCTATTGTACCGCATAGTGGCTATAGTTAATAACAATGTATTGTATACTGGAAAATTGCTGAGAGTAGGTTTTAAGTGTTTTCACCACAAAAAATTATGTAAGGTACTGCATATTAACTAGCCATTTCATAATGTATACTCTACAAAAATAATGTTGCCCTATATATATATATCTATCTATATATATATATATATATATATTTGTCAATTAAAAATGTTTACTTAAAATTTGTATGTAGAAACTACCAGTTATTTTGAAAACCTTGAATTTATAAGGATTGGTAAACATGCACATTTAGATTTTACAATGAAACAAAATAAGGCAAGCATGTATATTTTTGTTTGCTTTAAAACTAGTTTATCATAAATTTTGAATGTGTTGAATGCAAAGAGGAACTGGAATAAAATTTTTAAACTATTGTCTTCCAATATGCTGTTCAGGATCTCTTGTCTCAGCTTCTTTTTGGAATATTATGCATAGCTCACAGATTTCCAGCCACTTTGAGTCAAAAGAAGTCTCACTTTGAGAATTAAAACACATATCAAAGCTAAATAATGAAAAATCTCAATATGGAATTTAAAGCTTAAGTATCATACAACATTATTATTTTTCCTCTCCCCTCAGTTCAGGGGCCTGCAGTAGGGACAAGGGTTGTGGTCTTTTCCTCACTCTTTCTTCTATGTCTTCCATGTCATGCTGGTAGAATCTTCAGGATGGATGTCAGGTAAATTGGAATGGAGGAAAAGAAACAAAGTGCTTTATAACTGGGGCTATTATTACTCTGCTTTCAATAACCTTTTCGAGGCAGACATTCACATGCTATGTCTCCCATAGGATTCATTTCTTTCTCTTTAATTTGAACTCTTGTGACTCTCCTGCAAATCCTGCATAGAGAACCTAATTACTAAGATTTTCTTGCTTGAAAAGTTTGCCCCCTTGGCTGGTTATTTTTAGGACAGCTCAATCTTGTCTGTCTTCCATAGTGTCCATTTGACCCACACATCCTTCATATGTCCACAAAAGGGATTCAGTCTGTCTGACTGCTGCCCTCTGCCTCTTCCGGCTACTGTTCTGCCCTCAGGATTCTACAGGAAAGGAGCAGCACTAGTTTCTATGTCCATACATGTCCCTTTCAATGTCCTGGGGGAAAATAAAATGCTCCATTCTTTGAAAACACCTTTCACAGCATTCCCACTGCTGTTCCACGCTGTACCTAAAAGTTTATGCAACTTGGTGCACATCTGCCCAAAAAGTTGGGTGCAAGTCTTTCCTTTTGTAGAGATCTCTGAGCATTTCCTTTGAATATCACCTTCTTTTTTCCGAAGAAGCCACCTTATCCCCAATTCTCCCAAGGAGCACTAGGCTAAAACTTCACTGCTCTATCCAACTCTTTTCAATTTTATTCAGTGTTAATTTCCACAAACTCTAGATTTCTAGTCTTTAAAATATAGACTGGGAGGACGAGAGTGTGCATCATAGAACTGTTTTTTTTTTTTTGGTTTTTTTTTTGTTTGTTTTTTTGTTTTTTTTTTTACCTTTAAGAAGCCTTGGAAGAAGTGTTTAGCAACAACTTATATCTCTCTAGTGTAGGGTGCGTATCTCTTTCTAATGTCTAGAGTGTAATCATCTCTTGCTTTCCGTTTGGGGCCTTTTACCAAATTATAATAAAGTGGGGATACAAAAACAATTTAATAAAGAGTCACAGCATTGCAATTAGGAGACCAATAGAAAGAAGTCTGCTACTGATCTTTTTCTGTTGATTAATCTACTTTCTATTCAGAACCAAATAACCAAACAGAAGTTTAGACACACTGCCCATGTGTACAGGTAGTCATGTATCATAGAAAAACAAGCCACCTAAGTCACTGTATTCGTCAGGGTTACCTGGAGAGACAGAACTAATAGGATGTGTGTGTGTGTGTGTGTGTGTGTGTGTGTGTATGATTTATATATATAAAGGGGAGTTTATTAAGTATTAACTTACAGGATCGCAAGGCCGTGATGCAAGCTTAAGGAGCAAGGAGAGCCAGTGTGAGTCTTAAAACTAAAGAACTTGGAGTCCAATGTTTGAAGGCAGGAAGCATCCAACATGGGAGAAAGATGAAGGCTAGGAGGCTAGGCCAGTCTCGCCTTTTCATGTTTTCCTGTCTGTTTTAAATTCACTGGCAACTGATTAGATTGTGCCCACCAGATTAAGGGTGGGTCTGCCTTCCCCAGCCCACTGACTCCAATGTTAATATCCTTTGGCAACAGCCCCTTAGACACACTCAGGATTAATACTTTGCGTCCTTCAATCCAATCAAAGTGACACTATTAACCACCCGCAGTCACTGACCTACAATAGGCACAGATTGTGTTATTTCTATTAAGATTATTGTTTCTCATGTGGCTTATTTGGCTTGTCTTTCTCATTTTAGAAATTCATTCCTTTTCTCTTTATTGTAAATATTTACTATTATTTCTTCTTCCCATTCTTTAGCAGTTGTTCTATTATTATTACAGTTGGGTTAAATCTGAATGATTAAAAGGTAGGAAACATTGATATCTTAGTATTGTTTTACTGTGCTCAAATTGTATTGCAAGTAATCAGATATATCTATTCCCTAGGAAGACTTAAGATGTTGTTGCTCATTGTCTGTAATGTAGAAAAAGTAGCATGTTATATTTAAATTTTGATTAATTGGTGACAAGTTGAATGGCTCTGCAGACTCTCAACAACATTCGGGTTTGAATTCAAATGAGCACATTTTCAAATCACCTCAAGCACTATACTTTTCCTCCCATGAGCATTAGAATAAGGTATTTTGAAAATAAAAATGAGAAGTTGTATTGCAATTAAAGATTTCAATGTAATTTAGTAGAGATAGGCAATATTCTAATAGTGAAATATAATGACATTTCAAAGCTCCCAGTGCAGTTTTATAAAAATTTATATTTCTTCACAAATTATGAAAAAATAGGTTACTGCAGAAAACACCTTTTGCAAAGCCATGGTAAAATAAAAGAATTTTCCACAAAATTATGAAGGACAGGGGTGAAAAGAAAGAATTATGGTAAAATAAAGAGAATCAGTTGCCCCCTGATAGGTCTTTACTTCACAAACAAAGTTTGTGAATTGCATATGGATGTATTTTTGATCCACATATAAAATGTTCTGGAATGTTTGTGCATTATTAGATTGACAGAAAGTTACAGTAAAATTGTGTTTTTGGTGTACCGTCATGTTTTTGATATAGCCCATAGCACTTTAAAAATAAAGCATAAACAGGTTAAATGGAAATCACCGAAAATATTTATCATGGAAATACTAATTTCACTAAAGCTGGTAGGTAACTATCACCATCAGACAAAGCTAACTTGAGATAAAGGAGTATTATCAGAGAGAAACAGAACTTTTGAACCACGAAAATATTTGTAAGTCAAGACAAACCTTGTACCACAAATAATGAAAAAGAAAACCTTAAAATCAAATAGCAGAAACAATTTAACTCAACTGGTTATTAATATTTTATATAATTACACACAAGTAATTAACTTATAAAACCTTTGAATTCAGTAACCTAAATATAGACCTTTAGTAAGCAAAGTCTCCAAGGAAATATGTGTTTGATGCAATGTTTCCCTTAGTTTAGAAATATCTGTAACAAGGCTGGTTCAACATATGCAAATCAATCAATGTAATCCAGCATATAAACAGAACCAAAGACAAAAACCACATGATTATCTCAATAGATGCAGAAAAGGCCTTTGACAAAATTCAACAACCCTTCATGCTAAAAACTCTCAATAAATTAGGTATTGATGGGACGTATCTCAAAATAATAAGAGCTATCTATGACAAACCCACAGCCAATATCATACTGAATGGGCAAAAACTGGAAGCATTCCCTTTGAAAACTGGCACAAGACAGGGATGCCCTCTCTCACCACTCCTATTCAACATAGTGTTGGAAGTTCTGGCCAGGGCAATTAGGCAGGAGAAGGAAATAAAGGGTATTCAATTAAGAAAAGAGGAAGTCAAATTGTCCCTGTTTGCAGATGACATGATTGTATATCTAGAAAATCCCATTGTCTCAGCCCAAAATCTCCTTAAGCTGATAAGCAACTTCAGCAAAGTCTCAGGATACAAAATCAATGTGCAAAAATCACAAGCATTCTTATACCCAATAACAGACAAACAGAGAGCCAAATCATGAGTGAACTCCCATTCACAATTGCTTCAAAGAGAATAAAATACGTAGGAATCCAACTTACAAGGGACGTGAAGGACCTCTTCAAGGAGAACTACAAACCACTGCTCAATGAAATAAAAGAGGATACAAACAAATGGAAGAAAATTCCATGCTCATGGGTAGGAAGAATCAATATCATGAAAATGGCCATACTGCCCAAGGTAATTTATAGATTCAATGCCATCCCCATCAAGATACCAATGACTTTCTTCACATAATTGGAAAAAACTACTTTAAAGTTCATATGGAACCAAAAAAGATCCCGCATCGCCAAGTCAATCCTAAGCCAAAAGAACAAAGCTGGAGGCATCACGCTACCTGTCTTCAAACTCTACTACAGGGCTCCAGTAACCAAAATAGCATGGTACTGGTACCAAAACAGAGATATAGATCAATGGAACAGAACAGAGCCCTCAGAAATAACACCGCATATCTACAACTATCTGATCTTTGACAAACCTGACAAAAACAAGCAATGGGGAAAGGATTCCCTATTTAATAAATGGTGCTGGGAAAACTGTCTAGCCATATGTAGAAAGCTGAAACTGGATCCCTTCCTCACACCTTATACAAAAATTAATTCAAGATGGATTAAAGACTTAAACGTTAGACCTAAAACCATAAAAACCCTAGAAGAAAACCTAGGCATTACCATTCAGGACATAGGCATGGGCAAGGACTTCATGTCTAAAACACCAAAAGCAATGGCAACAAAAGCCAAAATTGACAAATGGGATCTAATTCAACTAAAGAGCTTCTGCACAGCAAAAGAAACTACCATCAGAGTGAACAGGCAACCTACAAAATGGGAGAAAATTTTCACAACCTACTCATCTGACAAAGGGCTAATATCCAGAATCTACAATGAACTCAAACAAATTTACAAGAAAAAAACAAACAACCCCATCAAAAAGTGGGCGAAGGACATGAACAGACACTTCTCAAAAGAAGACATTTATGCAGCCAAAAAACACATGAAAAAATGCTCATCATCACTGGCCATCAGAGAAATGCAAATCAAAACCACAATGAGATACCACCTCACACCAGTTAGAATGGTGATCATTAAACAGTGAGGAAACAACAGGTGCTAGAGAGGATGTGGAGAAATAGGAACAGTTTTACACTGTTGGTGGGACTGTAAACTAGTTCAACCATTGTGGAAGTCAGTGTGGTGATTCCTCAGGGATCTAGAACTAGAAATACCATTTGACCCAGCCATCCCATTACTGGGTATATACCCAAAGGATTATAAATCATGCTGCTATAAAGACACATGCACACGTATGTTTATTGCGGCATTATTCACAATAGCAAAGACTTGGAACCAACCCAAATGTCCAACAATGATAGACTGGATTAAGAAAATGTGGCACATATACACCATGGAATACTATGCAGCCATAAAAAATGATGAGTTCATGTACTTTGCAGGGACATGGATGAAATTGGAAATCATCATTCTCAGTAAACTATTGCAAGAACAAAAAACCAAACACCGCATATTCTCACTCATAGGTGGGAATTGAACAATGAGAACACATGGACACAGGAAGGGGAACATCACACTCTGGGGACTGTTGTGGGGTGGGAGGAGGGGGGAGGGATAGCTTTAGGAGATATACCTAATGCTAAATGACAAGTTAATGGGTGCAGCACACCAGCATGGCACATGTATACATATGTAACTAACCTGCACATTGTGCACATGTACCCTAAAACTTAAAGTATAATAATAATAAAATAAAAAAAAGAAAAGACAAATGAGTAAACATGTTCTCATTGTTGGTAGCTAAAGTTCTCACTCTGAAAGAAAGCCAGAAAACGTATGGAATGAGAGAAAATAAGAATATGTCCTTTACCTTGTTTTGAAATAGAGATATAAGTATGATTCATATTTTTAGCAGAAAACAGAATTCTGCAGTAGCAATGAGCACACCTATTACTCAAGTTTAGTCTTATAAATAATATTCCCCACTATAACTAACCATTGTTTCTTAGAGAAATGGGGGCCTCTGGACTAGTGTAGGGAAATTATAAGTTGAACCGAGGCAAGAGTGCTAATACATTAGAGAAGTTATGGTAAAGCACAGCAACCAACTGGAAGGAATTCTCATTGGCCACATTTGGGACACTTGGAGGGTAAAAAACATAACAGTGTTGAATTATTACCCATTTAATTAGAAAAATAATTCATGAATCTATAATAGCACTCACAAAAATAGGAAGAGAAAAAGAACGTTCTCTTGAAGGAATACCAGCTAAGGAATGTAGAGAGGTAAACAGAAATAGCAAATCAACAATGCAATATTAGATTCAGGCAGCATCCTCTGAGAGAAAACACACTGAGAAAAAGGATAGTCACACAATCTCAGAGTATCTTCTACAGATTGCTTAGAGAAAATAGGTTCATTCACTAATTTAGTATCATCAATAATGATAAATAACAGACATTGCTTATTACCTAATGTGATGTGATAGGAATAGTGCTACACACCTATAGAGTATTCTTGCTCAAAATCTTTACCCTGAGTCTAATTGTTAGAAGAAAAACTCAGAAATATACACATTGTGTGGTAAAGTACAACTGTGAACCTTACAACTAATTTGGACTGTAAAAAATATTAATAACATGTCAAGTTCTTGGACATTAAAAAAAAAGCCTCAGTAGATTTTGAGATTAAAAGAGATTTATGAGATATTGTAATTAGTTGTATGACCCTTAATTGGAACCCAGATTGGGAAATAAAAACCTGCAGAAGACATTTTTAGAAACAATGGGAAACTTGGATATGGACTGTATAGTTGATACTTTAAATGAAATAAAGCATGTGGTTTTTACTATTACTGTAGTTCTGAGAGCAATGTATTTGTAATTGGGACATAAGTGTATTAAAATTTAGGTGTGAAGTATTAGGATATCTGCAGTTACTTTCCTACTTTTAGACAAAAAAATTGTACAGAGAGAAAGACAAACAAATGTGTAAATTATTTTTAAATCACTTGTGAATCCAGGTGAGTTGTTTAGAGTTTTTCTACTATTCTATAATTTTACTTCATGTCTCTATTATTTTTCAAAATAAAAATTGGACAAATGATTCACTGTGTATAATTTAAGGGATCAATTTTTACAAAGAGCCATGATATCTCAATGAAAAGAGAAGCCTACCCATTTTTCATCCCAAGAAAAATTATATCAAAATTCAATTTAAAAGACAGGTTCCAGAAAAATCCTCATATTTAAAAAACACACTATTATACAATGTTAATTCAGATATTTCTCTACTTATTAATTCTTTTAAAATTAAGAAAAGCAAGATATATAGTTTGTTAGAGATAAATGTTTATTTTTTTAAAAGTGTAAATCTGAAGAGAAACCTATTCTATTGACTATTCTTTAATATGTCCCACTGGAAAGAATAATATGAGTTACAGAGTGTTGCAACCTTTAGTTTATTTTTAAATCGAGAGGAAGCTTGCTACATTTCAAGAAAGTTACCAATAGAATAGTATATTTGGACATAATGTTTGTAATTAACTGTTGTGCACTGTTCAGGTTTATTACTAAAATTTAGTTTCATTTATTCTGTGTTTTTAAAAAATCTGAGGACTATTTTTTAATGATTTATGCATCTTTGACTGCTGACCATGTTGTGTTACATTCTACCAATGGCATGGATAAGCTAGTCTATAATTTAAATTCATTTTTGATTAGTTATTATACCTAAATAAAATAGTGTAGACTATACTATGTGATTCCTAAAACTTATATAATCAATTTTTGCCAATTCCTTGCCTATCCAAACTTAAAATACTAAGAAGATAGTGTTTCCCTTAGTGAAATTTTAAGTGTGGAATACCTACAAAATTGTGCACAAATCATGTGTGTGTGTGTGTGTGTGCACGTGCGCATGCAATTCAGTAAATTTTAACCAACTCTGCACATTCAATAAGCTCCCAGGTCAGGAAATATTACCAGAAAAGGACGCTTGTCATCAGCATCCTTTTCTACTATTGGTCATCACTGATCTCATTTCTAACAAAGATGAGTCATTTCCAAGATGATGATCAAATTCACAATTATACCATAAATTTTATGTCCATTATAGTGTTAATGGACCTTTGGATTATGTCTAGGTTTTAAGTGTTACAAATGATGCTTCTATAAAAATTCCAGGACATGTCTTTCGGTTCTCATATAAACGTACTCTTGTTGACATACACCAATGAATAGAATTGCTGGATTAGAGGATATTAATATTCTCAGCTTGAGAAAGTGCTCTCACAGTTACCACAGTGATGTTAAAAATTTTTATTCCTTTTATCAATAGATGAGAGTGTGGATTGCTTCTCTTTCCCACCAACATTATTTTCTACATCTTTCTATTTTAGACATTCTGGTTGGGTTATAATGGTATTGGCTTATAACATGAATTTGCATTTTCCAATAAATAATGTAATGGTATTGGCTTATAATAAGAATTTGCATTTCTAATAAATAATAATTCCAACAGAATAGTCTATTTTGACATAATGTTTCTAATTAACTGTTGTGCACTGTTCAGGTTTATTATTAAAATTTAGTTTCATTTCTTCTGTGTTTTTAAAAAATCTAGGGACTATTTTTTAATGATTTATGCATCTTTGACTGCTGACCATGTTGTTGTGTTAGACTCTACCAATGTATTTTGAACTTTGTATTTGAGTGAAGTTTTTCATGTTACAGCTTAAAAGATTTCACCTTTTTTTAACTTATAAAATACTGTGTAAAAACCCCCTTTATCTCTGCTTCTTACCCTATCCCTGAATCTTACATTTTCAAAGCCTCCGGTAAGATGTGCTCCTTTGAAACATTTACTCAAAACAAAATAGCCTATGTTTTTAGAGTTTTAAAAAATGTGTAAGATGATATAGTTGAGCAGCCTATTTCATGTGTTTTTAGTCATTAGAATTATTCATTAGGGAAGTTACTATCACATCTTTCTCTTATAAACTCTTATTAGATATTTGTACTCTGGCTATCTGGTTTCATTTGGTAGGTTGAGTTTTTAAAAATAATCTGTTTTTTAGAGTAGTTTTGCATTCACTGCAAAACTGAATGGAGAGTACAGGTAATTTCCATATATTCCTTGTACATAAACACAACCCCCCACTACTGACATCCTGCACTAGAGTTTTACATTTTTTATAATTGATAAACGTGCATTGACGTGTCATCATCCAAAGTCCATAGCTTATATTCAAGTTTACTGTTAGTGTTCTATATGCTACGAGTTTTAACAAATGTATAATGACATGCATACATGATTATAGACCCCAGAGCAGTGACACTGCACTAAAAATCCTCTGTGCTCCTTTCATTTATCCTTCCCTCCCCACAAGATATGGAAAACACTGATATTTACTGTCTCCATAGTTTTGTTTTTTTCAGAATATTATTTAGTTGGAATCATAAAATATGCCATTTCACATTGGTTTCTTTCACTTTATAATATGCATTTAAGGTTTCTTCATGTCTGTTCATGGATTGACAGCTTAAATTTCTTTTTTGTACTGAATAATATTCCATTGTCTGCTGTTGTATCTAGTTTCTTTATCCATTCACCTACTAAAGGGCATCTTGGTTGCTTTCAAGTTTTGGCAATTATGAATAAAGCAGCTTCTTGACCAACTGGACCTAAGAGACATCTACAGAATACTCCACCCGACAACCATGGAATAAACATTCTTCTCACTCACACGCAGAACGTATTCTAAGATTGACTACATGCTTGGCCATAAAGCAACTTTCAATAAGTTCAAAAAACTCAAAATCATACCAAGAGTATGTTCAGACTACAGTGCAATAAAAATAAAATCAAAGCCAATGAAAACTGAACAACTTGCTTCTAAATAACTCATGGGTAAACAATGAAATTAAGGCAACAATCAAAAACATTATTTGAAACTAATGAAAATAGAGACAAAATTTACCAAAATCTTTGTGATGCAGTTAAAGCAATGTTAAAAGATCATAGTGTTAAACACCGTTATCAAGAAGTTAGAAAGATCTCCAATTAATGATCTAACATCACACTGCATTAGTTTGTTCTCACATTGCTATAAAGAACTATCCTTAAAAATTTTTAAAGAAAAGAGGTTTAGTTGATTCACAGTTCTGCAGGCTATACAAGAAGCATGGCTGGGAGGCCTCAGGAAACATAATCATGGTGGAAGGTCAAAGGGGAAGCAAGCAAATCTTCGCATGGTGGCAGGAGAGAGCGAACAAAGGGGGAGGTTCTACACACTTTTAAACAAGCAGATCTCATGAGAACTCACTCACTATCATGAGAACAGCAAGGGAGAAATTCGACCCTATGATCCAATCACCTTCCACCCAACTCCAATACTTGAGATCACAATTTAACATGTGATTTGGGTGGGAACACACCAACAGGAACTAGAACAAAAAAAGCAAACCAACCCCTAAGCTAGCAGAAGAAAAGCAATAACTAAAATCAGAAAAGAACTGAATGAACTTGAGATGCAAAAGTCCATACAAGAGATCAGTGAAACCAAGAGCTGTTTCTTCCAAAGAATAAACAAAGTTGATAGAGCACTAGTTAGATTAACAAAGAAAAATGAGAAGATCCAAATAAGCTTAAGTGCAATCAGAGATAACAAAGATGACATTATAACTGATCCCACAGAAACACAAAAGATCCTTAGAGACTATTAAGAACACGCTATACATACAAATTAGAAAATCTAGAGGAAATGGATCAACTTCTGGAAACTACAATCTCCCAAAATTGGACCAGGAAGAAAACAAAATCCTGTCTACACAAATGGCAAGCTCTGATATTGAATCAGTAATTTAAAAACTACCAACCAAAAAAAGTCCTAGACTACATGGATGCAGCCAATTTCTATGAGTCATACAAAGAAGAGCTGGAAACAATACTATTATAACTATTCCAAAAAAATCAAGGAGGAGGGGCTCCTCCCTAACTCATTCTAAAATTCAGCCTCATCCTGATACCAAAATCTGGCAGAGACACAACAACAACAACAACAAAACTTCATGCCAATATCCTTGATGAACATAGATGCAAAAATTCTTAGCAAATTATTGGCAAATTGAATCCAGTAACACACCGAGAAATTAATTCCCCATGATCAGGTAGGTTTTACTCCTGGAATACAAGGTTGGTTCAACATATACCAGTCAACAAATGTGATTCACCACATAAACAGAATTAAAGTAAAAAAACCATAATCATCTCAATGGATGCAGGAAAAGCTTTCAATAAAATCCAACAACCCTTCTTGATAAAAAAAAAAAAAGATCCTCGATAGAATAGGCATCAGAAGGACATACCTCAAAATAATAAGAGCCACCTATGACAAACCTACAGCCAATATCATACTGAACCGGCGAAAGCTGGAAACATTCTCCCTAAGAGCTATAATAAGACAAGGATGCCCACTCTCACTTCTCCTGTTCAATATAGTACTTTATGTCTAAGCCAGAGCAATCAGGCAAGAAAAAGAAATAAAAGGCATTCAAATGGGAAAAAGAAGTCAATCTATCTCTCTTAACTGATGATATAATTCTGTAGTTTGAAAACCTTTAAGTCTCTGCCCATAGGCTACTGGAACCAATAAATGATTTTAGCAAGATTTCAGGACACAAAAGCAAATTACAAAAATCAATAGCATTTCTCTACACCAGTAACTTCCAGGCTGAGTCAATTCAAGAATACAATCCCATTTACAATACCCACAAAGAAAATGATATACCTGTTAATACAGCTAACTAAAGAAGTGAAAGATCTCTACAAGGAGAACTACAAGACACTACTGAAAAGAAATCAGAGATGACAAAAATAAATGGAAAAACATTCCATGCTCATGTATTGAAAGAACTAATGTCATTAAAATGGCCATACTACCTATAGCAATTTACATATTCAATGTTATTCCTATGAAACTACAAATGTCATTCTTCACAGAATTAAAAAAAAAAAAAACAAAAACTATTCTAAAACTTATGTGGAGCCAAAAAAGTGCCTGAATAGCAAAGCAGTCCTAAGCAAAAAGAGCAAAGCTGGAGACATCATACTATCCAACTCCATATTATATTACAAGGATACAGTAAGCAAAACAGCATGGTACCGGTATAAAAACAGACACCTAGAACAAAGAAACAGAAGACAGAAACCAGAATAAAGCCACATATCTACAGCTATCTAATCTATGATAAAGTCGACAAAAATCAGCAATGGGGAAAGGACTCCCTATTCAATAAATGGTGCTGGGCTAGCTGGCTAGCTATATGCAGAATAATAAAACTAGATCACTGGCCAGGCATGGTGGCTCACGCCTGTAATACCAGCACTTTGGGAGGCCGAGGTGGGCAGATCACTAGGTCAGGAGTTCGAGACCAGCCTGGCCAACTTGGTGAAACCCCGTCACTACTAAAAATACAAAAATTAACTAGGCATGGTGGTGGGCACCTGTAATCCCAACTACTCAGGAGGCTGAGGCAGGAGAATCATTTGAACCCAGGAGGCGGAGGTTGCAGTGAGCCGAGATCATGCCATTGCACTCCAGCCTGGGAGACAGGGTGAGACTTTGTCTCAAAAAAAAAAAAAAAAAAAAAAACCCAAAAAACTAGATCGCTAGGTTTTACCATAGCCAAAAATTGACTCACAATGGATGAAAGATTTAAAGTAAGACCTCAAAGTACAAAAATCCCAGAAGGAAACCTAGGAAATATCCTTCTTGACATCAGCCTTGAGAAAGAATTTATGATTAAGTCCCCAAAAGCAATCACAACAAAAATAAAAATTGACAATTGAGAATTAAACTAAAGAGCTTCTGCACAGCAAAATAAACTATCAACAGAGTAAACAGAGAACCTACAGAATGAGAGAAAATATTAGCAAACTATACATTAGATAAAAATCTAATATCCAGAATAGGACAGTAAACAAATCAACAAACAAAAAACAAATAATCCCATTAAAAAATGGGCAAAGGACATGTATAGACACTTTTCAAAATAAGACATACATGTGGCTAACAAACATATGAAATCACTAATCATCTGAGAAATGCAAATTAAAACCACAATGAGATACCATCATACACCAGTCAGAGTTGCTTTTATTAAAAAGTCAAAAGACAACAGATGCTGGCAAGGCTGCAGAGAAAAGAGAAAGTGTACACGATGTTGATGGGAATGTAAGTTAGTCCAGCTACTATGGAAAGCAGTTTGGATTTTCTCAAAGAACTTCAAACAGAGCTACCATTTGACCCAGCAATCCTATTACTGGGTATATACCCAAAGGAAAACAGATCATTATATTTTAAAAAATGCACTTGTATGTTCATTACCATGCTATTCACAGTAGCGAAGACATGGAATCAACCTAGGTGCCCATCAACGGTGGCCTGGATAAAGGAAATGTAGTATATATACAACGTGCAATACTATGCAGTCGTAAAAAAGAATAAAATGTTCTTTGCAGCAACGTGGATAAAGCTGGAGGCCATAATCCTAAGCAAACTAATGAAGGAACAGAAAATGAAATACTGCATGTTCTCACTTAAACACAGGAGCTAAACATTCAGCTCACACGGACAAAAACATGTGAACAATAGGTACTGTGGACTAATAGAGTGGGGAGGGAGGGAAGGGGATGTGGGTTGAAAAACTACCTACTGGGTATATTATACTCACTACATGGGTATAATATACCCTTGTAACAAACCTGCACATGTACCCCCTGTAACTAAAATAAAAGTTGAATTCTTTAAAAAAATGCTGCTATAAGCATCCCTTTTCAGGTTTTTGTGAAGACATAAATTTCAATTCCTCTGGATAATCACCAAGGAGTGTAATTGCTGGATCCTATGGTAAGCGTATGTCTAGTTTCGTAAGAAACTATCAAACTTCCAAAGTGGCTTTACTATTTTGCATGACCACTAGCAGTGAATGAGTTCTGTTGTTTCACATCCTCACTATCATTTTGTGGTGTCAGTGTTTTGGATTTTCACCATTTTAATAGGTGTGTAGTGGTATCTCATTGTTATTTTAATTTGCAATTGTCCAAGACCTGATATCAAGCACCTTTTCACAGGCTTACATGCCATTTGTGTATTTTCTTTGGTAAAGTGTTTGTTTGGGCCTATTGCCCATTTTTAATTGGGTTGTTTCCTTATTGCTGGGTTTTAAGACTTATTTTTGTATTACAGTTAACAGTCCTTTATCAAATATGTCTTTAGCAAATATTTTCTTCGAGTCTGTGGCTTGTAGTCTCATTCTCTTGCCAAAAATTTTTAATTTTCATGAAGTCCAGCTCATCAATTCTTTTATTTATAGATCATACCTTTGGTGTTAAATATGAAGTCATCACCATATCCAAAGTTATCTAGATTTTCTCCTATATTATCTTCTAGAAGATTTATAGTTTTACATTTTACATGTAGATTATTTTGGCTTGGTTTAGGGGAAGGATGTAAGAACTATGTCTAGATTCATATTGTTTTGCATGTGGATGTTTGGTTGGTCCAGCACTATTTGTTGAAAAGATTTCTTTTCTCCATTGAACTGCTTTTGCTTCTTTGTCAAAAGTCGGTTGACTTCATTTGAGTGGGTCTTTTCACCTGTTCCATTCATCTGTTTGTGTATTCTTTCACCAATATCACATAGTCTTGATTACTGTAGCTTTATAGTAGGTTTGAAGTTGGGTGGGGTCAGTCCTCTAACTTTATTCTTTTCCATCAATATTGTGTTGGCTATTTGGGGGTCTTTTTACTCTCCATATGAACTTTAGAATTAGTTTTTTAATAGCCACAAAATAATTTCTGTTGAGATTTTGATTGGGATTACACTGAATCTATAGTAAAATTGAGAAGAACTGACATCTTAGCAATATTGAATATTCTTATCCCTGAACATAAAATTTCTCCATTTATTGAGTTCTTTTCTGATTTCTTTCACCAGTGTTTTATAGTTTTTCCTCACATAAATATTGTACATATTTTGTTAGATTTATGCTTAAGTATTTCATCTTTTTGGGTGTTAGTGTAAATGGCATTGTGTTTTTAATTTCGAATTTCAGTTGTTCATTATTGATGTAGTAAGTCACGAAAGCAATTGACTTTTGTAATAATAACTTTGTATCTTGCAACCTTGCTATAAATTCTTACTCCAGTTTTTTTTGTCAGTTCATTTAGATCTTCTACATAGACAGTCATGTCATCTGCAAACAAAGACAGTTTTATTTTTTCCTTCTCAACCTCTATATTTTAATTTCCTTTTCATGTCTTACTGCCTAGCACTTTCAGTATGATGTTGGAAAGGAATGATGTGAGGGGACAGTCTTGTCTTTTACCTGATCTAAGTGGAAAAACTTATTTTTAAAAAACGAAGTCTGATGTTAGCTGTAGGTTTTTTTGTAGATACTCTTTATCAAATTGAAGAGGTTCCCCAGTACTTTAATTTGCTGACAGTTGCATTTCTTTAAAAAATCAGGATTAAGTATTGTTTTGTCAAATGACTTTTCTCCATCTATTGATGTAATCATGTGATTTTTCTTTGTATGTTTATTGATGTGATGGATTATATTAGTTTAATTTTGAATTTTGAACCAATCTTACCTACGTGGGATGAAGTCCGCTTAGTTCTGGTGTATAATTCTTTCATAAATTATTCATCTCAATGTGTTAACTTTTTTCTGAGGATTTTTGCATCCACGTTCATGAAAGATATTGTTTTGTAGTTTTCTTTTCTTATAATCTCCTTGCCTAATTTTTGTATAAGGCTAACTCTGGTCTTACAGAATTAATTAGAAACTACTCCCTCTAATTTTGTCTTCTAGAGGAGATTATAGAGAATTTGTATAATTTTTTTCTTAAATGCATGGTAGAATTCACTAGTGAACACATGTGGGCCTGAGGCTTTCTGTTTTGGAAGGTTATTCATTATTGATTCAATTTTTTAAGTGGACATGCCTATTCAGATTGTCTATTTGCAGGTTCCTTTTTCATTCTCTTAAAGCTGCCTTTTGAAAAATAGAAATTCTTAATTTTAATATAATGTAATTCATCAATATATTGTTGAAGGATTAATGCTTTTGGGTCCTCTTCAAGATATCTTTGCCTACTCTAACATCACAAGAATGCTCCTCTAAGTTTTGTCATTTGTTTGATTTCAAATTTAAAAGGCAAGAAAAACTTTAATGCATTTAGAATAGAATTTTGTGCACAATATCAAGTAGGCATTACTTTAGGACATTCCATTGAATTATCACCGTTAGTTGAAAGTCCATGTTTCCCCTCTAAACTGCAATGTCACTGTTGCCATAAACCAGGTGACTCTGTTTGTGTAGAAGTATTTCAGGACTGTTTTTCTGATCACTTAACATAATTTTCAGATAATAAATGTAATTAAACTAGCATTATAATAGATCCTAAGTCTTCCAGTGATGTACTTTTTCCACAATACAATCTTGTTTGTTTTTGGTCATATGTATTTCCATATGCATTTGAGTTAGTTTGTTGATTTCAACACTGACATCTCTCTCTCTATATATATAGTTATTATGATTATTTACAATAATATATAATTATTACAATTATTATAGTTATAATTTTAATAATTGTAATAATTCATGGAATGAATTTGTATCACCCAGATAAAAAATACATTTAATAATCTTTTCATATGTTCATTGCTCTTTATTTTGTATGTGATTGCAGTTTTTTATGTCACGCTGTATAGATTCTTTTATATTTTCTGTGTTTATGTCAGATAGTGCCTTTTTTCATTCCTTTCCAAATTGTATCCACATTTAAAATATTTATTCTCCATTTCGTTTTGGCTAGAATGACAAGTGTAATGTTGAATAGAAAGGCATGATTTTAAATATCCCTGTCTTTTCCCAAATTCTAGAGGCAAGGCCTTAAAATTCACCATGGGAATATGGTATTTAGTGGAGATTTTACACATGTTTTTATTAGACATAGATACTAAGAATTTCAAAATATAAATGACTGACAAATTTTATCAGATGTCTTTTCTGTATCTATTGAAGACAAGTATTTTTCTCCGTCTTTTGACATAGTCACATTGATTTCTCCTTTTTTGTTATTGTGGCAGAATATATTAAAGCATTAATACATTAATACATCAAATACTAAATGACCAATCTTCCTACAAATAGCTGGGGTAGATTATCTTGTACATAATTATAGATTTATTTATGTTCTTTTTTCCATCTATTTTTACAAGAGAGATACTTCTAGACATTTATTTCCAGAAATTATTTTGGAAATTTCATTTTTTTATTATCTTAAAATTTATTTTAACGCCAAGATTATGCTAGCTTTATTAAAATATTTGGTAAATATTTTCTTTTTTTTATCTTGTCTTCAAGACTTTGTATACAACTGATGTTATTCCTTGAGTGTTTCAAGAAATTTGTAGATGGAGTCATATAAACTAGTTATTTTCCTTTTGCGATGGTGTTTAATAATGCATTCAAATTTCTTCAATAGATGAAATATGCAAATCTTTTATTATTCTGTCAGCTTTAGCATGTTTATCCTAATTTTCAAATATATTGACATACATTTATTATGATGATAATATTAATAGTGTTGTAATGTCCCCTTTTAAATGTTGGCATATAGTTATTTTTGTTTTCTTTTTTTTAAATTAATAAGTGATATGAGGTGTTTATCAAGTTTATCAATCTTTTCAAAAAATCAACTTTTGGCTTTGTCTAACTTTTCTATTATACATTTTTTATTTTTTAGATTTCTACCCATATCTTTATTACATCTTTTTACATAATAAGTTTAATTTGCTTTTTTCCTCTAATTTGAATTAGAAAACATTTCAAATCTTTTGTTACTCATATTCTTTTGATATATTCATCTAAGCCAGTACATTTTATTCCAACTATGCTTTAATTATACCCTGCAAGAATTTATATGTTTAGTATTCAGCTAAATATTTTCTAATTTCCATTGTTTCTCTTTTGAATTCTAGGATTTTCTAAGATATGTGGTTTGATGTTTTCACACTTAGGAATTTTCCAGTTATCATTTCTTAGAGAAATAAAAACATTTTAATATTTTAAACATTTTGAGGATTTCCTTTGACTTAGCTATAAAATTTGGCAAATGTTTCATGGCAACCGAGAAAAAAATATATTTTTTGTTGTTTTTTGATGCCAGATTCTTTCTATAGGAATAAAAATATTTTAAATTATATTTTAATTAAAGAGGCTGAGAAGGGAAAGGAAGGAGGATGAGAAGAAGGTAATCAAGGGTCAAACATACAGTTAGATAAAAAGAATAAGTTCTGGTATCCAATAGTACAGCAGAGAAATTATAGTTAACAATAATTTATTATATATCTCAAAATAGCTAGAAAAGAATAATTGTAATGTTTCCAACAGAAAGAAAAGATAAATGTTTGAGGTGGTAGATAACTCAATTGCCCTGACTTCATTATTCCACATTGCATATACGTATCAAAATATCACACATACCTTCAAAATAAGTACAACTCTCATATATAAATGAAAAATAAAAGAAAATGATTCCTTGTTCACTTTTCCCTTCCTTCTATCAGCTACTGGAGGAGGTGTTAAAGTATTTTTTAATATTGAAGGTTACTTTTTCCCATCAATTTGATTAATTTTTGCAATATATAGGTAATAGCTATGTTACTAAATATATAGAAGTTTGAGATTACAAAATAGTTATAATTAATTATTACAAAATTTTTTTCTTTTAGCTAGTAATGTTAACTGCTTTTAAGTCACATTTATTTAGTCTTTCCATGGCATATCATTTTCCAAGATTTTCTTTCAACCCTTTTGTATCTTTTATCTTTGCAACAAAACTTTTGATAGATTTAGGTTTAGAATAAAATCCAGCTCTACAATATTAGTGCCTAATTTTGAGAATTTACCACATATTCCATATAACTGAAATTGCTGAGTTTTACCTATAATTTTATTACATGTTTTCCATTTGACTCACTTATTTTAAGATCCTACCTTCCCTCCTATGTTGTCTTCTTTTAAATTAATAAATACTTTTAATTGTTCCATAATTCCATTTAATAATGTGATATTCTTTCATTTTTAATAATTTAATTATGTTACGGATTACATTACATATTCTTACATTTTTCAGTGTAATACAAATATTTCTGCAGTAAATCTACATGGGAACTTCAGAACACATTGCTCCTTCAGGTGCTTTTGCTGTCTGCATAATTTCCTCTCTCAATACATTCAAAACTCCACAAAACACTACTGTTGTTTTGAGTAGTCGATATTTACATATATTTACAAATTTAACTCCCTTTCCAGTATTCATTATTGCCTCTTGTAATCATATACATAGATAACTATATAGTTGTGTGTGTGTGCATATATATATATATATATATATATATATAAAACATAACTATAAATTAAATGAAAACTGTTTTTTGGCTGCATAGACCAGCTTCTGATATCTGAATCAAATTAAGATGTTAAATATTCATAGAAACCAAGTTATAGATATAAAATTAAGTTTTAAAACACTTTAATTCAATAGTGATTGCTAGTCATTTTAGGGCAAACAATCTAATAATAAATTGGCACATTCTCCAAATTGCTTGGCAATTAGTAAAATTGTTAAAAAGAATGCATTTTTTTAAGAATAGAAATTTTTGGGGGGAGGAGCCAAGATGGCCGAATAGGAACAGCTCCGGTCTACAGCTCCCAGCGTGAGCGATGCAGAAGACGGTGATTTCTGCATTTCCATCTGAGGTACCGGGTTCATCTCACTAGGGAGTGCCAGACAGTGGGCGCAGGTCAGTGGGTGCGCGCACCGTGCGCGAGCCGAAGCAGGGAGAGGCATTGCCTCACCCCGGAAGCGCAAGGGGTCAGGGAGTTCCCTTTCTGAGTCAAAGAAGGGGGTGACGGATGGCACCTGGAAAATCGGGTCACTCCCACCCGAATACTGCGCTTTTCCGACGGGCTTAAAAAACGGCGCACCACGAAATTATATCCCGCACCTGGCTCGGAGGGTCCTACGCCCACAGAGTCTTGCTGATTGCTAGCACAGCAGTCTGAGATCAAACTGCAAGGCAGCAGCGAGGCTAGGGGAGGGGCGCCCGCCATTGCCCAGACTTGATTAGGTAAACAAAGCAGCCGGGAAGCTCGAACTGGGTGGAGCCCACCACAGCTGAAGGAGGCCTGCCTGCCTCTGTAGGCTCCACCTCTGGGGGCAGGGCACAGACAAACAAAAAGACAGCAGTAACCTCTGCAGACTTAAATGTCCCTGTCTGACAGCTTTGAAGAGAGCAGTGGTTCTCCCAGCACGCAGCAGCTGGAGATATGAGAACGGGCAGACTACCTCCTCAAGTGGGGCCCTGACCCCTGACCACCAAGCAGCCTAACTGGGAGGCACCCCCCAGCAGGGGCACACTGACACCTCACACGGCAGGGTATTCCAACAGACCTGCAGCTGAGGGTCCTCTCTGTTAGAAGGAAAACTAACAAACAGAAAGGACATCCACACCAAAAACCCATCTGTACATCACCATCATCAAAGACCAAAAGTAGATAAAACCAGAAAGATGGGGAAAAAACAGAACAGAAAAACTGGAAACTCTAAAAAGCAGAGCGCCTCTCCTCCTCCAAAGGAATGCAGCTCCTCACCAGCAACGGAACAAAGCTGGATGGAGAATGACTTTGAGGAGCTGAGAGAAGAAGGCTTCAGACTATCAAATTACTCTGAGATACGGGAGGACATTCAAACCAAAGGCAAAGAAGTTGAAAACTTTGAAAAAAATTTAGAAGAATGTATAACTAGAATAACCAATACAGAGAAGTGCTTAAAGGAGCTGATGGAGCTGAAAACCAAGGCTGGAGAACTACGTGAAGAATGCAGAAGCCTCAGGAGCCCATGCGATCAACTGGAAGAAAGGGTATCAGCGATGGAAGATGAAATGAATGAAATGAAGCGAGAAGGGAAGTCTAGAGAAAAAAGAATAAAAATAAATGAGCAAAGCCTCCAAGAAATATGGGACTATGTGAAAAGACCAAATCTACGTCTGATTGGTGTACCTGAAAGTGATGGGGAGAATGGAACCAAGTTGGAAAACACTCTGCAGGATATTATCCAGGAGAACTTCCCCAATCTAGCAAGGCAGGCCAACGTTCAGATTCAGGAAATACAGAGAATGCCACAAAGATACTCCTCAAGAAGAGCAACTCCAAGACACATAATTGTCAGATTCACCAAAGTTGAAATGAAGGAAAAAATGTTAAGGGCAGCCGGGAGAAATGTCGGGTTACCCTCAAAGGGAAGCCCATCAGACTAACAGCAGATCTCTTGGCAGAAACCCTACAAGCCAGAAGAGAGTGGGGGCCAATATTCAACATTCTTAAAGAAAAGAATTTTCAACCCAGAATTTCATATCCAGCCAAACTAAGCTTCATAAGTGAAGGAGAAATAAAATACTTTACAGACAAGCAAATGCTGAGAAATTTTGTCACCACCAGGCCTGCCTTACAAGAGCTCCTGAAGGAAGCACTAAACATGGAAAGGAACAACCGGTACCAGCTGCTGCAAAATCATGCCAAAATGTAAAGACCATCGAGACTAGGAAGAAACTGCATCAACTAACGAGCAAAATCACCAGCTAACATCATAATGACAGGATCAAATTCACACATAACAATATTAACTTTAAATGTAAATGGACTAAATGCTCCAATTAAAAGACACAGACTGGCAAATTGGATAAAGAGTCAAGACCCATCAGTGTGCTGTATTCAGGAAACCCATCTCACAGGCAGAGACACACATAGGCTCAAAATAAAAGGATGGAGGAAGATCTACCAAGCCAATGGAAAACAACAAAAGGCAGGGGTTGCAATCCTAGTCTCTGATAAAACAGACTTTAAACCAACCAAGTTCAAAAGAGACAAAGAAGGCCATTACATAATGGTAAAGGGATCAATTCAACAAGAAGAGCTAACTATCCTAAATATATATGCACCCCATACAGGAGCACCAAGATTCATAAAGCAAGTCCTGAGTGACCTACAAAGAGACTTAGACTCCCACACATTAATAATGGGACACTTTAACACCCCACTGTCAACATTAGACAGATCAACAAGACAGAAAGTCAACAAGGATACCCAGGAATTGAACTCAGATCTGCACCAAGCGGACCTAATAGACATCTACAGAACTCTCCACCCCAAATCAACAGAATATACATTTTTTTCAGCACCACACCACACCTATTCCAAAATTGACCACACACTGGGAAGTAAAGCTCTCCTCAGCAAATGTAAAAGAACAGAAATTATAACAAACTATCTCTCAGACCACAGTGCAATCAAACTAGAACTCAGGATTAAGAATCTCACTCAAAACCACTCAACTACATGGAAACTGAACAACCTGCTCCTGAATGACTACTGGGTACATAACGAAACGAAGGCAGAAATAAAGATGTTCTTTGAAACCAACGAGAACAAAGACACAACATACCAGAATCTCTGGAACGCATTCAAAGCAGTGTGTAGAGGGAAATTTATAGCACTAAATGCCCACAAGAGAAAGCAGGAAAGATCCAGAATTGACACCCTAACATCACAATTAAAAGAACTAGAAAAGCAAGAGCAAACACATTCAAAAGCTAGCAGAAGGCAAGAAATAACTAAAATCAGAGCAGAACTGAAGGAAATAGAGACACAAAAAACCCTTCAAAAAATTAATGAATCCAGGAGCTGGTTTTTTGAAAGGATCAACAGAATTGATAGACCGCTAGCAAGACTAATAAAGAAAAAAAGAGAGAAGAATCAAATAGACGCAATAAAAAATGATAAAGGGGATATCACCACCGATCCCACAGAAATACAAACTACCATCAGGGAATACTACAAACACCTCTACGCAAATAAACTAGAAAATCTAGAAGAAATGGATAAATTCCTGGACACATACACTCTCCCAAGACTAAACCAGGAAGAAGTTGAATCTCTGAATAGACCAATAACAGGATCTGAAATTGTGGCAATAATCAATAGCTTACCAATCAAAAAGAGTGCAGGACCAGATGGATTCACAGCCGAATTCTACCAGAGGTACAAGGAGGAACTGATACCATTCCTTCTGAAACTATTCCAATCAATAGAAAAAGAGGGAATCCTCCCTAAGTCATTTTATGAGGCCAGCATCGTACTGATACCAAAGCCAGGCAGAGACACAACCAAAAAAGAGAATTTTAGACCAATATCCTTGATGAACATTGATGCAAAAATCCTCAGTAAAATACTGGCAAACCGAATCCAGCAGCACTTCAAAAAGGTTATCCACCATGATCAAGTGGCTTCATCCCTGGGATGCAAGGCTGGTTCAATATACGCAAATCAATAAATGTAATCCAGCATATAAACAGAGCCAAAGACAAAAACCACATGATTATCTCAATAGATGCAGAAAAAGCCTTTGACAAAATTCAACAACCCTTCATGCTAAAAACTCTCAATCAATTAGGTATTGATGGGATGTATTTCAAAATAATAAGAGCTATCTATGACAAACCCACAGCCAATATCATACTGAATGGGCAAAAACTGGAAGCATTCCCTTTGAAAACTGGCACAAGACAAGGATGCCCTCTCTCACCACTCCTATTCAACATACTGTTGGAAGTTCTGGCCAGGGCAATTAGGCAGGAGAAGGAAATAAAGGGTACTCAATTAGGAAAAGAGGAAGTCAAATTGTCCCTGTTTGCAGACGACATGACTGTATATCTAGAAAACCCCATTGTCTCAGCCCAAAATCTCCTTAAGCTGATAAGCAACTTCAGCAAAGTCTCAGGATACAAAATCAATGTACAAAAATCACAAGCATTCTTATACACCAATAACAGACAAACAGAGAGCCAAATCATGAGTGAACTCCCATTCACAATTGCTTCAAAGAGAATAAAATACCTAGGAATCCAATTACAAGGGATGTGAAGGACCTCTTCAAGGAGAACTACAAACCACTGCTCAAGGAAATAAAAGAGGATACAAACCAATGGAAGAACATTCCATGCTCATGGGTAGGAAGAATCAATATCGTGAAAATGGCCATACTGCCCAAAGTAATTTATAGATTCAATGCCATCCCCATCAAGCTACCAATGACTTTCTTCACAGAATTGGAAAAGACTACTTTAAAGTTCATATGGAACCAAAAAAGAGCCTGCATCGCCAAGTCAATCCTAAGCCAAAAGAACAAAGCTGGAGGCATCACACTACCTGACTTCAAACTATACTACAAGGCTACAGTAACCAAAACAGCATGGTACTGGTACCAAAACAGAGATATAGATCAATGGAACAGAACAGAGCCCTCAGAAATAATGCCACATATCTACAACTATCTGATCTTTGACAAACCTGAGAAAAACAAGCAATGGGGAAAGGATTCCCTATTTAATAAATGGTGCTGGGAAAACTGGCTAGCCATATGTAGAAAGCTGAAACTGGATCCCTTCCTCACACCTTATACAAAAATCAATTCAAGATGGATTAAAGACTTAAATGTTAGACCTAAAACCATAAAAACCTTAGAAGAAAACCTAGGCATTACCATTCAGGACATAGGCATGGGCAAGGACTTCATGTCTAAAACACCAAAAGCAATGGCAACAAAAGCCAAAATTGACAAATGGGATCTCATTAAACTAAAGAGCTTCTGCACAGCAAAAGAAACTACCATCAGAGTGAACAGGCAACCTACAAAATGGGAGAAAATTTTCACAACCTACTCATCTGACAAAGGGCTAATATCCAGAATCTACAATGAACTCAAACAAATGTACAAGGAAAAAACAAACAACCCCATCAAAAAGTGGGCGAAGGACATGAACAGACACTTCTCAAAAGAAGACATTTATGCAGCCAAAAAACACATGAAAAAATGCTCATCATCACTGGCCATCAGAGAAATGCAAATCAAAACCACAATGAGATACCATCTCACACCAGTTAGAATGGCAATCATTAAAAAGTCAGGAAACAACAGGTGCTGGAGAGGACGTGGAGAAATAGGAATACTTTTACACTGTTGGTGGGACTGTAAACTAGTTCAACCATTGTGGAAGTCATTGTGGCAACTCCTCAGGGATCTAGAACTGGAAATACCATTTGACCCAGCCATCCCATTACTGGGTATATACCCAAAGGACTATAAATCATGCTGCTATAAAGACACATGCACACGTATGTTTATTGCAGCATTATTCACAATAGCAAAGACTTGGAACCAACCCAAATGTCCAACAATGATAGACTGGATTAAGAAAATGTGGCACATATACACCATGGAATACTATGCAGCCATAAAAAATGATGAGTTCATGTCCTTTGTAGGGACATGGATGAAATTGGAAATCATCATTCTCAGTAAACTATCACAAGAACAAAAAACCAAACACCGCATATTCTCACTCATAGGTGGGAACTGAACAATGAGGTCACATGGACACAGGAAGGGGAACATCACACTCTGGGGACTGTTGTGGGGTGGTGGGAGGGGGGAGGGATAGCATCGGGAGATATACCTAATGCTAGATGACGAGTTAGTGGGTGCAGCGCACCAGCATGGCACATGTATACATATGTAACTAACCTGCACAATGTGCACATGTACCCTAAAACTTAAAGTATAATAATAAAAAAAAGAATATAAATTTTTATGATTTTAAGATAGTGCTATATAAATTATCTGTAAAATATACTACAAACATAGTGGCTTTAAAAAAAAAAAGACACATCTTTATTCTCTCACCTATTTCTATTGAACAAACATCTCAGCATGATTTATCTCATTCTTCCACTCAGGGTCTAAGAAGGGTGCCTTCTGGAATCAGCCAGGCCACATTTTTATCTGGAGGCTTACCTGGAGAAGAATCCACTTGCAAGCTTGGTCAGGTTGTTGGCAAAATTTATTTCCTTACCTCGGTAGTAGGACTGAGAGCTCTAGATTTTTCCTGACTGTCACCTGGAAGCTACACTCAGCTCCTGGAGGCTATGCACAGTTCCTCCACGTGTGTTCCTCTCCACGAGCAGTGAGCAATGTGGTGGCTTGCTTCTTCAGAGCCAGCTGGAGAGCACAATGGTGAATCTGCTAGAAAGATAGTATATCATATAAAGTCCTATAATGATGGGAGTGACATCTCAGCACTTTACCATATTTTAGTGGTTAGAAGCAAATTCTATCTTTCCCACACTAAAGCGAAGGGATTATAAAAATGCATAAGCACCAATGGGTTGGAAAAATGAGAGCATCTCAGATTTTGTTTGCCACAGGATCCTATCATTAACGTGGCTCTTCTAAATACATAGTTTCAAAAATAAACTTGAGTCTATTAAGAAAAGGAAAAGTAAGTCAAATCAGAGATTTATTCATTATATAAATAATATATCCATCTTCAAAAATGTGTTTCAAGTTTTGTATATGTGTGTAGAAATGTTTCAGAGAAAGTTTAGAATTCTATTTCTTTATGAAATTTTAATTGTTAACTTCAACATTTAATCTTTGTGTGTGTCTTCGCTAAAGATAAAAAAGAATCATTTAGTTTAAAACCTGATTATTTACTCAGAATTGCATTTTTCCTCAATACTGTATACTACTGGTATTTAAAACTCCAGTTAAAGTTTCCAGAGAAGAAATCTTAATAATGAGAGAATACTTGATTCAACATCTATAATAACTTTCAATTCACCATTTAAAATATTTTTAGTCTTAGGGCTTTTGTTTTTGTTTGACAGGTATTTTTATTCTACTTTCTCTTGACTGTTATTGCTGATTCTTCTCCACCCTAAGGACATTTACACTTCATCACAAGAAGCTAGATGGAACATTCTGAACTGCTTATTCCTTTAGCATATTTGACACTTACTTTGACTTGGGTACAAAGTTAGAAATTTGCATTTGGTTTCCTTTATGATGTTAGAAAGTTTAAAATGCATAAAATAACATGAAACTGTTGCTTATTTTTGTGTAACTCATAAAATATATTTGATAGATTAATTTTTGAAACGTACATATGTAATCTATTAAGATATAATAACATAAATATAAATCAGGTACTTAAATACGCTAATAATTTAAAGCAATGAGGTATTGATCATTTTATACTGAATTTCTTTGTGAACATGCTGTGCCTTTGGACACTCAGATTAAAGCAGAGTGGATATATGAAAATTAGTAACAGATAGCTTTCCCCCTTTCCATATTTGATTCTAATAATTCATAATTAACATAATGTTTACTTAAAACAGAGTAAAAGAATGTTTCTTTCTTCGTAGCATAGGTGACCACTATAGGTAAACAAATTGTCTAAATGAAATTGGCGGAAAGTATTAAGAGTACATCCAAGAGTTGTTTCCTTGGATGACTAGATTCGATGGAATTGGCCAATGGATTCTTCCTTAACCATACGCTTATTGCACGCACTGAGGTTCTGATATTAATTCAAGTTTTGATCAGACTACCCAAATTTTTATGAACCACAACTTTAATTCAAAACTTGAATACTAGAGCACTTGTTATTCAGCTAATAAATATTTTATAATAGTTTATTTTGAATATTTTTTTCTGGAATTTTGGGGGATACATTAGGAAAAAAGTTGAAAGAAATGTTGAAAGACAAAAGTTGAAAGAAAATGCTGATCTATGTGGTATTAAAATTAAAATTCACTTTCTGAACCCTGCTTCAAAATGTGTAACCAACTGAGAGCTCCTTTTGAAATCATTCCGGTCTTCAGGCAGATCCCAAACTCAGCTATTTCAAGAAAGTTACTTGCCTAGAGTAACATTTTTTTTTTCCTTTTAGTCAACACTGGAGAGTTCTCTCTTACCACTTCTGAAATTCTTTAATTTTTTATTATAAATGAGACATAGATGATGTGAGCCTTTGATTTATGAAACATTTCCAGTCACTGTCTTATCATATGCCATGTAATAATTATAGATATATTATTAGCATTGATATAAATATAAGCAAAAAGCAATCACAGAATATAGAAGTAAAGTGCACAGGCTTTTGAGTCAAACTGATTTGGTTTCAAAGGCTGTATCTTGGAAGCAGCCTGACCTTGGGTAAGTTACCAGAATCATATTTAACGTACAACATTAATGTGAGGATTAAGTGAAGGAGTGTATGAACAACATTTAGCACAGTGCCTTCCCAAAGTATTCTCTGATCACTACTTTATGATTACTGATACTACTGCTGTTGCTACTATAATTACTATAATATTTCTAATCCCCCTTCTCTAATTATTGCTCTAAAACTACAATCCACATGGTAAACTTGTAGCAATCCTCACATGCCTAAAGGTCACTAATGTGAAGAAATGGCTGCAAACTATCGCAAGGACAAAAAACTAAACACCACACGTTCTCACTCATAGGTGGGAATTGAACAATGAGAACAGTTGGACACAGGAAGGGGAACATCACACACCGGGGCCTGTCACGGGGTGGGGGGAGGGTAAAGGGATAGCATTAGGAGATATACGTAATGTAAACGACGAGTTAATGGGTGCAGCACACCAACATGGCGCATGTATACAGATGTAACAAACCTGCACGTTGTGCACAGGTACCATAGGACTTAAAGTATAATAATAATAATAAAAAAACAATCAGACAGGACTTTCCCTTTAGGTAAAGGTGGACTAAAAAAACTGCTGGACTGACCCACACACACCTATATACTCTATAATTATTAATTTAAAAAGCAAATACTTGAAGGCACTGGAGAATGGACAAAAGGCATAGATTTTGGTAGGACATTCACACGCAGAGGAGGGCATAACAGAGTGATTGCACCCATTTTTGCTATGTTTAGACTAAAGGCAGGAACAGTTAGCACCAAATAGTGAATATCAGTGGAAAACTCAGTATTGTTGGCCTGAGAAACCAAGAAATTGAATGTCAGGCAACTACGACCACTGAACAGAAAAGGCAAAGTCCAGGCAACTAAAGAGCCAGACAAGTGATACCTAAATTACAACATCTTGCATACCTGGCTGACGACTCAACCATTCACTTACAGACCAGAATGAATGCATTCAGCTAAAATTAAACGATCAAAACTAAAATCATGAGTGGCTACCCAAAAAAGAGGCACATTTTGCATCCAAACAACCTGTTTGCTAGAACAAAAGAAATGACACATCAGAAAGTTAATGAGTAAATGCATATTCTCCACAATGTAACATGAATAATGTCCGTGATACACTGCAACAATGATCTAATATGCAAATAATTTATAATGTGGGATCCATTTTCAATATTAAAAAATTAACTGAGACCAAACCCCTGAGATAAACCAGATAACATTAGCACATGAGGATTTTAAAACTGCTAAAAAGAAGATTCTCAATGTAAAAAAAAAAAAAGTTTCCAAAGATCAAAAATATAGGAAACATTAATGGAGCGATAGAAACAATAAAAATTAACAAATGGAAATTACAGAGATAAAAATAAACAATAACTGAAAATTTAAACATATAACTGTTACCTCAAGGAATGGTGATAAAGGAGGCAGTGAACTGGAAGATACAGCAATTAAAACTATTACTTAGAAAACAATTTAATAAGTGAATAGAGGCCCAGATAACCATCAGATAATATCAAATAGTTTAATACACACATGATTTGATTTCTGGATGGAGAGTTTTATGGAATTTTGTCCCTTCAAAACCTGTATGCTGAAGTCCTAACTCCTAGTACCTCAGAATGTGACCTTATTTGGAGATAGTATTGTTGCAGATGTAATTAGTTAAGAAGAGGTAATGTGAAAATAGGATGAACTCTTAATTCCATATGTCTGGTGTCTTATCAGAAGGGGAAATTTGGATACTCACATCCATAAAGGGAGATTGTTCATGAAGATAAAGGCTGAGATCATGATGATGCTTCTACTATTCAAGGAATGTCAAAGATTAACAGAAACCACCAAAAGCTAAGGTAGTGGCATTGAACAGATTCTTCATCAGAGTCTTGAGAAGAAACCAGTTCTGCTCATCTCATGATTATAGATTTCTAGCCTTCAAAACTATGAGAAACTAAATTTCTGTTATTTATGATCCTCATATCTTTTTGTGATACTTTATTATGGCAGCCTAGCAAATGCATACAGACAGAAAAGAGAAAATGAGGGCAAAAATATTTGAAAACCTAAAGGCCTATTTAAAAAAAAAATAATGAGAGATGTGAAGTTACTGATTTCTACCATGATATAAAACATGAGGATGAGGATAAGTTCACTTTTCTGATTTAAAACTTTCTACATTTTATGAAAAGTAGCATAGAATAAACTCAGAACTAAGGAATCACTTGAACAATTGCTAAATAACAAAATAAAAATGTTTAGATGAACATTAAAATGTGTCAATAAATAAGAGGAAACATCAGATAGAATAACATATACTAACATGCTACCATAATAATTGTTACATGAAGCTATAATAGACTCTCATAAAAAGCCACCGATTATCATAATGGATAAAAAGAAGACATGTCTTAAGTACAATGAAAGACAGAAGTTGAAAACAAATGTCTCAGAAATATATGCTATGCAAACAAAGAAATCTTAAGAAGTGTAGTACAACTTTTGCTAAATAGATTTTAGTATAAAAATAATTATCACCTTAAGAAAAGTGGGACATTTCCTAGTGAAAAAAATTGTCAATTCACCTTAAAACTGCATCAATTGTAAATGTGTATGTGACCTAATAAGAGAGCTTCAAAATACATGTAGAAAAATGGACACAATTAAAGGACAAATTATACAAGCCCACAAAATACCTGAACATCTTAACACCCCTGTTTTGGAAATTCATATAACAACTCGATTTAAAATATCAGTGAAAACATGTAACCGCTGAACAGCATTATTAATCATGTGACCTATTTAATATTTTGGGGCACTCCACAGGCACACATTCTTTTCAAGTGGATGGCATATATTAACTATGATAGACAATACGCTGAGACAGAAGTGTCAACAAAACAAGATGCGTTACAATTCTCTACCATAATTACAATGAAAAATAATAAAGCAAGCGTATCAAAAATTTTCAAAATACTTTGAAATTAAACAAAAATGATCCCAATAATTCATGGGTCAACAAAAAAATCGAGCAAATGAGAATACATTTTGAATTAAATGGAAATGTCAACACAACAAATTAAAAGATATTGGAGAAAACTAAACCTAGTTCTTAAAGATGTTCTATGATTTTAAATGAATATGTTAGGAAAGATAAAATATCGTAATTCAGTGTTCTAAGTATCTTCCTTAACAAACACAATAAACCAACAAAAAACAAAAGCAAACCAAAAAACCCAAACAATGAAACAGTGAATTATCCAAAACATAAGAAGACACAAAATCCATAAATGGGTCAAAAAGTTTAACAACTACATTACAGAAGAAGATATATGAATGGCCAACAAGCTCAAAATCGCTAGTCATCTGAGAGATTCAAAATAACACTACAATATCCTAACACTATATACCCACTTTAGCTAAAATTAAAAAGGCATCTGTTCGTGAGGATATGGAGTAACTAAAATTCTCATACTTTGCTTGCGGGAATGCAAAATTGTACAGTCATTTTGGAAAACAGATTAGCAGTCACCTGTAAAATTCAAGCTAAAATTCCTTATGACCTAACGAGTCCAGTTTTAGAGATTTACTCAAGAGTAATGAAAATACATATCTATAAAAAGCCCTGTATAAAAAAGTTGCTAACAGTGTTATTCATAGTAGCCAGAAATTGGAAAGAATCCAAATGTCCATCAACAGATGAATGCCTAACGGAATGTTGAGATAAGCATAATATGGACTTCACACACAATTAAAAGAAGCAAACAACTGACACGTGTAACAGTCTGGGTCAACTGCAACACATCATGCTAAGTGAAAGAATTCAGGTAACACATACTACACATGATTTTATTTAGATGACATTCTGGAAAAAGCAAATGACATCAAAACAGATCGATTACAGCTAGGGTTCTGGGAAAGGGGCTTGAGGGAAATACTCAAGATACTGGTAAAATTCTATATCTTCATTGTGGTCATTGTTACATGAACACATACAACACCTCAACACTTCTCAAATCGTTCATTTAAAATAAATGACGTTTTTTGGATGTAACATATACCTCAATAAAGCTGTCAAAAAACAGAGCAGAAGAAAAAACCAACCAACCAACCAAGCAAATTGTAGATTTAGTAAAAGAGCCAGTTTATATATTAAATTAGCCACTAATTGTGCCTGGTTTTTAATAAGATGTGTCATGTCAATAAAAAAGAAAAATAAAACATTTGGCACTTGTTTTTAAATGACCTTTCAAGAGAGATAAAGAGGGCTAAGAATAGGCTTTAATTTTCAAGCATTTTATGCTATAACATAATAAATAAATAAACATGGTGGCAGCAGGGGTGTAGTGGTTAGAAGCACAGACTCTGGTTATGCAGCAGGTTCTCATTTTGCTGTCATGTCGATGAGAGAAAAACATCACTCTCCAGGAGCTACTGTCTGTCTGGAGTCTGCATGTTCTCCCTGCATCTGTGTGGGTTTTCTCTGGGGACTATGAGTTCCTCCCATGTCCCAAAGCTGTGTCCGTTAGTGAACTAGCAAGTCTCCAGGATCCCCGTGTGAGTGAGTTAGGGTGTGTGTGAGCCACTCTGCCATGCTTTGGCATCCTGGCAGTGTGGGTCCTGTCTGGTTCCTTAAGGGCTCTAGCCACCTGTGACCCTGAACTGGAGTAAGCAGGTAAATACTTATTTTACATGTTTTATCTTTCTTAAATGTATGTATAGCTCACATTTATTTTAATGTTTATTATGACAACTATTTTAGGTCATTATTTAGATATTTGGTGATATTTTTGTGACCACAAATATGCCCTGGAAATTTAACTCTGGTTGATGTCAATTAGCCTAAAGAAAAATTGGTTTCTTATAGTTGTTTTGCTTTTAGTTGCAGTTTCCAATAACCTATTATATAGAGCACCTTTGAGATAAGTAACTATAATACATCTTGAAAAAAGACTCCATCTTACATTTCTACAGGCATCATGTCAACAGGGACAAGATGGTTCACCTAATCAATAAAGACTACATCCAGCCAGATAAGGACACAACCAGGTATACTCTTCCACTAACAGTCCTTACCAGAGGACTCTGTGACCTTAAAAAGAGCAGGACGCCACCAATTCAAAACCACTGTGTTAACAGACACCATATTGCTGTCACTTGTGATAAGCACCTAGTATCTGCTGCTGAAGGCTCTGCCTACATCACAGACTCTTGATGGACAGATGGATGACCCAGACCCAGGACAGGATACTCTTTTTGTCCACGTCTCTCCCTGGACTGGTTAAATTAACTCTTTTTCTGTCCCCTTTTACTTAATGTTAAATGTTACTTTGTTTGTTGTGATATGTTTAGTCTATGACATTTACAAATTGATTAAGTATACTATTTATTTATGGTTTGCAATGTTGACCGACTTGTGGAGTGGCTTGAGCCTGTGGCTGTGACTACTGAGTGAACAGGACGGATTAAGGAGAATTGCTCCCTTGGTAACTCCATGGAACTTGTAGCTTTCATGATTTAAATAGGATTAATAAAGCCTGACCATTGTGGAAAGACAAAAACATGCATGGGCCTAGTTATCTCTGACCTTCTGTCACTCACAATAATTGGCATAGTCAGTGCTTTTGCTCCACAGACACATTTTCAAAACTAAAATCAATTGGCATTTATAATCACATGACTATAAAAGCTAAATTAAGAAAATTCCTAAGGCCAAAGCCTCTACTAAGACTTAAATTAGAAACCAAGCTGTTTTGCAAAACAACCTGCCACTCTCTCTAAAAAGGTACATAATCTTGCTTCACCTTGAAAGCCCGGCTCCTTAGGGAAATCTTAGGTGATAGGATTTCTGTACCCATGCCATGTAGACTGAAGGCTGACAAGGTCTTGGTTGGTGCCAAGCTAGAAGCTGGTGGAGCCAGAAAGGCTCATACTGAGCAGGGTCTCAACAATGAGATGGTGGTTGTCAAAACAAACTTGTCATTTGGCTGAAAGAAAGGAAAGTGAATTATCGCATAACCTCCACTCATATGGTTGGTTAAGGTGAGAAACTGAAATATTTATATATTAAGAAACTAAACAGAGTAGCCACTAATATTGCATAATGTGTCGGCCCTAGGAAAGAATGGTCATAGAGGGCTCACTGTCCAAATACGTTACTTAGTGTTGAGGCACCCAACAGAGTTGGAAGTCAAAAAAGGCTTCCTGTATGATGAATGCCACGAGGATATACTGTCATACTTGAGGGACCCCTAAAATATTAAGCCCGTAATTACCAGAGTCCCTAGAGAAGAAATTTCCGTACTTGTAATGCAAAGTATCTAATAGATACACAGGGATCCCAAGAAAGGCAAATAGATAGCTCATAAGATTTTAAGGAAAATTCCTTTCAGATGTAACTTTAAGGGAGGACCCTTGGGACCAAATGGGGACCTGGGTCCCATTTCAGAGAATTTAGTAGATTATGATGACCCTGCAGTGGAGGTATATGTGTCAAGACCTATAGTAACTAGAAAACAGTTATAGATTATAATCACGGAAATGGCAGACCTCAGGACATCAGTGAGGAAGCAGAATACGCCAGAGCAGAATTACAAAAAATAAGAACAGATTTTTGCTAAAGACAGACCACAGATGTAGACTGGCTCCTCCATCTATGGGATTATGGAGCAAACATCACAGAACTATCAGGCACAAAAATGCATCAGATCCCTACATTAGCAGAAAACACATTACTAAATGATCGCCTATTAGAACTAAAAAACTACCCAAGAAGCATCCTATCTCTCTGGGATTAAATCAATTAGCCTGGAAATCTGCCCACTCATATTTAGACCCAACAAAATTAGGAGACAGATTCAAGTGGAATGATCTAACACAGGCACAAAAGAATACAAAAAAAAAGTCAGCTATCCTAGGGATGGTATACGATAGATATAACCAATATGCGACTCCACTTGAAATTCCAGCTACAAATGAAATTAAAAGAGCACTTCTATTAGGAGCACCACCAAACCTGAAGGTCTCCTACATGAATGCTCTCTCAAGCACACATGACCCTGCAAGATATATTATACTAGAAACTTTTAAACTTTCTGCAGAGTTAGGAACCCATAAGGTAATATTTATGACAATCCTGATATAAACACCAAAAGATAAATTCAGGAAGTCACCATTTTTTATATATATATATATATATATATATATATATATATATATACACACACACACACACACACACATATATACACATATATATACACACATATATATACACATATACACACACACACATATATATAGTATACATATATACATATACGTATACATATATACATACACGTATACATATATACATACACGTATACGTATATACATACACGTATATATATACATATATGTATACATGTATATATACAAACAACTCTGGGACTTGTTTGAAAAAATATATATATATACGTATATATATACACACACATATATATACGTGTATATATAGTATATATATATTTTCAAACAAATATATATATTTTCAAACACGTATATATATATATATATATATTTTTTTTTTTTTCAAACAAGTCCCAGAGTTCACTCAAAATGGACGTAAGCCATCTTGGCAAAATAAATCAAGGCAGATGAGTCAGCAACCCAGACAAAACAATTGTCAATCTAAGCAAAATAATTAGCAACCAAGGACAAAAGGACCAAACTGGCAATAAGGCTGTCTAAGGCCACCGGCTAGATACTAAAATATATGGGCAAAGACATTCTTGAGGTCCAGGACCAAACCCACAACTTCAGAAACAATAACAGCAACAATAAAGAAATTTTACAAGAAAATTTTTATCAAAAAACTGGAACCCCCTTGAGTACAAGCTATAACAATCAAATCCAGGGATAACAAACCATATGTGCAATTAGCTATACAAATTGACAAATAGGTATACACATTTCTTTTAGAAACCATATCACAAGTAAGCCTTCTTAGATATAATTCCTGACATTCTGACACAAATGTCCATATAGAAGGACTTGGAGGAAAATTAATTCAAGGTTTCCCAATCTCTGCTTTTATACTTCTCTACAACTCTAAACCTATACCTTGAAATCGGTGGTGGCCTATTAAAAAACTTAAAGGAACTAAAATTCTCTAATCTAGCACAAATTAAAATGAAACCCATAACACTGCCTATACCCTACTGAAAATTAATCATTAAAGGGAGGACATAAAGAAATAACAGCAAAAATCTAGAATTTCTCAAGGAAGATATTAAAATTGGAATTTCAAATAACTTTAATAGTTTAGTATGGCCTGTTCTAAAACCAAATGGGAGCTATCAATTAATGACTGACTATAGAAATCTAAATAAAGTCTCACCTAAAATGCCAAGTATTACCAGATGCAGAAGTCATCAATAAGATCACGATCTATAACGGCAAATACTATGTAATTATAAATCTGTTGGACATTTTCTTTGCATACCAATAGACCAAGCCAAGAATATACCACCTTTACTTGAGGAGGCAAATGAGGAGGCAAACGATATCGATTTAAAAGTTTACATCAGGGATGTCTAAATAGTTCAGGAATAGCTCTTCTTTTTTTTTTTTTTTTTTTTTTTTTTTTTTGAGAGGGAGTCTCGCTCTGTCACCCCGGCTGGAGTGCAGTGGCATGATCGCGGCTCACTGCAACCTCCGCCTCCTGGGTTCAAGCGATTCTCACGCCTCAGCCTCCCAAGTAGTTGGGACTACAGGCTTGTGCCTGGCTAATTTTTTGTATTTTTAGTAGAGACAGTGTTTCACTGTGTTAGCCAGCATGCTCTCGATCTCTTGATCTCGTGATCCACCTGCCTTGGCCTCCCAAAGAGCTGGGATTACAGGCATGAGCCACCACACCTGGCCAGCTCTTCCATTTTATTATCACACATAGACCAGTCCAAATATACATCTCAAATAGTATCATACATAGATGACATTATAATGATAAACAAGAACCAGGAAAAACTTTTCTAAAAACCTCCCTTAATAACACGCTTAAGATCACTGGGATGAACTATTAATATAGATAAAACCACAGGCCCAGACACCAGCTGTAAATTTTCATGAGTACAATGTTCACGAGAAGGGAGAAAAATCCCGACCACAGTGATAGATAAAAGAAAAGCCCTTAAAGCATCAAAAAACAGGAAGGACAAAGACTAATAGGTTTATCCGGATATTGGAGACAACATATGCCTTACTTAAACATCATCCTGAAACCAATAGATAACATAACTAGAGAATTCCAAGACTTCACATTTGGACAAGAACAAAAACTAGCACTTGAAATACTCAAAGGTACATCACTATGTCCCAGATAGTGCATTATCCATCTCCAGATTCACAAATTAGGTTGCAAATTCTAATGAGTGATAAATATGGAACATGGTCAATATGGACAGAAAAACCAGATACTAAATCCATCCTACTTGTCGAATTTTGGACAATAAAATTTCCATACTCTAATAACAAATACATCCCATTTGAAAAACACATGTGGCTTACACAGGAAGCCTCGAAAATACTGAGCCTCTGACTGGCAACAGCATTACAATAAGATGCCATAAGCCTTGTCTTCACTGGATAAAATTGAGTTCTGAAGAACTGACAGGTATCCAAATTGATCTAAAGCTGCTCACATGGTAATGGTACATCCAGGCTTTAAGGGTCAACCAGGCCTCCTCACCAAGGACATTCACAAGACTGAAATAGACTCGCCGGAATTTATTCTGAGGACAAGAACAATCCATGCCAATCCAGGTAGATGGGCCCAGTCTGGTCTAATGTCTAGAATAATACCTTGTTTATAGATGGATCAGCTGCCACGACCCAAGGCCAGACCCAACAGACAGCAGCAGCACTCAGACCCAAGGACCAAAAAATCCCGAAGACATCAGGCAAATCACTCTCTGCACAGCATACAGAATTGATTGCAGTTGTTCCACATCAGACACTCAGTATTAGAAAATCAAAAGAAAATTTACATTTTATAGATTCATGGATAGTTGCAAGTGGCATAGCCCTATGGTCATATAAATGGAAACGAAATAATTTCAAAATTAATAGTGAAGACATATGGTACAAATATTACTGGGAGGAGATATCTGAATTATCAAACAGAATTAAGATATTTGTGAAACATGTATCAGCACACCAAAAAGATTATTCAGAGATGACAAAATATAATAGGTAGATGCACTAACAAGGAACATAACCACTGACAAACAAAACATACCCAAATTAAAACTACAGGGAAATTCAGACAACTCATGGAGACATTCATTACCATCTCTACAATTCAGGAGAAAATCAGACAATGAATGGGAGATACTAGAAGTACCCTCAGTAGCTTTAATGAAACAGGGAGATGACTTTAAACAGATACCAGAAGCAGCTTGTAATCAAATACTCCTATAATTACATAAGCAAAAAGAACAATTGGGCATATACTCACTGTACGGGTGGCTATCAGACAGAAATCAAAAGGTGATATGGCACCAAGTTAAAAAGCCTATAGCTAATTGTGAGCAATGTAAAACTACCTAGATGAATATAGAAATACTAAACAAAAAGATACATACAAACCCAATGCCTTTTGCCGACAGAATTTATAGGACCATTAAAGCACCACTACCAATAAAAATATGCAGTAACAATTGTGAATGTATATGTACATGGATTGTCATAGCAATAGTAGGCAGACATCCATCTGACAAATATACCATCTCAGCCTTAGAAAATTGGGTGGCTCACTACAAAACACCTAAAGTAATTGAAAGTGATCAGCGAAATCATTTTGCATCAAGGGCTACAAAAGCATTGACAGATCAGTGAGATATAATACAGTGCAATTTCCACCTACCTATAATCCCATGGCAGGAAATCTAGAGAGACTTAATGAACTATAAAAAGAGGATGAAAAACCTTAGACCAAATGAGTATATTCCAACAAACTCTTAACCTGGTATGTTTTCATTTAAATCAAAAGGACAGACTCCATAAGAGCAACCCTCAGTCTCATCTTAATCAACTGACTTTAATGGTCATAAAAGAAAAGGGAAAATATGATGCAAATATTGTACCTTACAAAGTGAGTACTAGACTAATTTACAAGACTATCCCTCAATAGTGCATTCTGGCCAACAGACACAAAATACATATTGGACTACAGGAAAAAGAGAAGAGTCACAATTACACAAAATCCCTACTAAATCTACTGATTGCTGGATGTCAGCATCTTCCAGAAACCCATTATGGTCCTGGATACCACTGGAGATAAGTATTTTTGATAAAGGACAACAAATAAAATGGGATAGTTAATATTTACAGGTAGTCACAGACCAGATACCTACAATCTGCTGTTATCTAACTCACCACTAGTACTTGGACCATTTACACCCACATACAAAACAACAGAGATTATTAGCACATTCTTTACACAAGATGATCCAAGAAACATGATCATATTAGACAAATTTACCTATAAAACCAAATATGTATGAGATCAAGTTATTTTTCTATTGTGCCCACTGAAATTTTGAAGATGTAGATAGAGACAACATACAGTTTCAATTAATTGACTGGTGGGAAACAGTAGGAACCAAAATAAATGTGGGAAAAGTCACAAAAATAGATGCAGGTATGTCAAATTCCTTTTTCTCTATTATCCAGCCATTCCACGAATCATAGAATATGGTTACATGGTCGGCCCAACACCCTATTTACAAAAATATAACCAGACTAGACTCCCATTTATGTAAATTTATATCTAAAGTCAGCTCTTTTGGAAAAGCTATGTTAAACCTTGGGACACTGAACCATGCATAATTGAGACAGGATGCTGGAATGACATGTGTCACTAAAAGACACACCACTAGAAACCACAGTGGACCAAGGGGACAATAAAACCTCCACCTAAATTACTAAAATCAAATGTATTTGAACCCATGCTAATTAACCCTTAAGATTAATTTACAAATCAACACCTAGGAGAGTCAAAATATTTTTCAAAAACTAAACATTTTTTTTTTTTTTGGAGACAGAGTCTCACTTTGTTGCCCAGGCTGGAGTGCAATGGTGTGATCTCAACTCACTGCAACCTCCTCCTCTTCGGTTCACGCGATTCTCCTGCCTCAGCCTCCCAAGTAGCTGGGATTACAGATGCACACCACCATGCACGGCTAATTTTGTATTTTTAGTAGAGACAGGGTTTCACCATGTTAGCCAGGCTGGTCTTGAACTTCTGACCTCAGGTGATCCAGCTGCCTTGGCCTCCCAAAGTGCTGGGATTACAGGCGTGAGCCACCGTGCCTGGCTGAAAACTAACAATTTAAAGTCACAAATATCTAACCACGATGTCTACAATTTGAGGGACAGGGATATAACATACAGCTCATTTTACCAAACTTACCACCACTAGAAAAATATCATTTAGAAATCTGCTATAAATGTTCGCAACAATTGGATTTCAAACTTAGTCACTGCAGAAACGCAAAAAGCAGAAATTCAGGAAGTTAAAACAGACGTATTTAATTTGAAACATAAACTTAATTCCTACATGTCAACTACCACATCTATACTGTCATCAATTTCACAGGCACTTAATGAAATAAATCAATGATAACTCATACCCATGTTCTTATAGAATATCAAAAGGAATTCAGTTACAATATTGATCACAAGGTAGACATCGAAAAGTCAACATATTTACATTAAGAAACCTTATGCTGAAAAACTAGGGCGAACACAGTGGACTAGATAAGTACTTTAGTAGCTCAGACTTGGAACAATATAAGAAACACAATACAATCGGGAAAATCATTCATAGAAAATTGGGACAAAGCAGCTATATTTCAACTGGATACATCCAAACCATCAGGATGTGACGATTCAGGGCAATGTATATTCAACCTTTGTGAATTAAGAGGAGAAGACTCACTATTGGCATATTGGCACAATGACAAATCCACAGACAAATGAAAGACATAATTTCCAACTAACTTCCTTAGAAAAGCCACTATTTATTGATGGTTATTTTATATAAAGATAATTAATATTCCAACAGTCAAACACTATATACTATATCTTTCAGGACATACTACCTAAACTAGATTACTTACCTATCAGCATTACAAAAATACCCATAATGGCTCTAGTCTTAGGAAACTTCACTTGGATAGTGTGCTCAGAGAAAAATTATAACCTGATTATAACCACACAAGTCGAAAGCACCACAACATACACTTGCAATTAGAATGTGTCAAACTGATGTATGTCATAAACATCACCCTCACAAACACTTCAAAACTTACCACTATATGGAAGAAACAAAAAGTAGAGATTTTTGTTCATCATTGTGGCACTCCAACATAAGAAGAAGCACCTTGGGAAGATACCACACAGACGAAGACAAACAAGAAAACTCAAAGAAACTTGAACAGGCTCATGATAAATTCCATATAGAATTAGCACAATTAAAATGCACTACTGAGACGGTAACACATAGAATAGCAATATTAAACACATAAAATCACATTTGAAAAATACCTAGACGGCTTACACTGAAGATGTACCTTCTTGCAAACGATCAAAAAGACCTTTAGCCACACTTCTTGTAACAGCTCATGGTTAGCTTGAAAACTAATAAATATATTAAAAAACTGGATTCCAGAATTGGTCTAAAATCTTTGAGAACATTTATAGAACTTTGTTATCTTCGTTGCAGTCATCTTCTTTGCCAACTATAAACTGAAAAACTGCATTGCTAGCCTTTGTAAAACAAAGTTTGTAAACAAGCTGCCAAGAGAAAATTAATTACCAAGGCCACTTGTAATTTTTTACTTTTGTAACCCCTTCCTCAAATATTGTTTGCATTGTGATTACTAAAATCATGAGGTGGATTGTTTAGAGCACCCTAGACATAAGTAACTCCAGCTTAGAAGATGACACCATCTTACATTTCAAAACGTATCATACCAACAGGGAAAAGATGGGTCACCGCGTTGATAAAGACTGCATCCAATCAGATAAGGACATCACCAGGCATACTCCTCCGCTATCAGTCCTCACCAGAGGGCTCTGTGGCCACAAAAAGAGCAGGACTTCAGCAGCTTGAACCTCCATCTTAACAGACAATGTCTCACTGTCATTTGTGATAAGCACCCAGCATCTGCTGCTGAAGGCTGTGCCCACATCAAAGACTTTTGACTGATGGACCATCCAGACCAGCACAGGCCATTCATTTTGTCCACGTCTCTCCCTGCACTGATAACCCTTTTTCTTATCCCTTTTCTCTCAATGTTAAATGTTACTTTGTTGTGAAATGTTTCATCTATAACATTTTTATATTAAGTACACTACTACGTATGGTTTGCTATGTTGACTGACTTGTGGAGTGGCTTCAGCCTGTGTGCCTGTGGCTCCGACTGCAGAGTGAAGGGAAGCACGATGGAGAACCGCCCGACTACAGACGGAAGGGGAAGTACGATGGAGAACCGCCCCCTTGGGAGTTCCTTGTAGCTTAGGAGTTTCGTGATTGAAATAGCATCACTAAAAGTCTAACACTGTGGAAAGACATAAAGGTGCATGAACTTCGTTATGTCTGACCTCATGCCACTCATGATACAATGGTTTATATTAGAAGTGTTTAGGGTCATTATTTAGAAGTTTGTGACCGGAAATAGGCCATAAGAATTTAACTCTAGTTTGTTTCAACTAGCCTAAGGGAAAATTGGTTTCATTATAGTCCTTTTGCTGTTTAAAGTCACAGTTTGCAGGAATCTATCTACCTCTTAAGTGATAATTTACTGTATAGACCCTGAGGTCAAATCAAATCTGCGCCACTTACCGTGTGAATTTCGGCGGTTGCATATCCCTCTGTGTTTGAGTTTTCCCATTTTATAAATGCTGGTAAAAATAGGGTTCCTCAATAAGTTTGTTGTGATGATTAAGTAGTTGTCTTAGTCCATTTGGTGTTTGGTGAAAGGTACCACATGCAAGAGAACACAGGAGAGAGGGCAAGAGGAGCCCAACTCACTTTTATAACTAACCTGCTCTCATGAAAACAGTATCATTCACGGGGGCAGAGTCTGCATGACCTCATCACCTCTTAAAGGTCCCACCTCTCAACACTGTTACACTGGGGATTCAGTTTCCAACACATGAACTTTGGGAGAAATACTCAGGTCATAACCTCACTTTTTCCACATAAAGCACTTAGAAGAGCACCTGCTATAGTCTAAGTACACAATAAACACAATTATCATTAGAAATCGTGCATGGCTTGCTGAAAGAACAGTAATGCATGAGGGAAGCACACATTTAATCAATTTAAATCCATTCAATTTTAGTGTGGGCTACTGATTTAGTTAATTGAGGCAAGTAAAGATTCAGGTTTTTCCTCCAGAATTTCATTTTACTCAAAGCCTGAGGAATTCTGTCAGGTGGTTGCGAATGACTTCTTCCATGATTTGGTTAAATCTCTATTTTAAAGTTACTGAATACATTCAAAACCAAGAATATACTTTATAATGAAACTGAAAAAAATGAAATTCAAGAGAAAAGGCATTGTATAAATAATTGAGAATGTTTGTACTGTATTTGAGCATTAATCTTGATATTGCTGTGAATAAATTTGCCCACAGGCAAATATGCTACTTACCAAATAAGCCTTTAATATGTACTTAAAGCAATTATTAATAATATGTTATAATAATACCTTTTGAGTACTTATAATGATGTTAAACACGGGAATTGTGACTGAAGACAGAATTTTAAAAATTAGCTTCTAAAATACCCAAAATAGATCCTTTATATTCACAGTCATATAAAAGGCAAAATGATTATAAATGGCAAAAACCTGAACCCCAAATAGGGAATACATTTTCTAGAATAGTCCTTGTTTGTGTAAAAACCACTGATTTCAAAAGTCAGCTACTTTACAGCAAAAAATTGTACCTCTTTGAAATCAATGGGAATTTGATAATGCAGAAAAGGGATTTCATTAGGCCCTGAGTAATTAATTAAAATGACAAATGTGTGTAAATGATGAATATAGACTATTGTAATTAGAGACTCACCAGGTGTAGTAAATATGCTCGACTTTCCATTTTCAAAATTGCTTATAGGCTAATGATAAGATGATTTTCCAGGGCTCATCTGAAATCCCAGCTCTCTGCAGACAATAGATTATCTGATTAAAGTATCCCTTGCAAGAGTGAGCATGCATCTAAAGACATACAGAGGTGATAAAATAAATGTTTAGAATAGTTCCAGAGAATGAAGAATCTCCTTAGGAGGTAAAGAGTTGAATGACATAATTAACTTGGGGTTGGGAGGAAAGATATTTCTTCATATTTTGCCTTTAAAACAAGGTTAGTGAAAATATATTTGTAACTTTTAATAAAATTTCCCAAATGTTGCCAAGAATCTACCCAGATCTTTCCTCTTTTAAAAACTTGATATTTGTCCAAATGTGATTAATTCGATAACTTATCCTCCCCACATTTACAAAGGGAAAATTCACAGCTGTTACTAATTACAAGTCTACACACCATAAAGTAATTAAATAAAAATCCAAGTTTACTAGAAGGCTAAATTTAGATTGACTGGCTTGAATTAACAAACTTTTTTTGTAAACTCATTTTTTTAAAGTGAATTGCCTTACTTAACTAATTTGGAATATATTTTTAAAATAATTGATGGAGAGATTTAGAGAACAGAGAAAAAGGTAGCTGTAATATTATGAATTTCTGATAGGAAAAATAAATGAAAGTCAAATATCTAAAATTCCAACAACCAATGGACTCCTCTTCTTGAAGTATTACAATGTCAAAGTGGTTGTTGCCTTCATCTTCTGTAGATTGACAGGAGCAGCCCTACTTAGAACACTCTTAGTTAATTTATACTATCCTCAAAGCTACCGTGAGAGAGGTTTTATTGCACACCTACTTTAAAGGTAAGAATTCTTGAACTGTTAATTACCATATTAGGTTTCATATAGTCAATAAGTACTATTGCCAAAATTTAGAAAAAGGTGTTTCTAATTCCAGATTCTGTGCTTCTTCCTCAGGTGGACTTCACCTTTAGATATCCCCATTTGTCTTCACGGTCCTTTGATATACTCCTCAGGGCCGCTGTGTGTGACCATATTGGATTTACACTGCACAAGTGGTGGGTGTGTTATACATAGACAACAATGTGACTGCTTTCTAGAGTTACCTAGTGCAACTGCTCCTGCTCTTACTATGACATTTCTAGTCCTTCTTATTTGCTATCTTAGCCATATTTTTGGAGATTACGTCAGCACCCGCAAAGCCTTTTCCCTCACAGACATAATATCTACTCATTGAAATGCACTTTCTTCCAGGTGAGAAATTTATAAATGTTATTATCAACTTCTGACATTATGCCTTGCATATATAAAGGACTAAAATATTTGGTCAATAAGTAAATAAATGTTTAAATTCTACAAAACTAGCCTCCAGGTATTGTTTCATTTATTTATGAACATATGAATGTATACATGCATGTATTTGTATATGTATGGATGGATTATGTATGGGGACTTAAAGTGAGCATGTGGTCACTGTATATCTCATTGTTTTATGGAAAAGTGCCAGTTACAAATAACGGACCAATAAATAACTGTTTAAATCAGGTCTGTTCTTGAACTGGGAGGTTAAAGAATTCTAGGAATATATTGTACAGTAAATTATGATTCATTTGAAAAAGAATTTGAGTATTCAAGGCAAAGCAAATGCTGGGTGGAAGAAGTTCCAAGAACATAAAATTTAACACAGCATTAAGATATTTGTAAGTGAGACTTGTCCGGAAATTGTATGGGTTTCTTGAAAGGAATCTACTCCAGGGGCATGGAGATAGAGATGAGAGATCACCTTTCTGGTGTCTGTCTAAAAAATTCTTCAGCCGGGCGCGGTGGCTCACGCCTGTAATCCCAGCACTTTGGGAGGCCAAGGCAGGCGGATCAGAAGGTCAGGAGATTGAGACCATCCTGGCTAACACGGTGAAAACCCATCTCTACTAAAAATACAAAAAAAAAAAAAAAAAAAAAATTAGCTGGGTGCGGTGGCGGACACCTGTAATCCCAGCTATTCGGGAGGCTGAGGCAAGAGAATGACGTGAACCCGGGAGGTGGGGCTTGTAGTGAGCTGAGATCGCGCCACTGCACCCCAGCCTGGGTGACAGAGCGAGACTCCGTCTCAAAAAAAAAAAAAAATTCTTATAGACTGGGGATATTAGGCCTTTGTTGGAAGCGTAGTTTGCAAATGTTTTCTCTCATTCCGTAGATTGTCTGTTTACTCTGTTAATACTTTCTTGGGCTCTAAAGAAACTGTTTAGTGGAAGGCTGATTATTCGGTACTATGCTCACCGCCTTGGTGATGGGATCATTCATACACCAAGCCGGAGCAACACAGTTTCCTCATGTAACAAACCTGCACACATACTCCCTGAACCTAAAATAAAAGCGGAAAAAATAATTAAAATAATTTATTCCACAATAACAACAACAAAATCTTGCTATAGCAATGGGTTGGCAGATTAAATATACTACGCTTTCACTCCAGTTGGAAAGTTTTGTCATTCTGTGAATCCCTATGTTTTTCATGAATATCACGTCAGGTTGTATATTCTTTAAGTTATTTATTAGCGAGAGTTTTGGAGAAATCTCATATTTTACAAGTAATCTTTGACCATATGAGTTTCTAAAAATGAAAAAAATTCTTATTATATACTTTGTTATAATAATTTTTGTTTCCTTTTATTAACATTCAGTTTTGTTCCTTTGCTTGAGAATAATTCCAAATGAACCAATAATAGATCTTTCAATTTCTCTGTAATTAACACTGTCTATTTTTCCAGAGGTCTACTGGAATATTATTAGATTCTCTAGTGGTGAGATATCCTGCCATTTTTAAACTTTGTAGATAGGACTTCTGCCACTTAGATAACCATATGGGAATGAATATATATTGTAACCCCTTGGTATCATTTTACTATCATAACTCTCATTCTTTGAAAGGCAGTGAAGCAAAGATCCGAGATATAGGGTAGAACTGTACAATTGGCTTTTCAATGTTCTGGGAAGAAAGCAATGTAATTAAATTCTTGCCAGTTCATGTTGAGTCAAAAGGCAAAATCTAGAAAGCTATAGTTTTCCATTTCTTTTAAATATTCTTGATTTTAAATCCTTTGACCCTTGAAGCTAGGCATTCTCTCTTCTTTCGTTTCTTTAATAGTTTAGTTTCTTCAATGGCAAGGCAATGTTAAGTGCAAGCTGCAAAACTCAGAGAAAATTGGTAATTGCTACATATTAATAGTCAGGCTAGCTTGGGGTTTTATGGTTAGTCAGCTGGTAATTAGCTAAGACATTTGTATTAGTCTCTTCTCACGCTGCTATGAAGAAATACCTGAGTCTGGGGAATTTATAAAGGAAAGAGGTTTAATTGACTCACAGTTTTACATGTCTGGGGAGGCCTCAGGGAACTTACAATCGTGGCAAAAGGCATATCTTTACAGAGTGGCAGGAGAGAGAAAGAGAACCAAGCCAAGGCGGAAGCCCCTTATAAAAACCATCAGATATTGTGAGATCTTACTCACTAGCAGGAGACCAGCATGAGGGAAACTGCCCCCGTGATTCGATTACCTCCCACGGGGGTCCCTCCCACCACACCTGGAAATTATGGGAACTACAATTCAAGATGAGATTTGGGGCGGGGGGACCAGGAAAACTATATCAAGATTTTTGTTTTCTTTATATGAATGTTGAAGTTTGAATGAATGTCAAACTCCAATATTGTACGTAGGGTTTAGTAATGATATTCAGATTTAAAACTTTCAATCCAATAGCATTAACAAAAGGTAATGTAACTGTTTAGATATATATTTGATATATCTTTTATTTTGTACAAATTATATATATAATATATAATACATACATAACTAATCTGACTATTCTGTAAACTTGCGCTTAGCAAAAAATAAACTACTATAAGGTAGTATGGATGTAATTTTTCAATATTGTCGGAATATATCAGTGAGATTAAATAGTAAATTTCCACTAACATGGTATTTTAGGAAAACAATTAGCTGCTGTGTATCAAAAATGCTTCTTTTAAGTAACATTTGCCTTTTCTATGGGTATACATGAGTATCTGAGGAGTATATTTTAATCTTGATTTGCATTTAATTAAACCAAAATGTAAAGAAAATAATTGTTTGTTATTTAATTAAATTATCAGTTAATTACCTGAACCTACATACTTGGATATTTTCTTGACTCAAATTAGTATTTTGCAATTGACTGAACTGCCTTTTATCTATGTTTTATCTCATTTCTGTCTCTTGGAGTTTCACTAGCTTCCTCCACCAAGATAGAAGACTAAATTTTTCAGATATGTGAACATATTTAATTTTAATAGATTAAGTCAATTTAGAAGTCTACATAATAAGTTTCAAAGTTCATTGTAGTTAGCTGTGTATTTCAGAATAGAGCTCTATTTGTCTGCAATGGCTGTGGGCAACTTGTAAGTCCATAAATGAAGACTGTGGACAAAATCACCCATTGCAGCTATCACCAAACTTGAATGACAGCCCCTGGAGAACTGAGCTGAAGTATAAATGAGTGACAAGTGCTGATTTTCCTAGAATACAGAGGTACAAATGACCTAGATGAGAACCCGTTTCCTAAACTGAAGCTGCTTTCCAAGTGGGAGGTTGCTACAGGTGCGGTTTTCTGAACCAACTGCCAAGAAAGAAAGGAATCCAAAAGAAATTTTAAAATGATTCTCTCAAGAAACATGCTAAAGAACACCACTTTGTAAGAACAACCTTAAATAGTCTCTGTTATCAAGCTAAAATAGTCATCACTCCCTAATATATCACTCCATAATTGTCCTGGTCTGTGAATTTCTTCTAAGGTTTAAAGATACATCCAATGGTCCCCAAATTTTATTGCAGCTTATCCCAGGTATACATTTTTATTTTGAAGGATAATTTGTTGTGATTGGAGTTGATAATCCTGCTGAAATCTCTATTTGTAGGGGCTTAGAATCCATTCCTTAGTGTTATGTCTTATTTTAGACATTTTTGAATCATCTTTTGGTCTTCCACATTTAGTAAATTACAAGCTTTCAAGGATAGGGAATATGACATTTATTTTAATATCTCCCAAGACTGTGAAAATTACTGTCATATTTAAAAATTCAAACTCTCAGGTAAATAATGACACATTGTCAGAACCCCTTGCTGTGATTTTTTGAAACATGGCTTAGTTCCATGATTGAGATTGAATTTAAAGGAGGAAAAAAGGTCACAGAAATGAGAAGCAGAGATCCTAAAAGCAACTCATTAATTTGTTCTTCTAGGCATAGGACCCCTTTGTCCTTAAATATATTTTCCCTGTGTCACACACAAAAAGAAGAATGTACAGGACAAAATGAACACAAAATATGTGAACACATGCTTAACCAGCTTGCTCACTCTTTTCTTGTTCTTTTTTTACCCCAACATCAATTTGGATGTGGGTATTATCACCTACTAGCCTTCTATTCTGTCTTTCTCTTTTCCTCCTTCTCCTTCTAACTCTTTCACTCTATCCATCTTTCCCCCTCCTTTCTACATATTATCTCTAAGCCTACTTATTCAGAAATGACACTAACTCTTTTAATCAATCCATCTTTCCTCCTCCTTTCAACATATTGTCTCTAAGCCTAATTATTCAGAAATTTCTTCTAAAAATTTTCTGTTTATGATTTCCAAAGTATCATTTTCTAATGTTTACTGCAATATTATTGGAACAGGAAGCTTGTTTTGAAATCTTGTAAATTGCCTTATAAACACTTATACTATAGTAACTTATACTGTAATAAGTATTCTATTTCTGGATATTTTAATAATTGTTTTTAATTGTTAAATAATACTTCCAAATATGTTATGTAAAAATGTTGTGTAGGTTACAAATCACATAGACACATATTTTTCTTTTAGTACTATATGTTCATGTTTGCAGTTTTTGAATATGATTCTTAGTGAAATAAAGAAAAAGACTACTTAGGAAAAAGTATCAAATTTTGGATTATAAGAATTAATAAATTATAGTGGTTGTTAAATAACTATCGATGTCTGATACAATTTATTATTTTTATTGTGGTGTGTAATAGAACAAAAGCATATTAACATTAAATAAAAATGTAGTCACACAAAACATATGTTTAAACAAATAAAGGAAATCAGTGACAAAAGAGAGTTGCAAAACAAAACTAATTTTATTTTATAAATTATTAAGGGAAAATATCGTAAAATAAATAGCTATGTGAAGAGAGATAAACTAGGTGACCTGATAGAGGCCTCTTTAAATCAACAAATTCTCAGATTCACTGGGAAACTATCCATCAAAAACACAGGCTCAGGTGGCTTTAATACATTTCTGCTCAAGAAATTGAAAGTAATGAAGAAGAGTGTGTACTCAAATGACAAAGATGGAGAGGAGTTCTGTAGAGAGGTTTTCTTTCCAAATGATGAGGCAAAGGAAAGGGTGACACTGATGACGAAGGACTTTTAAAAAATAGGTCATAGAGCCTACATAAAAGAACAGAATTTTAGCTTTTACTTTTGATTCCTTAAATATTAACTAATGATTTTTTATGGTATGCAATGTTATAGGCTTAGTGTAGTCATTTTGCTCTTTTTTATTATTTGAGAGGAAACATGAATGTAATTCAATAAATGCTTCCATTGAAATATGTGCTTCATATTTCCAAGCTGTTTTAAAATTTACATGCTCTGTGGTTTTGTAATACATATTTCATCTTATCTGAAAATAATTTGCTACACCATTATGTATGTATCCTTACTATATTTCCATCCTCATAATATAATTGAGATCATTTTTTCTTATTTTTAAACTATAATGACCCTGTAATCACCTGATGAGTTCTTCTTGCTCACTGCCCAGATAGAGCTGATTTACTGAGACAGCAGAATTGCAATAGAGAAAGGCTTTAATAAATATACAGCAAGCTAAGCAAAAGACATGAATTTATTAATCAAATCCATCTCCCCAAAAATTTGGAGATTAGGGCTTTTTTAAGGGTAATTTGGCAGACATGGGGCTAGGGAGTTAGCAATGAAAAGATACGAAGTTAAAGTGAGTTTTTGCTGCCTTCAGTCCCTGGGTGGGACGGCAGAACTAGTGGAGCCAGTTTACAGATGTAGATGGTACCAGCTGGTCCATCAGACTGCGGGGTCTGAAAAGTATCTCAAACACCAGTTTTAGGTTTTACAATAGTAATGTTATCCATAGGAATAATAAGGGATGTTAGGAATCTTATAAGGTCTGGCTGCATGACTCCTGAGCCATAATTTCAAATCTTGTGGCTAATTTGTTAGCTTTACAAAGGCAGTCTGGTCCCCCAAAAAGGAGGGGGTTTGTTTCAGGAAGGTGCTGTTACTATATTTATTTGAAAGTTAAACTGTAAACTAAATTCGTCCCATAGTTAGCTCAGCCTATGCTCAGGAATGAACAAAGGCAGCTTGGAGGTTTAAAGCAAGATGGAGTCAGTTAGGTCAGATTTATCTCACTGTCACAATTTTTGCAAAGATGGTTTCAATCTGTGTTCTATGCCCAAGAATCAAACAGGAAAAGATACAAGAATACGTAGACAGTAATTTTGTTTTTTAGTCAATAGCCTGGATTTTCCTTACCAAAATTTTCCTCTCCGTAAGTGTTACAATGATGCAAATTCAAAATTCAAGTGTCCACTTTTACTTATGGGAGGGGAAGATCGATTCAAGAAAAGTAAGAAGTAAAATCTTGATAGATTTTTGGTGGCTAGAGCATAGCAGAATACACTTTCCTTCTGCTTGACTGCCTTGGAACACAATGGCCTCTAACGGCCATTTGACACCATGAAGAGTTGGGAAAACAATGAAGATTTGGAAAGGAAAAAAAGGGCCGAAGTAAACATTTATTTGGCACCTTAAAAAAACCCTGAACTTTAAAAATTTTCCATTTAATCAACTTTCACTTCCTTCTACATGTTGTCATTTTGCAATATCGTCAAACAATTTAGGCTTTTAAAATGTAGAGTTGGGATTGCAAAATGTAAAATTTGACCTTTTTTCCCCACATGAAGTTCGTAGGATTGCTGGAAACAAAAATGCTAGTATCCTGAAATGTAAACTTCACAAATATAGACTTCTTCACTTTTTTTAAACAACACAGTCATTTATTGTTTATTGTTCATTTCTTGTGTCTATACAGTTAAGCATGTTGTAGGATTTAGATCAAATATAAAAATAAAGTTTTATCAAATTAAAATGTTACAGTAAAAATACTTGATTTTATAAAGACAAAATTAAGCAGAAAAAACTGACCTATAAATTAGATGTCTATTTTTTAATCTTTCATAGATTGATGTTTATATTAATATGAATTCATATTTATTAGTATATCAGCTGGATTACAATAACATTAAAATATTGTGACTAATAATATTTATGGGGATGATTAAAGGTCTTTAAAAGATTATTATCCTTAATAGATGACAGAAAGTTTTGTAAATATTTTATATGTAATCCTAACAGCATTAATATAAATTATATATAATTATTTTTCCATTGTATATATGAGGTATTAGAAATTTAGTAAAGTTAAATAACTTGTCCAAATTCAGATGAAAAGGATGCTATGTAGCTGGGATCTGAAGACATACTTATGTACCTAATAATTACAACATTTCATTTCATGTTATGTTATATTCTATTATGCTGGTTATGCTATGCTGCACATTTTATTATACGATAATGAAACTTTATATAACTTCTGGAATACAAAAAACTGACATGTGCATGTTCAAATCCTTAATTATATTGTATGAATTTGAACGAATTTAAGTAGTTTATGGTTTTGTAGAGAAATTCTTCATAACTTTACATTTTTAGTTGTCCTCCTTAATTCCCCTCTAGAATACATTCTGACCACAAAAGGAATTGGCAAGGATATCAGTGTATAACACATGATTAAGTATTTGTACAAAATATTTTTCCACAGAGGGTTCTTGTAAATTCTGGACCTGGGGTGGGTAAGGGAGTGTGTAATCATTATAAGAAATTCAATGTAAGAGGTCTGAGATTGAACACCACATGTTAACAGAATTTGAGATGTTGGTTCTATCCATAGGTGGCAGGAATTTGGCACTGAGATCACCTGCAGGATGTGGCAAACTTCACACTGCTACATTCTCACAATAGGGGTTGGAGAAAATGTGCCCTAGCTCAGGCAGATAGCAAAGATGCTCTTTAAAAAAATCTTTGAATTTTACAGGTATATACTAATTATATATATGGGATACATGAGATATTTTGATACAGGCATACAATGTGTAATAATCACATCAGGATAAATGGGGTTTCCATCACCTCAAGCATTCATCATTTCCTTGTGTTAATGAACATTCCAACTGTACTCCCCCAGTAATTCTAAAATGTACAATAAACTATTGCTGAATGCAGTCACTCTGTTGTTCTGTCAAATCTAGATCTTATTCATTGTATCTGACTATATTTTTCTACCCATTATTCATCCCCATTCTCCATCCCCTACTTCACTACCCTTCTCAATCTCTGGTAACCATCATTTAGCTCTCTATCTCCATGAGTTCAATTGTTCTAATTTTATTAACATATTATTTCATTATTTCCTTTCTGTTATTCTATTATGATCAGAGAAGAGACTTGATATGATTTTAATGTTTTTGAATTTTGTTTTGTTTTGTTTTTGAGACAGAGTCTCGCTCTGTCGCCAGGCTGGAGTGCAGTGGTGCGATCTCGACTCACTGTAACCTCTGCCTCCCGGGTTCAAGCGATTCTCCTGCCTCAGCCTCCCAAGTAGCTGGGACTACAGGCACGTGCCACCATGCCCAGCTAATTTTTATGCTTTTAGTAGAGACAGGGTTTCATCATGTTGGCCAGAATGGTCTTGATTTCTTTACCTCGTGATCTTCCTGCCTCAGCCTCCCAAGTGCTATAATCCCAAGTGCCGGGATTACAGGTGTCAGCCGTGCCAGGCCTGAATGTTTTAAGACTTGTTTGTGGCCTAACATACGAGTTATCCTTGAGAATAATCCATGTGCTGAGAAGAGGGATACATATCCTCAATCTGTTGAATGAAATGTTCTGTAAATATCTATTAGGACCATTTGGTCTATAGTGCAGATTAGGTCCAAAGTGTCGCTGTTGATTTTCTGTCTGGATGATCTGCTCAGTACTGCAAGTTGGATGTTGTAGTTTCAACTATTTTCCTATTGGAGTTTATCTCTCTAGCTCTAATTATATTATTTATCTAGGTGCTCCTGTACTGGGCATATATATATATATATATGTGTATATATATATATATATATATATATATGTGTATATATATATATATATATATATATACATTGTTACATCCTCTTGCTGAGTTGTTTATCATTACATAATAAACTTCTTTGTCTCTTTTTATAGCTTTTGTCTTGAGTCTATTTTATCTGATACAAGTATAGCTATTTCTGCTCTTTTCTGGTTTCATTTGCATGAAATATCTTTTTCCATCCCTTTATTTACAGTCTATGTGTGTCTTTATTGGTGAAGTGTGTTTCTTGTAGGCAACATATTATTGGGTCTTGTTTTTTAAATCTATTTAGCCAATCTACGTATTTTAACTGGAGAGTTTAGACTATTTAAATTCAATGTTATTATTAATAAGTACAGACTTAATCCTGCCATTTTGTTATTTGTTCTCTGGTAGTTTTTTGGTCCTCCCTCCCTCCCTCCCTCCCTTCCTCCCTTCCTTCCTCCCTTCCTTCCTTCTTTCCTTTCTTTCTATCTTCTCATATGTGAAAATAATTTTATTGGGTATTACATTTTAATTTCTTCCTTTTTATTTTTTGTGTTTCTGTTGTAGGTATTTTGATTTAAGGTTTCCAAAGGCTTACCAACATCATTTTATAACCTGTTATTTTAAACTGGCAACAAGTATGATTGCAAAAGCAAATTAATAAATGAGCAAAGAGAAAACTAATAAAAACTCTTTACTTTGTCTGCATCCCCTAACTTATTAGCTTTTTGCTGTTTCTTTTCATGTCTTATTAAATTGTCTATGTCTTGAAAAGTTGTTGTAGTTATTATTTTTGATAGGTTTTTCTTTTAGCCTTTCAAGATATGAGTAAACACACCACGATTACAGTTTTATAATATTCTGTATTTGTCTGTAAACTTACTCTTACCAGTTAATTTTGTAACTTCAGATGATTTATTTTTTTTTAACTTTTAACTATCAGTTCTAGGGTACATGTGCACAGCATGCAGGTTTGTTATATATACATATACCTGTACCGTATTGGTTTGCTGCACCCATTAACTCGTCATTTACATTAGGTATTTCTCCTAATGCTATTCCCTCCCCCATCCCCTTACACCACAACAGGCCCTGGTGTGTGATGTTCCCTGCCCTGTGTCCATGTGTTCTCATTGTTCAATTCCCACCTTTGAGTGATAACATGTGGTGTTTGGTTTTCTGTCCTTGTGACAGTTTGTTCAGAATGATGGTTTCCAGCTTCATCCATGTCCCTACAAAGGACATGAAGTCATCCTTTTTAATGACTGCATAGTATTCCATGGTGTATATGTCAGATGACTTCTTATTGCTCATTGACATCCTTTTCTTTCAGATTAAAGAACTACGTTTAGGATTTCTTGTATGATAGGTCTGGTGTTGAAAAAATCCCTCAGCTTTTGTTTTTCTGGGAAAGTCTTTATTTCTCCTTCACCTCTGAAGTATATTTTCACTAAGTATTGGATTTCAAAATAAAAAAGTGTTTTTCCTTCAGCACTTTAAATATCATACCACTCTTTCCTGACCTATAAGGTTTCCACTGAGAAATCTGCTGCAAGATATATCACAGCTCCTTCATAGGTTATTCTTTCTTTTCTCTTGCTGCCTTTAGGATCCTTTATTTATCAGTGAACTTTAGAAGTTTGATTACTAAATGTCTTCAGTAGTCTCATTTGGGTTAAATGTGCTTGGTGTTCTATAAACATCTTGTACTTGAATATTAATGTCTTTCTCTAGGTTTGGAAAATTCTCTATTATTATTTATTTGAACAAATTTCCTACTCCTAACTCTCTTTCTATCTCCTCTTTAGGGCCAATGACTCTTAGATTTGCTCTTTGGAGGATATTTTCTAGATCTTGAAGACGTGCTTCATTTCTGTTAATTCTTTTTTGACTGTTCTGTTATTTCAATCAGCCTGTCTTTGAACTCACAAATTCCTTCTTCTGCTTGATCAATTCTGCTATTGAGAGACTGATGCATTCTTCAGTTTGTCATTGCACTTTTCAGTGCCAACATTTCTGCTTGATCCCTTTTAATTATTTCAATCTCTTTGTTAAACTTACCTGACAGGATTCTGAATTCCTTCTCTGTGTTATCTTGGATTTTATCGAGTTTCCCTAAAACAACTATTTTGAATTATCCATCTGAAAGGTCACACATCTCTGTCACTCCTGAACTGGTCACTGGTGCCTTATTTAGTTCATTTGGTGACATGGTGTCTTCCTGGATGGTGTGGATGCTTGCAGATGTTCATTGATGTCTCAGAATTGAAGAGTGAGGCATTCATTCTCATATCACAGTCTGGCCTTGTCTATACTCATTGTTCTTGAAAATGCTTTTCACATATTCAAAGGGAGTTAAGTGTTGTAATCTAACTCTTTGGTCACTGCAGCCATATGTACATTAAGGGGGCACCCCAAGCCCAGTAATACTGTGACTCTTGCAGATCTGTAGAGGTACCACCTTGGTAGTCTTGAGTAAGTTCTGGAAGAATTCCCTGTGTTACTAGGCAGAGTTTCTTTTTATTTTCTCTTACTTTGCCCAGACAAATGGAGTCTTTCTGTGTGTTGAGTTGCCTGGAGTTAGGGGAAGGATAATGGAAACACTCCCATGGCCACCACTGCTGGGACTGTGCTCGGTCACACTTGAAGCCAGAACGATGTTGGGTCTTTCCCAAGGCCTGTGGTGACTATTTCCTGGCTATTGCTGATGTTTATTCAAGGCCCAAGCGCTCTTTAGCCAGTATGTGGTGAGTTCTGCCTGGCCTGGGTCTCTTTCTTCGGGGCAGTGGGTTCCCTTCTAGCTCAGGATGGGTCTGGAAATGCCTTCAAGAACTAAAGCCTGGAATCAGGGATTTTAGGAGTCGGCTTGGTGCTTTATTTTTCTGTGGCTGAAATAGTAACCGAGTTGCAAGACAAAGTCCTTTTTACCCTTCACTCTCCTTTCCACAAGCAGCCGTCTGTCCTTGTGGCCATCACAGCTGGAATGTGCTGGGTCACACCTGAAGCCAGCATTTTACTAGGCCTTGGCCAGGGTCTGTGCCAACTGCGACCTGGCTATTGATGATGTTTATTCAAGGTCCAAGGGCACTTGGGTCAGCAGGTCATGAATTCTGCCGGAGCTGGGTCCTTCCATTCGGGACAGTGGGTTTCCTTCTATATATCTAGAAATGTTGTCTGGGACACAAGCATACGTATGTTTACTGCAGCACTATTTACAATAGCAAAGTCACAGAACCAACCCTAACGCAATGAAAGACTGGATAAAGAAAATGTGGTACATATACACCATGGAATATTACACAGCCATAAAAATGAATGAATCATGTACTTTAGAAGGACATGAATGAAGCTGGAAGCCATTATCCTCAGCAAACTAACACAGGAACAGAAAACCAAACACATGTTCTCACTCATAAAGGGAGTTGAACAATGTGAACACATGGACACAGGGAGGGGAGCAACACACATCAGCACCTGTTGCAGGGTGAGAAGTGAGGGGACAGAACTTAGATAGTGGGTCAATAGGTGCAGCAGACCACCATGGTACACATATACCTATGTAACAAACCTACATGTTCTGCACATGTATCTCAGAACTTAAAGTAAAATATAAATGAATGAATGAATGAATGTTGTCTGGGAGATATGGCCTAAAATGGTGCTTTATTTTACTGTTACTCCTTTATGTTGCTGTTGCTGAGCTCGTACCCAAGTTGCAAGACAAATTCCTCTTTACTCCTCTTTTTATTCCCAGAGCTACAATCTTCACTGCCTGGAATTGGAGGAGGGGTGACATGACCACTCCATTGGCCACCCCAAGTAGTATCTCACTGGATTGCATGTACCCCAAGTCCACTGGCTCAGAGTCCAGCACAGCACCAAGACTAGCCCAGCAATTGTAGCCCTTTGCCTAGACTGCTTTTTAGGTTTATTTAAGACTACAACGCAATTTAACCCACAGGGGTGGGGCTAGCCAGAACTCAGGTTCCAGCTGCCAGGATAGATAATTCCTCTCTGGCTAGGGCTAGTCCAAATGCTTCCTCTGTGGGCACAGGTCGAATTCTGCCCTGTGCTGCTTTGCACTGTGACAGAGCAGCACTGAGTTCTAATGTAAAGTTCCACAATCACTTTGCTGGGACTTTACAATAGAGGAGGGATGATGTCAGCAATCAAGACTTTCTTTTCCACCCTCTTCTTGCCTCTTTCCTAGATATGATATGTAAATCAGGCTTCCTGATTTTTGGTTCTTGAGAAGGTGCTTTCTTGTGCAGACAGTTATTCAATTTGGTGTTCCTGCAATGGGAATAATTGCTGGAGGGTTCTATTCGGCCATCATACTCTGCCACTCTCAGCATTAAGATACTCTTTTAAAAAAGGATTTCTGTAGTGAGTTAAAACTTCAGTGTTCCCCCATCATGGGTTTATAATATAAATTAATATTGATGTAGGAATTGTTGAGCCAAAATATCTTGAAGATTGGTTATAGGCGGGTAATATTTCTGAGGCTCTCAGAGGCATAAACATACAAAGCAATGTGGAATATTTCTTTATGTGTAGATTTATGGAAAAGGGAGCATATTGGACACCAAGAGCATGACTTGTTACAGACACACAGTCTTAATAAGTTTGCTGTTGCAGCAAATCTCCTGCAATGGATTCTTCATTTAGATTTAATTTAGTTTATAATTTGGAATCTTTATTCAATCTACTCTACATATTGATTTTGAAATTGCCTTGTGTAGTACATATTTTTTTCTTACCCTCTCAAGGTAACTTAAAAAATGTGTCTCAGTGGGTTCATTTAAATTTTCTTTCCCCTATCCTTCTATTATTAAACATTTTCCCTCCTTTATGCAGCTAATAGTTAACAGAACTAATTGCTAAAGATCTGTCCTCTATAGCAGTGAATACATAATACAATCCTAAATTTGGAGCAAATGTTTTGTCTGCGTTATTAAAATTTGGGGAAACACTGATGATAGTTCTTAACTTGTCTGTACGAAAAGTCTTGCAATTTCACAATGCCTTCTGATCTAGCAATTTTACAATACAATCTTTCTTTACCCGAAGAAAGCCTAAAAAAGGAATAGCTCATTAGAAGATCAAGTAAAGTGGAGTAGAAAGTGTGAGAGATTTACAAAGGTTAAATTTCAAAAGTTACAAATCTTTTAGAAAGGTTTTTTTGAAGATAAAACTTTGTTTTAAGGTTTCAGCATTCTAATTAAAAACTCTAACTTTTGAATTCTTGTTGTTCTGCCCTCTAATTTTTACAGATTCTCTTTTAAACAGACTAGTTAATTCATTTTACATGTAAAAAGTTTCTCCGTAATGGCCATTGTTCTGTGTCAACCTAGTTTCTGGTCATTAATTGAGGAACTTGCAGGTTTAGGATTAAAATGAGATTTTATATAGAAATTAGACTCTCTTTAAGAAGGAGGTTGAGATTTGGGCAAAGACAAGCCCATGAAAAACTAGAAAGCAGTGCACTACATTTGATCAGTGTGTGTGCTTAAGAATGTTGTTGTGGGTTCCCCAAATAGGAACAGGCAAGAAAGGGGTCATTATGATCAACAACTTGCCAGCTGTTGCAGTTCTTTTACAAATCTATAGAACAGAGAATGCGTTCATGAAGGTTTTGTAAGGGACCTAGGATAAAGTTTGACTAATACCTTTTCATGACTAGTCAATGGTCTAATGGACTTCCAACTATGATTACTCAGAGTCAGCTTGGATTGGATTGGAGACTTATTAGGATATTGTCTCCATCCATCCTCTACAAAAGACTCCTTGATATGTGTTCAACAAGAACAGCAAGGATAAAACCAAAGCCCTATAACTTGGTGCATATAGAGAAACAACAGCAAAAACACATCAAACAGCAGAAGATAAGCATTTTAATAGAAAACAACTTGCCAGTGGTAAACTTTCAAACCAAAGCCTTAGTGAATCTGCATGAAAAATCTAGGTCTAATTTGTCAAGTGATGCACTTTTCAACCAAAATTACCTTATACACAGATCCATGCTTGAAATTTTTATATAAAAATATAGGTTTACTTATATGAAAACCTATTTGATTACAAATTGTAAAATAATGAAATAAAATTTGCACCAAAACATCAATAAAACTAATCAGGGCATGGATCTTTATTGAGACTGTCTCACACAGTGGATCTAAATAAAAAATGGTGTTTTGTCATAATCCTTCCAATGAACACAACTGTTGGCCTGAGAGCCTCCTGGAATTCTGCTGAGTGTATTCCAAACAAACCTGGTGGAAGCCCCAGAAGTCCTCATGAGACCAATTTTCAATAGGTGAAATTAAAACTGTTCTAAATATATTTCTTATTGTGATGATCAGATATCGTCTGCCTGAACAGGGCAGGCTGGCCATCTTATAAAAGGTTTTGGGAGTCATGGAAACAGGGATTGGTGGTTGACAGGTGTTCAGATGCATGTTGACATCTGCAGAAGTAGGCTTACTGAGGTGAGATGCTGTTTGGTTGGCACTCAGAAGTGAGTTTATGGAATAAGTCTACTCCTAATTGCTTACTTTCATTAACAACATTTTGACACTGATGGGTTGGCTTACGAAAGATTTCTGCTGAACTAAGTTGTCAATGATTAGCTGAACAAGGATTAACAGTTTCTGGTAGTTACTTCTTACCATCAATACAGAACAATAAATATTTTTCTGTGTGGAAACCTTTTCCCCCGCAAAGGCGTATTAGATGTCGTAAATGTTGAATGAAATTGCTGCTTCAGCATTCATTTTTAGGCCTGACATAAATTGTTTAAAACCCAGGTATACCCTGTCACCTTAGACCTATTGAAAAATTACCTCCCCTATCTGATTGTTTACAGTGTAACAATCTTGTAAACATCTTGTTTCTCATCTTACTGACCCACAACATGACACACTCACAGTTCCCATATATGATAAAATCTAGAGGTCAACATCAGAATCATGTAAAAAAAGTTCTCAACACAGAATCATGTAAAAAAGTACATGCAAATTTTCTTTAAACTAGACAATCTGTAATTCTGGTGGAAAAGTCTAAGGAATAACACCCATGAACTTTAAGAAAGGAAGAGTCACACAGGTCCTCTCTCTCTTGCTTTCCACTCACTGTTTAACATCTGGATACCTCCAGACTTCTTGCCAGCCTCCTGTTGGCACCCCAACCTCTCTAGGACCTATAAGTAATACATTTCTTCTGTTTCATGTACTTTGGTTTTACTGCCTCACGTGTCTCACTTGACATGCACAAACTTGAACCTGACCTTCTTTCCAGGCCAGCTCTCTATCTTAGAAAGTGGCTGTCTTGGTAGGAATAAATGGGCCAAGGGTTATAGGAGAGCCCCACAAGCATCTGGTGGTATAAACAAGATTCCTGTGAAAGGAATATTTGGCCATGGGTTGGATTCTTCCACATTAGGGAACCTTCCAGGATTAGGAAGTATCGCATGAAAGGCACACTCTATATACCCATGACCAAATCCCTTGAATTTTATGGTCAGGGCATTACAAGAGCCAATGAGGCTCTTAAGATAAAGACCTCAAGAACAAATTAGAAAGAAACAATAGCAATAGAACACTAAGCTAGAGTAAATCCAAAAGAGTGATATGAAACATTAAGAATGCTAATAGAAGGCCCAAAGTTAGAAATTAATGAGCTTTGATAAATATTAAGAAATATGTTTCATTTTATTTATAAGCATTTGTTTAGAGAAATTTTCTGGTTGATTAAATTTTTAAATAAATAATACAAATTTCATATTTTAATGTTTTAATTACTGAATGCCAATATGGATTTATTTTACTAATAAATCTTGTGAAAGATTTCTTCTTTCATCTTGAAATAATGACTTTATTATGTTTATTAAAGAGAAGTACAATAATTATTTAAAATCATCAAACAGCACTACAAAGAAGGGGAAAAAATTCAAGGATCCGTAAATCTCAAATAATCATCCTTAGTGTTAAAACCATTCCCTATGCTAATCCATAAATCCCACAAATGTTAGTTTTAGTTGTACTTAATTGCATTCAGTGTTTACCATTTATCCCTTTAACATTATACTTGTTCTAGAGTTATATTTTGGGCTACAATTTGTAGGCTTATTTTATCGTGTTCTTTGAAATTCACACATTTAAAGTTGTTTGCTTGTTGCTTCTAAACTTGATCACCATATTCTCTGAGTATAATATCCTCTGGCTTCACTTATCCTGCAGGATATAATATACTTTAAAAATATTTATTCTGCCTTTTAATGTTTCTCAGGAGAAGTGTGAAGCCACCTTGAGTTTTATTCTTTCATTATCTCATTTTCTTCTGCAAGAATGACTGAAGAGATGTTCATTTTTCTCAAAGTTCAATAAATGAACCAGAAACCTACGTGGCCTATACTCAGATCTGCTGAGTCTACTTGATTTTAATACTATTAGAATATCTTACTACATTCTAGAGGCTAGAAAGCTAAAGATTGTTTTTTTTCAAAGTCCTCTTTTTCATCTTGACAGATGCATCTGTATAGGAGTTTTGGGAAAGGTACATAATATCAAGAAGAATTGTCATACGGGCTACTTTTCCTTTGTTTAAAGGCTTTGTAGTAACCTCACCTTAGGTAGTTACCCTGCTCTCTTATATCAAATATCCTAGTAACCCAACCCTACTAAATTTTATTATCTTTGCTCCTTACATGTAGTGGAGGGTAGTGATACTTAAGGTATAGGTGTAACTGACATGATAAAGAGACCCAAAATAAAATGAAAATGTAGTTCTCCATCACATAAAGTGAAAACATGAGTGATCTTTGCTGGTGTGGTTTTTAAAGAAAATCCCTATTATTTTATTACTCTACAAAATTCTGTGAACTATGTCTCATGTGATATGGTAGGTCCATATCTAGGATCCTGCTTCAGGAAATTATAAGGTCATAGAACTGGGAGGCAAACAATTTCTTTAAGCAAATGACACAGGATTTACACCTGTTATTTCTGATCATATTCGGTTGTTAAGAACTTGGTCACATGTCATTTGCTTCCTGAATCCCCTGTATAGAAAAAAGGGTAAGCCAAGATACTATGTTGTAATATGCATCACCAAAATAACAGTGGCTTAAAATGAGAACCACTAGCAATATAGGTCTTGTTTCTACTATAGATGTCATGGTTTAACATGGGGGCAATTTGCTCATTATTGACATTCTTGACGTTTGCTCATTATAGACACTCATGAATCCACACTAGTAGAGCATTCATGATCTCCAATATTGCCTCTTGCAGTAATGCAAGTTATGGAGATTACTGTATGTGAACAGCAGAGGTCATTTCTGTTCATAAATACTTATAATATTTTGATTTTAGTCTCCCAAACTGCTTGTGGAGAGTGATGAGAAGTTAGAATGTTTCTTTTATTCATCAACACTTTTCAATGCTTATCAAATGAAATTGTGCTACTTTTATTATTTGACTCCTGCTACTGTGTGTGTGTGTGAGCGTGTGTGCATGCATGTGAATATGTGTTTGTTTTACTATTTTTTTTTGTTTTGTGTAAGGTATTAGGATAAAGAGACTCTGTAATACAGTTTCACTCTACCATTTTTACCCAGAAATATTTTATCTTCAAAATGTATTCCATAGCATATACTCCATTTTAATCAACAAATAAAGTGTTGTTATGGGCTTTCCAAGTTTTTGCTACTCTAAATAACACTACAAAAATACCCTTATGTCAATTTCCAATTATTTTTAAACATTAATTTTTTCAAATCTAATTGCACATTTTCAGGTTATTTGAGAATATGACCATGTTATAGACAGATTGTATATATACAACAAAACCAATATGAATGCAATTTCACTTATCACTATCACTGGCTACTTTGTTCTTTTTTGCTTTTAATTATTTTCTTAAAACTTTAACCAATATGAAGAACTGACATTCATTTGCTACTGAATTTAACTATTTTAATGTCTATTGTACATTTTTCTTCATACTGGTGAATTGCCTATTCATGTCCTTTGCTAATAAAAAATTACCTTATTAATTAAACTACTATTTACAAACCATAGAATAACCGGTGGTGATCGAAGATTTTTATTAATATGTTGTTTATATTTTAATTTTTAAAATAATCTTTAAGTATAAATTTAATATTTGGTAGAAAATCTTATAAGATTTTAGTTTTGGGGATTTGCCTTTCTTTTCACACTTTTGTGTTCATATTTGAATAAATATCATTCATCATCCTAAATTATAACAGTATTACAAAATGATTTTTTCTAATTATTTTTCCCAGATACTAATTTTTATTTAATGTAAGCCAGTATCTTTTTTAAAAAACTATTTTATTTTTAAGTTCCATGGAACATGTGCAGGTCGTGCATATTTGTTACATAGGTGAGTGTGTGCCATGGGGATTTGCTGCACCTAACAACCCATCACCTACATATTAAGCCCAGCATGCATTAGCTTTCCCTTAATGTTCTCCTCCCCACCATCCTCTCCCAAGAGTTCCCAGTGAATGTCGTTCCCCTTTAAACTCAGTTAATACTTGAAATGTACATCATTTACATCTTTACTTAACATCATAAACAATTCTCTTCTTGACATGAAATTCAGTGCCACTCATTCAATAATCCTTACTTTATTTTTTGATTGTGATGCTATAGTTATATTTAAAAATTCTTAATACTTATTAATATTTAATTATCTTTCAATCATATAGCTATATTACTGATGTAATTCTTAGTAATTTGAGTGCCAACTACTTTTCATTTACTTTATGCTGCTTCTTAGGTTCATAATAGGGCATACATTTTTAAGCTGGTTTTGCTATATGACTATAATTTTATAGAATTAAAAATTATAGGTATTTTTATTGAGAATACATCAGTTATTTAATTTGAAATTAATATATATTTGAGTGATATTGAATTTTGAAATTTTTATTGTTCCTTAATAAAGATCTGTGGTCTTTTTAAATAAATATTGTACCTGATTTTTTCAAAGTTTTTCACATTATATTGATCTTTGCTAATGTTAATGCTTCTTTTATAAAAAATATGCTAACTGTGAATTATTGATTTCTGCCTATTGATTTGTATACAGAAATCTTACTAAGTGATCTTGATGATTTTTGTAGCTTAATAGATGATTTATTTGTGTTTTACAGGTAAATAATGTTGTCATCTGAAAATAATAAATATTTTGTTTCTTCCTCTTAGTTATCATATCATTTTATTACTTTTGGCAAAAATATGCAAAATGATGCAAATTTAAATAAGTTGAGACACTATTTCCCTGACTTTAATGATATAATGTACTTAGTGTTACAGTCTTCAGTGGGATTTTGGCTGTATGTTTTATATAAATATTATAAAGTTAAGGAATTAACTTTCTATAATATTTTTTCCAAAATGCTAATGGATATTAAAAAATTGTAATGACCTCTTCAATATTTGTAAGCATGAGACCTAGTTTATTCTTCTTTGTCCTGTTAATGGTGTTAATTAAATTAATAGATTTCTTAATGTTGAATGATCCTTACATCTCTGGAAAAGTCCCAACTTATTCATTATATCTTCTATTACTTTTTAAAATACTATGACAGATTTCATTTTGAAATATTCAATTTAATATCTTTCACACATATGCACAAATAAAATTAGTCTTTAATTAGCTTTTGAAAGCTATCTTTGAAGGATTTGGTGATTATTTCAAATGGGTAAATGATTGGAAGTATTTCATCCCTTATTAATTTTGAAATTGTTTAAAGAGCTAGACAATCATGGGTCTTTTGATATATTGACATATCTTATCTATAAAACCATCTAGGCATAATACAATTATTATAGGTAGCTCTTGAGCAATTTTCCCCAAAATATTTCTGAGAGTTTATTAGATTGACTCTTTTCTCTGTTCATTTTTCAATCATTCTCCCAATAATGGAGATAGTTTTTGCTTTATTAAATCTCCTCACTTTCTGTTAGCTTGTCTTACTCAAGAATTTAAAACTTTAACTCAGAAGGGCAGTTGATATAGATTTATAACTCAAGTTCAATGAGCCAGTAACCTGGTATATGGCAAGGGAAGCCAATGGATCATGGTTAGTCTATAGAAACCTGCTCAACATGGTTTCTTCTCATTATGAAGAGAAGAAACGTGAAGAAGTGAGTCCAATCTGGCCTGACAACTACATCCCAGAAAAGGTTCTGTCCTGTACTATTATTATGCCTTCCTAAAGTCCGCAATCTTATGAATGTAAGGTCTTCTAGGATATCTGCACAAATAATGCTTATTCAAATGAGCAGTCAGAGTCAGGAATAATGACCTCCTAACTTTTCCTTATCTTACATTTATCTCAGCTTCTCTCCTGCAGAATGATGTGATTCTGACAGGACCTGTTTCCCTGACATTGTGCAGTCTCTTTCAGTAAGTAGAATTTCCAAGTCAGGAAATGAAAACTTCTTATCTAGTATCACCTATTTTAAATTCAGAAAAAATTGATTCAAGCATCTGAAAGGTGTATGGCATATGACTTTAATTTCCAATGCTGGTACAGCTGTTTGCTATTTTTATAGTTGTATGGTTATTACAATTGCTAGTTTGAATTAGTGAATTCAAATGCTTACTGACAAATTTATTGCAGTGAATACTGGAAAGCCTAGTACAAAAGAGATGTTAAAGATACTAGTAGGTTCAAAACAGAGTTACAGTTTTAAAAAGTCTGTGAGCTCATACATAACGTGAAAAAAAAGGAAGGATTTAAGTCTGCTTTAAAAAGTTAAAATGTTAAATATTCATATATCTGAAAGTTTTTTTCTTAAAAAATTAACGGTAGAAAAACCACAGGAAGAAAGGAATAAAAAGGTAGATTCGGTTTTGATTAAAAATATTTCTGATAATCATACCTAATAAGTCGGCTTCATCGTTAATGTACTGATTTCTTCTTTACTAAAACATTTCTAGTAGAAATTGATGACCACCTGCCACAGGTAAAATTCCTGTATGAGGAAGTATTCCCAATGTCTCCTCACTAATTTTTTTTTTTGTTCAGGTTTCACATTTCAGGTTCTACAGTGTTACAGACAAAAATGTTTTCTTTGTTGTTAATACTGAGACTCGAGATTTATTATTTGCCTTTACTCTGTTTTATTTGCACAGAGACAGGTTAAAATTGTATATTCTATTTTGTTTCTACATTTATATGATTTTATGTCATGTCTCATCATTTTAAAGATTATTTTTTCTTATATTTTGCACCTGAAAGTCTGAAGCTTGGTTTCTGGTAGATAGGAAATTACAGTATGTGGTGAATAAGATGAACCTCTTTTTCCAGATTGGAAAAGCAGATCTATGTAAAACCAAAAGCTGAATAGTGACCTTTAGTCTTCTATCAAATTTTGGACTATTGATTTTTCAAATCAGAGGCATTTTGGTTCATTTGTTATTCATCCACCCCATATTAACCAAACATACACCATGTGGCAGGATTGTCTCTGTTGGGGATACAGCAGTGAGCAAAACGATGTAAAATCTCTTCTCTCATGAGCTTCTATTCTAATTTGGGAGGTGGAGACTGACAATAAACATACAGACAAACCAAGATAACATATATGTGGTGGAGATAAAGGTTTAAATGTATGTCAGAGAAGGAGAATTATTGGTCATACCTTTTTTAGGAAGCATTCTCTGAAAAGCTAAAATTCAAGCCTTTAATGACTGAGTGAAAGAAGCAAGTATGAGGATGCCCACAGTAGGAGCATTTCAGGCAAAGAGAACATGGTGAAATTCCTGAAGCTACAGTATCTGGGGTATTCAAGTGACAGAGGACAACAAACAAGAGGAATGTGAAAGGAGATCAGAGAGAGAATGGGGGACAGATACTTTAGGCACTGTGATAAGCTCTGATAAGAACTTTACACTTTATTGAGTGAGATAAGAAATTTTTTTATATCTGCAGTGAGGATGCAATACCCAGCCTTGTTAGATTGACTTTAACTTCGTGTTACATAATTTAGAACATACTACATAAGGGCAAGTGCTGACTCAGAAAATCATCTCAGGATAAGAGCACAATAATCCAGGTCAGAGACGATGGAGATTTGGACTAGGGTGCTAACAGTGGAGGAAGAGGAGAAAAGAAAGGGAATGAGACAGCCATCTACAGGAATGGAAGAAATAATTTTCTAAGAAATGTATTACTATGCAAAGCAGTTGTACCACACACCTGCGGTTTGTCTTTGAGAACAGAGTAAAAACAGGCAAGCTGCATTCTTCCCCGGTCCATCATTATATAAGCAGAATTCTGGATTTTTGAACATAGGTGAGTTTTTTTCCAGGGAGATCAGTGATGAGGGGAAAGAGATGAAAGGGATTGATGAATTGTTCAAGGAATCATGGAAACTGAGAATCTATGTCACATCCAATTATTCTTCACTTTCTCGAAGAGGATTTACAGCACTTCAAATAACTATACCTATTATTTTCACTTCTGCTTGGAGCCAAGCACTAGAAATTAATAAAATATGTGGGCATTTCACTACAGAAATAAATTATGAAATATAAAGTTTGCTACATAACATTCTCTAGAAAACATACATCAAATAAAATCAATACACATTGTATAGTTTTGTTTTTAAAATTGATTCAAAGAACACTAGTTATTTTAATGATACTATGCATGAGTAGGTTTTGTATATGATTAAAACTTCATGTGGCATTTGAAGATATATGAATTAGTGTAGATACAAGTGATTCTTCTAAAGGAATCTATCATTCAAGCCTCAGAATTGGTGACCACGTTGTGCTAAAGTCTCTGATATTCCCTGTGCTTTTCGTTAGAACACATCAAACTTGGCAAATATTTATTTAATTCATAACTTGATGCATGTCCACTTTTTCTTACATTTTAAAGGTAATACTCATGGGCTTTCTTATATCATCCTTGCTTCACCAATACCTAGAATATTTTCTGCTATTTAGTATTAATATAATCATTGTTTGTTGAATACATGAACATATTAATTAATGAAAAAATTGTAGACCATTTTGGATAAAGAATAAGAAGATCTGGTTTTACCTCTAGCTCATATAAAACCAAATGTATGAGCCTTCGAAGTTGATTTCACCATGAATATTTAACCATGAATTCCTTTTATTGTCAATGATGTGGAACAGATGATCATTAAATGCCACACAGATTAAGTTTGTGACAGCAGCTACATTTGGAAAAACCCATCTTTGGGTTGGTAAAAACCTGGACTTTGCAGGTATAGCTCAGGGGTAGAGCATTTGACTGCAGAAACTTGGTCTTAGAGAAACTTTGAAAATTAAGTCCTAACCCAGTAAAAAGAAATGTCTAATAAATCTAATTATCCTTTTTCAAAAATGTGGAAACTCTGGGGAGAGAGAAAAGTTAATGGGTAACTGGGTAATCAGAGCAAAATATTTTCTTATCTTTTAAGGCAGTCTACAGAAAGACCTGTAATTCTAAAAGGACTCCACCCAGGCAGTGGCACAACCATGACTCAATGGGTTCAAATGATTCTCTCACCTCAGTTTCCTGAGTAGCTGGGAGTACAGGTATGCACCAAATGCCTGGCTAATTTTTTTTTAATTTTAATTTTTATTTTCTGCAGAGACAGGGTCTGGCTATGTTGTACAGCTTGGCATCCTTGCCTTAAGCAATCCGTCCTCCACAACTCCTCAAAGTGCTGGGCTTACAGGCATCAGCCACCATACCTGGCCTAAGGAATTCTTCATGGTCCATTTGCTAGGAATTAGGCATATTTGAAATAGTGTTGATATACAGGTGCAATATCATTATTTCACCCTAATATTTCTTTGCAGAATAGTCTTGAGTTATAATTAGTTGAGGATAATCTGAATTTAAACGTAGTAATCAGTCAGTAGGAACAAGATGGCTCTTGGGATTTTGTTCCTAAGCACATGTTTCTTTTTTATCATTTTAACATTTATAAAAATCTAAATCACAGTGTTTTACATAATAATTATATATTAATAATGGAATTTATTATATATGGAATATATATGACATGACAATGCCCATACACACAGAGATAATGTCCTTTATCCCATCCACTATTTATCCTAGTCATTTCAACTAGCACTGATGGCTAATCACTGTATTCATCCAACTCATGTGGATATTCTCATTCAGAAATACATTCTTAAATGTAGGAATGCACCATTTGAATTCAAACTCTTTTTTTGTGACTTTGGATTTCATAGCTATAAATGTTTGATAGATTTCATTGATGAAATACAGAAACAATTTCTCTCCTGACTGCCATGAACAATACTAGAAAGCTAATGAGCTCAGAGTACAAAATTGTAAATATTTCCATATATTTATCATTACATTGTTTTTTAACTAAAATTTTTAAATTTATACATTTTTTATCTATTGATATTATTTTTTATTTTATTTATAAAATACCATGCGTGTCTTGCAAAGCAAACAATATTACACATGCTGCAAGCAACTTTGGAAACTTTAGTGAGAAGAAGCAAAGCAAGCTGTCAGACACTTCAGTAATTGAATCTCTTTGAGAACTGTCTTGGTTTGTCAGCACTGACTTTCCTGTCAAAAGAAAATAAAATAACTTGGAAATTCATCTGAGATAACTCCAGGGGTATTCTGATAATGCCAAGGCAAGAACACTAAGTGCTTTCTCAGAAGCTGTTTGTACTAGGATACCCTCTTCCTAGTATGTATAAGTTCATTTTAGCCTTGAGTTTACATTATCTGATGTTGAGGTCTGAGATTTAATAATGACCTGTCAAATGGCAGTACATAAGCCTTCCTTCTGCTATTAGGATGCACACCATCATTGCTTAAATTGCCTAGTATACCCTTTGTCAATTACTTTGTAAGTGCTATCCATCTTTTACTGCTTCCGCACTTGGATTGCTTGTAAAATGTTTAGTGGTTAATTATCCTGGAAGGAAGTCCAACTTATGAAAAACCAGGTAGAAGAAAAAAATGTCATAAAATTAATGACTTATTCTCCAGTTCTTATCTGATAAAGCAATGTTAATCAGATCCCTTTGGAAATTTACCCTTGACTACCATTCAGCGCTCTCTATAATCAGCTTCAGAAATTTTCCACTCTGGCTTCTCCCCTTTGGCCCATGCTTTTCTCCAAAGGACTTGAATGTATTAAGAAGAGATTGACAGCTCTCCTAACAACTGCAGACTGTGCTAACACCAGAAGGAAATAAAGGTCTTGAAACTTCTCTGTACTGAGATCAGAAATATCAAACATGAACATTTATCCATAAATGAAACCAATGCTCTAATATGCATGGGCTGACCTTGAGTTCCCATTAATCAGTTAGAGGAAAAGTTATAGAAAACGTACAAAACTACATACTTAGAGGTATAATAAAACAATTTTTATACTTTTGAAGATATCACACTGAAGAATGTCAATATAAAGTGCCATGCTGGCATAGAAATGACTCATTTATTGTTCAGTTTTACTTTTACATCTAACAAAAGGATTAAAAAATCCTTAAATTAGCAAAAATATATTTTTATTTTAAAAGGGACTTTTTATGATGTGTACATTGTTGAAATCAAGGTATATAATATTTGTTCACTTAAATATCGACATTTAGAAATATATTTAGACAAAAATATAGACCTTTAGACATTTTAAGTATAGATATTTAGATAGTCCTTCATGCCTTCTTTTACATGAGAATGATTATATGAAGGCCATATAACTAAATCCAGTTTATATAAATGTTTTCCAGATTGTGGGTTTTTAAATACCGTTTATGGCTGTTCATACCAGGTAACTGGAGTTGAGAAAGGCCTTTTCCTGCTGTGGCAGGTATTGTACAGCTCTTATCATAATTTCAGCCACCTCAGTCTACCAAGGATATGCGTTATTTTGTTTACAACCAAAAATTATGAGGTTGTGCTCCAGGACAGCAGTCCCCAACCTTTTTGGCACCAGGGCCGGTTTTGTAGAAGAGAATTTTTCCATGGACCCATGGGATGGGGGGCAGGGATGGTTTCAGGATAATTCAAGCAAATTACATTTATCATGTACTTTTTTCTATTATTAAAACATGTAATATTTAATGAAATAATTATACAAATCACCATAAGGTAGAATCAGTGGGAGGCCTGAGCTTGCTTTCCTGCAACTAGATAGTCCCACCTGGGGGTGATGGGAGACAGTCATAAATCATCAGGCATTAGACTCTCATAAGGAGCATGCAACCTAGATCCCTCACATGCACAGTTCACAATAGGTTCCCTCTCCAATGAGAACCTAATGCTGCTGCTGATCTCACAGGAGGCTGACCTCAGGTGGTAATGCAAACAATGGGGAGTGGCTGTAAATACAGATGAGGCTTCACTCATTCACCGGCTGCTCACCTCCTGCTATTCTGCCCAGTTCCTAACAGGCCGTGAACTGGTACTGGTCCGTGGCCCGAAGCTTGGGGACCCCTGTTCTAGGGGACTCACATAATGCAGCACAGGCTTCTTCTTAGGCTCATCAGAGGTCATACTTTTTCAGATTCTACTGAAAAAAATATTAAGGTAGAAACTTCCTTTTTTTAAGTTGGTAGAATTTCATATTAAATTATTTAATCTTATTCCCCTACTCACACTAAGAAAATATTATTCAACTGAAATAAACACAATGGGTTTGTAAATTCATTTAATTGTTCTTTATCCTGTGGATACATCTCCTCATATCTTAGGCCACGTTCTACTTTGTTCATGTCACCTAGCCATCAGCTATCTCAAATTTTGTATAGTGATAACATGTTGGACAATACATTACTATCATTTAGTCCATCAGTGCGAAGTAAGTTTCAAGTTTCATCAAATTCCAAGTAGTATATTGCTCTCAGTATTCATCAAACTTTAAATTTGATGTTTTATATAACAACAGGATAAATTTCTGGTAAGATTAATACTCTTAATTTAAAGAGAAGGCATTTCTGATTAAGGTACTGTTTTGTATCAGAAGAAATAATAGTTGACTATTAAGGCATATATATGCTTTATAGGTCTACAGTAAATTTTAAAATTAAGTAGTTAAGTGTAGCACATTATTAATTTGGATTTCAAATTGAAATTTAAAGTACACTTTGGCTGTTTTACATAGTAGTATGAGTTTTAAAAGTCAAGGTAATTATTTTGAAAAACATCAATACTTTATGTGTGTATAACAGCAATAAAATAATGCTATCATTTTCTGATTATGACCAGAAATCTTTGTGTTAAATAATTTTCAATTAATTAAAAAGTAAAACCCACCTGTGATGTCATTCATAGAGATATTTCAGTGCATCCTCATATAAATTTATGTTCTATAGAATACAAAGAAATTCTACTTTCCACATAGTTTTGGATTCTTTTTATTGTTCAAATTTTAAGAGAAATAGAAGTTTAAAAACTTGTTATTTGACTCTTTGATGTTGGTCAAAGTAGAATTCTTTGGAGAATTAAAAGTGCAGCAGTGCAGTTTGGATACATCTCCAAGAATCAGGAAAGTTCTGTGTCTAAATGCTGAGTCTGTTTCTTTGACTATTTTAGGATATTCCCCAGTAAAGAGCTCAGCTGAGTCTTCTGAAGTTTGTTGAGAATGCGCTCCCCTACATGAGGGACCTTACTGCCAAACTAAAGAGCCTCAGCCTTCAGGTTGTTTTGAACTTTGGCTCTCTACCTGGTATCTATTCAGGTTCTTCAAAGAGAGACCTCACGCAGGGATCCCCCAGGCTGAGGATGTAGTTGCAGAAACCACCGGAGTTGTTTATAGTACCTTTAACTCAGAGAGCATTGCTTGTTCCTCTGGGCTTAACCCTTGGATTTATGCCATTTGCCGCTGAAGTCTTATCATTTTATCAATTTTTAGCATTATTATGCTTGATTATTTGATCTCATTTATAAGTATTGAAAAAGAAGTGCTTAGCTCTTAGAATGACGGGCGGGAAGCAGAATCACTTGGCTTTTCCAACGGCGCATATTTATTTTCTTCTTCTTCCTTCATCCTAGGTACACTCTTTACAGTAAAATCAGCCTCGATATAATACTAGCGATCTGGTAAGGAATATGGTGCAGTGTGACTAAAAATCTTTCCCTGAAAATTAACAAGGGGTCAAAGAGGCAAGGGGGCAGAAGTAAAAGAATAGACATTTTAACGAAAATCAACAAGAGGTCAAGAAGACAAGGGGGCAGAAGTAAAGGAAGAGACATTTTAAACATTTCAAGAGAAGGGACATTTTAAACACCTTATGTACATGAGCACACAACTTTCTGCAAGAGTGTTATGTGGGCAGTATCAGGAGTCTCCTTTAACAGATGGTAAAAATGAAGCTTACAAGTTATCTGTGGTCACAGTGCTAGCCAATGATAAAGCCAGGATTAAAGTCCAAGTTTCATCTGACATTAATAGTATCACTTTTAGCCACTGGAACAGTTATCTTCTTACCCGTGAACAGTGCAGTCTCATTATGAAAACATGTGACTTCTAATTTTGTCATGAGCAGTCCACAGCAATACAAAATAAACCAATGGGAAAGAAGTCCCATCAAGGGAGGAAAATTTCATTGTAAACTATGGCATTTAACTTTCATAAATAACCAAGCAGTTCTGAATCTGCCATTTCCTTCCTGGGAGGTAAACACCAGAGTGTCCAAAATCAGTATCTTCGATGCCTTGAGTGCCAGCATGCTGCAACAGACTTATTTTCAAAATGGGTAATTCAGTGGGTTAGTGGAAAGAGATGAGCCTTTAGAACCAACTTGCAGTGGGTTTTAATTTCACACAAGCTCTTATTGGCTGTGCCAAGATGGGGAAGTCCACTTCTCTGAAGGGATTTAGACATTTTTAAAATAAAAATAATATTTGTATTTTTGCACTTACAAAGAATAAAAATATATAAAGCACAGAATAAGTATTCAATGATTGATATGATTTTCATTGTTATTAGTTTTATCATCACTTGACTTTGAATTAAATAAATCTGTGAGAGGTAAATCTTCCTTACTCCATTCACATGGAATTTTCAAGGATATTGACAAGATTTTGAATTATTTCTGAGAGATTATTTAAGAATATACATGAATATGTGTGTATATATGTGTAAGTGGATATATATGCACTCACATATTTAGGCATATATACAGGAACATATATGACATTTTATGATATAATTACATATAAAATATAAGTATATATACTTATATACGTATGATATATTTATACATTATGTAATATATATAGTATATGTTTTAAAAACATTAGTTGAAATAAATCTATAGATCTTCCCACATGTATTCAAAGGAATAATATGATTCTCCCGATTGTGTTTTGTTTCAGCTACTTTCAAAGAAATCTTTAGATCATAAAAAAGTAAATCATCAATTTTCCCTGTACTATTCACCTCTAAACATAAACAAGAAACTATGAGAGCCGAAATGTAGTCACTCCAAGGATACAGACAAAGACAGAAATGCAGACCTCAATATTTTCCTGTTTGATTTAATGCTGTTTTTTGTAAAATTTTTCCAGGGCCTGAAACTTAACACGATTTTATGCATTGTCTTTAAGTAAAAAAGCACATGATTACAAGCAAAAAATTAAGGGCTTTGGATGGAGCATGTGCCCTTAGAGTTTATACATTATCAGCTTTATTTAAAAGCTATCTCAGCCTCCAGAGTCTACCACATAAAAAATTATTGCCCAAAGATAGAATCTGTCTAGTCCCCGCTTTTGTTAACTGATAAATACTACCTACAATGGCTTTTTGTCCCAAATTTGGTCTCTATTATCTAACTCCAATTCCAGTCTGCCCATCATATTGTTATACTATGCATCTCCTTTACTCAACCTTGAGTCTCTCCCTCTTCAAGTGATTATCCATAGAAAGTTCCTAACCTTTATCACCAAAATAATAATCAAACTAGCTATGCTTCATTATGCTAGACTAGCTCCATACAATACTTTAGTGGTGCTCTATCCGCCTAACAATTGACAGTTATTTTCAAATAAGGTGTCTTATACAGGGCAAACCTTTGGTCATTGTAATACTATATTACTATATTAATTAATTGTAATAATATATTAGTATATTAATTAATATATTTAACAAATCAAGAAGTTTTTAGAAAACAAGAAAGAAGCATGTATACACATAGAGGGAACATAGGAAAGTCAAGGCAACAAGTGTTTCTATAGATTCTGTATTGTTGGCATTTAAATTATAAGCAGGTAATCCGGGTTTCAGACCAGGTCATTATCTGAGTCATTAAGTGCTTTGTGTGCCAGGCTAAAGGCCTTAGACCTTTGCCTGATGACTGGAGCAAATTTATCAAAGGATTTGCCTTGGTGAGTGCCAGTAAATAATCTGTCTTCAAAAGATCTCTGATGGCAAGAAGCAGCATAGACCGAAAAGAAGTGAAGTGAAGAAACAGGATGACCACTTTAGGGTCACTATAACTGAAGGTCCAATGAGGATTGTATGAGTGATGAAAGTGAGAAGAAAAATCATCAACATACTCTCAAAAGATAAATTTGATGGAGCTTGGGTAGTGATTAGAAGTGGAGAATGACAGAGTGAAGGAAATTTAGAAACCAAACTATATTTATTATGTTTCTGTCTTGAGGATCTAAGTGGATGATAGTTCCAACAAATAACATGGAACTTGAGGAAAAATGCAATATTGTAGGTAGATGAAAAATTTAGTGATATCCATGTTGATGTTCTTGAATGATTGAGATATTTGTCTGCAATATTAATCTCAGTTAAGCACATTTGAAAGTGATCTAAAACTGATTCAGATAATTCTAGCTTTCTGACCCCTAGTACTCTGTGTGTGGAAAATTAATTCTACTTTCCAATCTCTATTGTAAAATGTGTGAATACTACCTCAGGAATCCAGAACCCCTGAGTTCCTGGCTCATATCCAAGAGTGTATAGTTGAAGTTATTTTTCTTCATGCAAAGGAGAACATTGATATTTGAGAAAGGTAACTCAAACACAAGGACTCTACTATCTATCACCTCTGAAATTGGTGTAAATTCTACTATTATATCAAGTTGGATTATCAAAATGCTTATCTGACTGGCTCAAGCCTCTGAACAAATTTTCACAGAAATGCCTTCATTGCATTATTTTTAATGTTATGTCCTTGTCTTTTATTAGGTAGAGATTCAATAAGTGGACATATGAAGAATGCTTCCAGCATTGTTGATAAGTTGCTATTGAAGACACTGTCCATTATTCTGTTCATTGCCACTCATCTTTGAACCCAGGGAACATACTAATTTTAGAACATATTATTGAAAAACTTTGATTCCTTTGAAAAAAAAGCAGGTTTGATATTTTGGTCAGGACATAGATAGTGTAGAATTCAATTTGTTTTTGCCTGAATTCTCAGACTTAGACTATAAGCAAAAGCAATAATTATATTTAGTCTAAGTTAAACTTAGCAAAAGCTCCAAAACTATACATGCCTATTTCATATAGTTTCCATTATTCTAGATTTAAAAATCATTTTAATTACCTATTTTCTTTATAATAAAATGTTTTAAAGTGTTTTGAAAGTGCTTAGGTCATTAAATCATACATGAATAAATTATTTAAAATTCCATAGTGGTGTATTTGCTTAGAGGTAATCATACCAATATTTTATTTCAATATTTTCCACCTCAAACTTTAAGACAATTTGTGGTAAGTATATTGAAATACGTTTATTCAGAATTCTGATGTTGAAAGAGTTTTTATTTTGTTTCTTGATTCCAAGAGATACCATTCCATTAGGATTCTACTTTGCTTTCATTGGTTTTCCTATAGTAAAGGAAGAACATCTTTTTTAAAAAAATTCTGTATGATGATATAGATTTTTAAACTACCTAAATTAACCTATATATAAGACTAGTGTATAATTTTTTTCATTAAATTTTTTAGACTACACACGTTTTTGCTTTCATTTTTAACCTGTATCTTTTAAAGCTTGAGAGATACCTCTCTTTTCTTTGCCATATTATTAAAATGATTTCATTTTGCCTATAAAACTTAGTGGAATTGAGTGTTTGTAGTTAAGATTTGTTGTAGTGTCTCAATATATACAACTCTTCTAAAGACTTCGGAAAGCTTAGTGCTGGGCCTAATTTAGAGAAAAGTATCAAGCAAAAATATGGGGGAGGTGAAATTTGCCCTATGACGATAGCACTGACAATCAAAGAGAAAGTAATTATATAGAGGAGCTTCACTTATGAAGACAGAGGGCAAATGACCGTAAGTTTTAGGAAGAAATAAAAGGGATCTTAGAATGATGACTATATCTGGTAGGGCCACCATAACAAAATACTATCTGCTGGGTGGCTTAAATAAAAGACATTTATTTTCTCTCAGTTCTGGAGGCTAGAAGTCAAAGATTGAGGTGCTCACCGGATGCTTTCTAGCAAGGCCTCTTCCTGGATTGTAGATGGCCACCTTCTCCCTGTGCCCTTAAGTGGGGGTTGGTAGGGAAGAAAGAGACATCTACTACCCCTTCTTTTTATAAGGTCACCAGTCCTATTGCATTAGGGCATCACTCTTATGGCCTGATTTATCCTTAATTACCTCCCTAAAGACCCTATTTCTGAATACAGTCACACTGGGGTTGAGGACTTCAAGATATGAATTTTAGGGAGACAACAAATGGGAAGAGGAGGGAAGAGAATAAACATAACCTGAGGCTGTTGTCTTGAGTTTCACGCCACCTTTGTGTTGTCAGACTCAGACTTCGAGTCCTAGCACAGAAGACTACAGGGAGCCAAAGAATCCAATGTGGAATAAATTGAAAACAGTTAAATGGTGCTATTTTTTAAAAGTAGAAACAGCAAAGTATCACAAGGACAAAAAACCAAACACCACATGTTCTCACTCATAGTTGAGAATTGAACAATGAGAACACATGGACGCAGAAAGGGGAACATCACACACTGGGGCCTGTTGTGGGGTGGCGGGGGAGGGGGGAGGGATAGCATTAGGAGATATACCTACTGCTAAATGACGAGTTAATGGGTGCAGCACGCCAACATGGCACATGTATACATATGTAACAAAGCTGCACGTTGTGCACATGTACCCTAGAACTTAAAGTATAATAAAAAAAAAAGTAGAAACAAAGGGAAATTGGCTTAATGAGGTTCACTGAACAATACACATCTTCAGTAAAAATGCAGTACCTCAATTTTAAAATAAATCTGATTGACATGTTTGCATTCATACTCACTATCACAAAGAATATTTGTAATCAAAATGAAAATGCAAGTAGAAATGATGTATTCAAAATTTGAGACTCAAAACTTGGGAAGAGCAAATCATGCTTATGAAACCCCTTGTTAGACTTAGTTTGTTTCTCCTTTTTCAAGATAGCACCATTTTAACTGTTTCCAGTTTCTTCAATGTTGGATTCATTGGCACAATTTTCATTAGGATGATTTATTTTTGTGAAAAATTTAAATATTTGTTGATTGTTTCTTCAGAGCATACTAATTTTTAAAAAATACGGCCATTGTTAAGTTTCTTTGGTGCCATTATTTCAATCAAATATAGATTCATGGGTTAAAATGTTCCAAGCCAAATTATTTCTTAGTTTGATCTTCTCATTAATTTTTAGTCAATAGAAACTGTAATGTGTGCAAGCAATTTCACCCATTCTTAGTTTTACTATTGATATTATTTGTACCAAATCTAGTTTTTTTCCCAAGTCTTAAATTTGTAGATTGCAATGTTACCCAAAAGAATGACAACCACATAAAATTTTTCATAATTAAAACAAATGAGAATATGTGGCTGTTTTACTGTTTATGGGCAAGCTAAATTGGCAAAATTTCAGAAGGCAATTTGGCTTCATCTATTTAAAGTAAAAAGCGAAAATAAACACCAGCAATGTGATTTCTAGGAATCTCTGTATAGTTCTGATACATAAGTTGGTAAAAATGTACAGGCACTATTATCTTTAATAGCATAAATGCAGAAATAAATTAGTATCTATCAGGCTAAGAAGGGAAAAATCAATTGGTCCATTTATCTCCTCTATGCTGGTTAAGGAAAGTAAAGGACTCGAGTTTTTCAAAACAGCTTTTGTTCACTGAAAAGCATATCTCTGATACTACATTGCTATGACACAGGAATTTATGGGTGTCATGTTCACCACAGCAGCAACAAATATTTGTTTAATATTTAGTATGCCCATTTATTTATATGTATTTTCTCATGAGATCATCATCATAATGGCAACTGACACATATGACACCTAGATGCCAGACAGTCTTCAAAGCACTTTGCATCTACTGATTCATTTAATTAGCTCCATAAAGAAACTGAAGCATGGAGATATTAGTTTAATTATCTAAGGTCATATAATTGGTAAATGGATTTAAACACAGGCAGTCTCTGAGTATAGACATATGCTCTCAACTACTTTGCTATGCTGCCTTAAAAACATGTCACACACCACAAGCATTACAACAGTCTAGTAATCAAAGAAAACAAAGAGTAACCTCAATCTTCAAAGACTGACTGAACTCATTGGGAATAGGAAGTGCTGGATATCACCCTTGTGATGTACTGAAATGTGGCAGAGGGAATACAAGTGCCCAAACCCTTGTGACTGGTAGATTTTCATGTATCTTGATTAGTGTAGCCTGAAGACAAAGGCTATACAGATATGCCATTAGTTTCATGTGAGTGGAATGTAAAGGTAAATTACAAAGTAGATTTACATTGTATCATTTTGTGACATTTTCTAATGATTAATAACTATTTCTTGTGATCTATTCTTCTATTGCAATTTTAGATATTTTTTAATAATGAAAAGAAAGATAATTGCATATAAACAAGAATCTTAATGCTAAATTATGGAAGTACAGCATCTCAGTATACGTAATATGGTAAAAATGAAAAACAGGAAGGAGCATGACCTATATTTATTCAGTGTTGTATACCTAGCACCTAGCACAGTGTTGAGAGAATGAAATAGCTGAAATCAAGGACAGTTCATTGGGAAATGAGGTATAAGACCCATATATTGAAGAAAGCAAGCTTTCTGGTCATCAAAAAGATTTTAGTGATACTAATTCCAAATGAAAGTAGATAGATTTATCAGTGTCACCCCTGGCATATAGATTCTGGGTAAGAAACCAAAATTATTCTTAAGCTCATTGATCATAAGTTCAAAAAAAGTCCATCAAAGAAGAATTATTCAGAATTGATGGATTAGGACTCTAATGTTCATTTATTTTTTCATATAGTTCCACTTTTGTTTTAAAGTCATTTAAAAACTATATCCAGTAATAAACCTGAAAGTATTTATTAATCTGCATGCCATAAATCCCTGGAGGTCTATGAGAAAACTACAAAAATGAAATTTTTTATCACGTTGAAAAATTTACATTTAACTATCAAACATTTAGATAAAAATTTGCTAACATGGACTTAGTTTCCACTTCACAAGAACAAAATATAAAAGAATAACGCATATTTTATCCTTACATATTGACATAATTTTACTCTCAGTAGCATGCAAAGGTATTCATAAAAATAAAGGAAAGGTTTTTGCTTTTTTATAGACTGCAATTTATGATTTACAACAATTTTAAATACATTAGAAATTAGGCCAGGCATGGTGGCTCACGCCTGTAATCCCAGCACTTTGGGAGGCCGAGGCAGGCAGATCATGAGGTCAGGAGATTGAGACCATCCTGGCTAACATGGTGAAAACCCGTCTCTACTAAAAATACAAAAATCAGCTGGGTATGGTGGCGAGCGCCTGTAATCCCAGCTACTCGGGAGGCTGAGGCAGGAAAATCGCTTGAATCAGGGAGGCAGAGAGATTGCAGTGAGCCCAGATTCTCCTATAGGTGATTTGGCTCAGCTTTGATACTCTGCTTCTTACCATCAGTGGACTATTAATGTGTGTTTGGGAAGGCGCTTTAGCCTTTGGGATGTGGAGGAACAGTGAGCACTCTGAGCTTTCCTTCCCCATCCTCACCTTATCCCACGTACACAGTGACGGCTCTGTGGAAAAGATTTGGTGAGTGGACACAGATTTTATTTCTATTTGGGGTTCCAATTCATCATAGAAAATCCCACATGCAACCACGAAGCATCCATTAAAATTATGTCTGGATATTTCCTATCCAAATCTATGGCAGATCTGTTCTTTCTCTCACCACCCCTCAATGGCTGAGTCCAGCCATATGCCTTGTTTATTTCTGGATTTCAATTTATGTAGTTTCTTAACATCAACAATCTCTCATGATTTAAAAGTTATGGTTTTATTGCTTTGGCAGAATATTCTTGATATAAAGTGATGATATTTTGGGAGTGTCTACCTTTTAACTAAAAGCAAAAATACTTGTTGGTAAAATTTTCATTTTCTCTTTAATGAATTCTCAGAGCAGTTTTGAAAAATTTTCTTGCTATTAAAATTGGAAATAATTTTAATTATTCTATATACAAAATGATATGCTAGTATGTGTATGCTAGTAGCTGAAAATACAGCAATAAGTCACTTGCTTTTCTTTTCAAAATGACTTTATATATTGTTAAATATGGTGACTTTAATGTCACCTTTTTTAGCGTTTACCCATTTTGCTTTGTGGCACCCATTTATGTATTAAACAGCTACAATGTGCTAAATAGTAGTTGTTAATTTTGCACACTTAATTAGTTTTGAATCTTTAAATCACATTATAGGTATGGACTAACATTTGCGGAAGTTGCTACCAGATGGCAATGCTAACTGGAAAACATCCGTAGTAGCTAATTATGGCTCTTCAATACCATGGGGTAAAAAATCATTATAGCTCCAAGAAAATAAACACCTTTTAAAAATACAACAAATCATTAATAAATTGCCTTTCATTAGAGGAATGTGAACTTGAAAATACCAGATAAACAAGAATTAAAATATATTTATTTGTACATTATCCTGATTATAAAATTATTTAGGGGAACAGAAAAAAATACATGTGAATGATTAAGAGGAATAAATTAATTACAGAAGAAGTCAGAGAAAAGTAAATTAGACGTTCAGGAGGTTAAATCACAAAAGATGTGAAATGAGTTACTATGGTCTTTTTACATGATGAGAAATAATTTTAACTCTGAGCTTCCTGGTTTTTCAGCTGTGTTGGCATGGTTTATACCTGTAGTTAGAGTGGTAGAACTAACACACTGCAGATTAGGTAATAATAGGGAAATTATTTTAATTGCTGGTGATTTGATTGTTTCTCATAATATGTGATTCTTAAAATTTTCACTTCAAGCCACTGAGTCTTTTGCTTTATCTTGCATTAAGTTCCAGACAACTGTTGTTTGATCAATGACTCATTGATTAGAGTATTGTCTGAGACAAGCTGCATTAATTCTTTAAACACTGGCAACTCCCTAGAGTAGAAAGTCATTGGAGTGTCAACTTTTTGACCTCAGGCCTCAACAGCCAAGGGTTGCCTATCCACAGGAGATGTATCACATGAGTTCTTGAAACAGACCATAAGCTGTGTTCTTTCCTGCAGTCTTTCCACCCTCCTGATGCTTCCATTACATCTGCTTGAAGGCATCTAACCACTCTCAATGACATAGGATTAACATGAGAATACCAATTATCACAAAAGGATGGTATCTCCATGCTCTCCCAAAATTTGAAGTGATTAATCTGTCTGCAGTTGGCCCACAGGTGGAAAAAAATGCCATCTGTCTATATTCTACCATACACTCTGTCACCTCAGAGACTCAAGATGTCTCCTCCCACCCCTTTGTGGTTTCACCCAAAGTCCTTCATCCTCTCCTTGCAGCCCTCTTCCCTGGGTTTCAAACTTGAGAACATAGAGTTTTCACATTTTTCATCCTCTATGTCCACTCTTCACTTACACATATCCAGAATTTTCACAAAAATATCCTCTTCCACCCCAAACCTAAACATATCTTACAAACCAATTGATACAAATTAATTTATCAAACCTTTCAACTCTTCTAGGTAATCAGAAACATCTTGACAGTAAAATTTCCTCTAAAATAACCTGGGATAGTATGCTTGCCCTAATTCTGAAAGTTCAAATGTCAACTTTCCTTGTGGATTCTTGAAATTGTTCTTAAAAATATTTCTTCCAACCTAGTATAGAACTTATCACACTCTCCCTTTCATTTGGAATTTACACTTTCAGATCAATCTGATTACTGCTCTTATGCCAACAACTCCTGTTGTTCTATCAGTGAGGATTTACTTCTAAGGTTGATTCTCAATACATTTTGAGTTCAGTTGACTCGGCTACACAACTCTTAAAACTACACTGCTTTTCTGTTATCAGAAAGAGCTCTTGTACTCAATTCCTGTTTTAAGCAACATTCCTTTGTGACTGATTCAAAATAGCTTATGCTATCTTGTGATCCAAAAAGCAATGATTGTAAACCAATATATAAAGACAGATTTCCCTATAAGTACATTGTGCTAACCTAGTTACCTTCATGTTTACAGGCTGAACATAAGGCCTGACATATACACCTGGAAAAGCATAATCTGTTTCCTATTTGTCATTATGTGTCATTCTCAAACACAACATGCAAATACATAGCATTCCTGGGAGCTAATGGAAGTGAGTTCACGAGGGGGTTTCTTGTATTATTTCTATACTTTAAGAAAAGTTAAGACTATCATTGCTTTTTGTTGGGAGAAGTCTGTACAAGAAATCACTATTCTTTATTTTATCTCTTGACAACCTTAAGACCTTGATAGCAAATCATACTTTTTCAAGTTTTATTATGGCAAAATCAGCTTTGTTTCTTTTTCCTTCAAAATTTTAAGACGATAAAATGAGTGTAGTGCTATTTAGGCAGTGAAGAAAGAAACATTATGTTGAGCTGTACCCTAAAGACATTTCTTTTGTATTATAATGCTTTCTATCCACAGACGTTAGTTGAAAATTGATATAATAGTGTTTCTTGTAAGTCTACCAGAAACAAAACAAAACAAAAAACATTTAAAAAGTAGATTAGATATAATTGTATGTGACAAATGAGCCTGGTAGAACTGTACTAAAAACCCATAGGGAATAATTATCTATCAGTGGCACCTGCAGAGGAATTATAAGCAGCTGCAGAATTTGATTTTTGAACAAGAAAATAGAGAAAATTACTGCAAGATTGGTATTAAACATTGAGAAGCTAGACAACAGAATAAAATATAGAACGAGAAGAGGAAGTTTTAAAAAGGATTTTAATCCAGAGATAAAGTGTAACACGATTAGAAATTTTTAAAAATTATTATGGAAAAATGTACAGGGACAATTAGTGGGGAGTTATGAAAAGCATTCAGATTGAATTTCACACCAAACATGTGATTCATATTTAGGAATATGTAAGTGTCTAAATTTAGAAAATGGTTTGTTAGGCAGCAGGGTGTAATAAAAAGCATATGAGCTCTGCAGACATAGATGTCTCCATTCTCAGCTGTGTCTTCTACAAGATGTATGGCTTTTGAAAGTTACTGATATATCTGATTATTTGTTTACCCAGTCCTGTGAACAAATGAATTTGCATTTGTTTTATGCCTTGTAGACCTTGATGCATAGTAGGTATCTAGAGCAAGTGATTTTCCATTTCCCCCTTTTTATTATTTTGGTAATTTCACAAAGCTTCATCAAGTGTGTGTGTGTATTCAATTCTCATTATTCATAGTACTTAGGTCCTATAAAATTGGCATGAAAATGAATTACGGAATACTAAACTGTTGCACCTATGGGAAATGTAGAGCTAGGTTCCTGTAAGCCTCTGGTCACATTTTCATCAACTGATCAACCCAACCTTGCTTTATAATTGTTTCTGTTTAGGCACCTTATTAATATATTATCAAGTCATTAACATTGAATCCACAGCCAGCAGCCCTGTTACTCTTGCCCAAATAAAGCTGTTTAATACCTGTATTTTCTCTGTAAGGTGTATCACAGCCTTCTTGTATTTAGGAACACCAGACAGCATTTCAACACCATACTTGGGGGCCATTGTAAAAGACAAATCACCAATAAAAAGCACAAAAATGAGAAAAATGTGGCCCCAAGTGTGGTATGGTAAATGCACTTGCTTATAGCATGAGAGCTGAAACAAGAGGCAGAAAGCAGCCTTGTCTGTCCTCAGCTGGGGACATGCTCACTGGGTGACTCACATTTTCACAGCTTAGTCGATGCACTGGTCTGAATGTTTGTGTCCCCACCTTTCCCAAATTTACCTCTTCGACCAGGTGAGGATACAACAAGAAGGCAGGCCCGCACTGGATCCTAAGTCTGCTGGTACCTTGAGCTTAACCATAACAGCATCCAGAACTGCGAAAGAAAAGAAATTCTGCTTACAAGCTATCCAGTTTATGGTATTTTGTTATAGAAGCCTGAGTGGACTAAGACACACGCTTCCTCAAATGACTGTAAAATTGCTGCAAGTATTAATTTTGGAGTTACAAATCAATTTAAGCAAGTAGGCAAATCCACACATATGATCTGTGAATAATGAGACTAGTGGTAAAGACTTGAACTATATTAATGAATAGGACATAGTCTCTGTTTTCAATAAATTTATTCATATACCATATTTTTCTAAATTTATTCATATACTATATATGTTTTTCTCAAATGAGAAAACCATAGAGAAAAAAAGGAAAGCATTTAGTACTCCAGTTTTCATATATATATACACACACACACTAACATATATGTATATATTCATTCATTCATACTGTTGTTGAAGGCCTCCAAGCTGAACATGGCCTCAGTCTCATCAGAACACAGACACCCTATAGCACGTAGCCCCTCAAATACATGGTGACTATCATTTTAATTGAGAATAATGGTGGGAACTTTCAGAAATGTTCTGAAATTAGTCTAACGAATATGAGAGTAATTTAAGGAAGTTTTAATACTGCCAGTTGCAGTAAAAATAATTGAAAATTAAATTACATCCACAGGAAAATATGGAATACCTATTGAGACATCAACATTGGGAAAATTAGCATGCTGAAACAGAGCCAAAAAGAATAAACTATTTTCTCTCTGTAGGAATTGAAAACCCTCTGGTATTGGACTGTATGCTGATGAGTCTAAGTTGGAATACTTCTGGTGTAACCACATCCCGGGGGACCATTATGGGATACACTGTTGTTCTGACCCACCATATGCCACTCTTCTTGCCTGAGTCATTCTCTAGTATTTTTCTACAATGGAAGCATCTAGAATAATTTGATTGCTAAGGGAATTAACCTGCTCAGTGGTTCTTTACCTAAGCAACCTCTATAGAGCAGTGTCTTAGTAAGGTGGGTTAAAGATTGACAGGTCCACTGCTGAGGGTCACTATACTTACAAGAAGAAGAGAAACAAAGTTCCAGCATCCCCTTGCTACCTCCCTCAGTCTGCCTAAATTCCTTCATCAGTGCTATAATGGAACTCTTATATACCTCCTCTGTTGCAATTTTTATTTTTTTCTCCCTCTATACTGTACGTCACTGTCTATTGTCCACTTGCCTACTTTCCCATATATAAATAAATTCCTTGAAAACAGGGATGATGTTTTATTCATTTATGTAGTTTAAGTCTTTAGCACTGTGTTCAATATATTGAAAGTTCTCAAAGACTTTTGTTAAATGAAGGACGGCGGAGATCTAAAAAGAATCAGAGATAGGGCCAGAGACGAAAAGATATGAAACCTTCCGTAATAATAGTCTGAGAGAAGCCCACGGCTGTCACACAGAGAGGAGAAAGAGAGCATCTGTTTCCATCGCTGTTGTAAAGTTGGCCTGCCCTCCTTTCCATCTCCTCTTCAATGATACCATCTTGACATCAATTTTTATTCAGAATAAGCATTACCTCTGCATCATTAGACTTACATGAAATTTGGTTTCTGAAATATCTGTTTTTATTCCCTTTCCTTGATAGAGAGGATGAAGGCTAAGGGTGATGAAGTTTACTATACTCACCTGCTGATCATTATCACTAGTTTTACTCAAATCCAATAAGCCAAAATGGATACTTTTCTTAACCAGCTGTCAGTCTTTAAGATTGCCTCTGTAAGAGGCAACACTCTATAGAGGTTGCTTAGGTAAAGAACCATTGAATAGGTTAAGTCTTTTAGCAATCAAATCATTCTAGATGATTCCATTGTAGAAAAATATCAGAGACTGACTCAGGCAAGATCATTTCAAGATGAGTGGCATATGACGGTTCAGGAGAACAGCGTATCCCGTAATGGTCTCCCGGGATGTGGTTACACCAGAAATATTTTAACATCCTCATCAGCATACAACCGAATACATTGGCACATAGGCTTCTCTTTTTCTAAAAGATGAAGACAAGCTTCTTCCTTTCTTTTATGAAGAGGGGATTCCTATTTCTATGAAGACCTGGTATATTGGACAAAAGAAATGTTTGCTCATATTTATTTTATAGAAAACACACTACAGCTTCTCTTTTTATACTGTACAAAATTTAGTCAAAAGTTTTATTGAGATGTTGAAAATGCTTAACATAAAAATTTATGTAAAGAACTTGTTTTTCATTAACATCAATCCACTGTAAACAGTGAATAAATTATCTCATCTAAACAAAAGGAAATAATTGAAAATATATGATTATGTAACTGCTCATGGTTCAGATGAAATTGCCTGATGAAAGTCAACTATTAGAGTGGCTTAAACATTTCGTCATAAGGATAAAATGGACACATCTGATTTATGCTACTGTTCATAACAAATACATTATATTTCCAACTACGTGTTTTACATGATTTTCAAACTATATTTGTGGATAAATTTTGTGTCACTTGGTAAAAACAATTATACTGTCTTAAGTTTCTTCTTATTGGAAATGGAAGGAACTTTTTTTAATATCTGAGAAAGAAGAGACAAGATAAAAGAAAAGAGAGAAAACAACCGGGGGGAAAAAAAAGCAGAGAAGGTAAGTGACTAGGATGCTTGATAGCCAGTGGTGGTGAGAACTCTCAGCTGGTTATGAAGCTGAAAGGACTTTTAGAAACAGAAACTGTAACTTTACATTGTTCACTCTCCAGTGTAGGATAGTACTATTCACCTGGACACCAACTGCTTTTCTGCTGGATTCTGTGAACGAAGTGTGTGAATGGATTCCTGTATGCATTTAGTTTAGCACTAAAACAAGACAAATTTGGAAAGTTTCTGAACTGATCATTAAGGAGTTAAACACCTTAAATTTTAACCAGCATATTCAATCTCAATATTAATAAAAAAAAGATTTAGATCACAGTAAATTACAAAGTGTGACTTAAGTTGACAGTTAAATGGCTAGTGTCATTCCTTCACAATTTCTAGTTTATCCAAATGTGTACATATATATCATACACATACGCTTTCACATAAACACACACACACATATTTTTGAAGTTATAAATTTCCTACTAAACTCTTCTTTAGATGTCTTTTAGAAAATTTTGTTATTTTATTTGTTCCGTTAAAATATTTTACAATTTCTCTAATGATTTTTGACTCATATTCCATATGAAGTGTGTTTAATTTCTCTCATATTTGAGGATTTCCCAAATTACTCTGTGTTACTGACTGCTAATTTAATTTTCTTGTATTGTTTCATTTCTTTTTCATTTTTTCACTCATATTATGGCGCAGAAGATGACTAATGTGAAGGTTTGTGTGCTTTTGAAAAAAAAAGTGTATTCCGTTGTGCTGGGTGTAACGTTCTGTAATTATCAATTAGGTGAAATTGGTTAAGAGGGGCCAGCCGTGGAACTTGGGCTGGGTGGGGGTGGGATTGAAAAGGAGCATAAGGAAACTTTATGAGCTAAAAAAATGCTCTATATCTTGAGGGTTGTGTATTTTATCATAGTTAATTATATTTCAGTACAGGGGTTTAAAACAAAACCCAAATCACCCTCCAGCTAAAGCTTCAGTTTTTGGTAATTCTTAACACGAAACACTTAAAAATAGTTGTCCACACTCACTGCTTCTACTTTCTCTCCTTTGCTTCTTTCTAATATTGCCGTAAATCAGATTTTTACCTCCACGACAACACTGTACCATTTCAAGAATCATCAAAGACTTCCACATTAATCTCCTGGTATGCATGCGATTACTTAACAGTTACTCACTGTCTCTCAGCTTCAAGCTCCTTCTCTGTCTTCTTTCATTTCTCCCCCTTTCTCCCCTTTTCCCCCTTTCGTTTCCTTTTCTTTCCTCCTCCCTGTCTCCCTGCCTCTGTCTCTCTTTCTCTTTTTCTTTCTTGTTGGAGCTTGGACTCTGACTCCATTTCCAGCAGGATTTTCCGATTTTTTTCTGTTCATTAAAGATGCTAGAGAGGAATGAAAAGTTGGTGGAAGGAATAGGACATCTTTCCTGTTTTCTGTTCCTGTCAGAATCAGTTCAGTAGCAACAAACTGTTTACTTACTCAGCTCCTGGACTCCTTTGACATTTTCAGCATCAGCAGGAAAAACTCTCCCTCCAAGAGATAAGCACCAGCTATGTAAGTTTAAGCTCCAGCATCACAGCGCCCTCCTCTGTGCTCTTTTGTTTCATGAAGCCCACCTGTTCCCTTCTGTGCCAACAGACTTAGCAGGTGAGTTGCTTCCTGCAGACATTTATCTGTGTGTGAGCTCAGCATTCCATTTTTCCTCCTTCAGCTTGACAATACCGTGTAACCAAGTCCTGGTATTAATTCCTCTCTCTTTACATTACTTAGTGTGGCTTTTGATTTTCTGATTAGTATAAAATGTGATACTAGGAATGACGCTGGGGACATACATTCAAATTTGAGACTGTGACTTTGATTTTGCTAAGCATTTGGAATCAAATTATAGGAAGAGATTTTTGAAACTTGAAGACTATGTACCTATTTTGAAAACCTCCTTTCCTGACAATTTCCACAGCTTTTGATGAAGTTACTGGAAGAAAGTGGTGTTTGGGAAAGATCAGACCAATATAAATTTATTAACAAGATTATTTTAATAAGAGATATCCATTGTCATACTTTTTATTAGAGGATATTAAACTTGTATCCATGTATTTGGTAATCTACTCTTTGTTTTGGAATAGACAGTTGAGTTTGTATTCAGTTTAATATGTTTAGAAATAAAGAGTACATAGCTAATAATAGAAAACATAGAATCTCCTATCAGATTTGGCCAAAAACTTGTAGTTTGATCTTGGGCAAACACTTAATAACATTGGATTATACATTTCTCATGTGCAAAATGAACAAATAGTACTATTTGAGTATTAGGTTCTCTTCCAGTTTTGTGGTCTCAAAGTAAAGATACAGATGTTTAGATTCAAGCTTTTTTACCCATGTGAATTAAATGTAGATAACCTCTGAATCATCTCGCAAGAGAGTCATACTTCAAAACAGATGAGAGAAAATTTTAGTAGAGACTAATTTTGGAAGATTAAATGCTATGAAATACTATATTTTTCTTATATTTAGCAAAATATTACATTAGAAACTATTAAATAATTCAAAATATAAACAAATTATAAGTTTTAAGCGAAGTAATTTTAAGTTTTAGGGGAAGTCATTTTTGATATAAATTAGAATATTCTTCATCCAAAAAATAATAGGCACAGTTACCTTTCAAATAGCAAAATAAGGATTGAAATAAGTAACCCCATGAGAGCAGCAACTCAGGAGACTGTCAACCTGTATTCAAATTCCCGTTTGATATACGAGTTAAACATGGAAGTTCAGAGATCATGAAGGATCTGCATTCATAAAAAGCTTCTTAGATCAAGGGTAATATAGATTCATCATTACTACATTATTTAATTCACAGTTCATTTTTGAATTTTAGTTGCAATAGTATTTGTATATTTTATCAACTGATTCTAATAGCTCCCCGAAACTTTTTGATGTTCAAATTGTTCCCTTTTTCCGTAACAGTGTGTCATCCTATTGCCTTTTCTTTTCATTAATTGGAAGCTGATCGAATGATACCAGTTCATCATTTGGGGTGTATAACATTTTCCACTTCACAGTAATAGACTTTCTGTAATTTTCCATTTTTCTAATATTTATGGGTTCATATATGGTCTCCCAAATTTCATCTACCTTATTTTATTATTCCATTTCGTTACTCGATATTTTTCAAAAAACAACAGAAGCAAATCACTTCATATAGAAAAAAAATCAATGGCCACATTCTGGTTCCTTGAAATCTTGGTCTACTTGATTCAAGGCCCATTTCATGCTTGTGAAGACAGACAGCCCTACATAAATACCTAAGAATCAACGCAGGATCTATAATATCATGGTCTTCCTAGACTTTGGTTGTACCTTCTATAATTACTAAATTTATTCCACATGGTAAAGTCACAGAAAAAAATCATTAGATTCATCCTCAATTTTTTTTTCTTTCCAGAAGAAGAAATGCTTTTCAAAAATAAAAAAAAAAAACTTCTTACACAAAGCATTTATGAGAGCAGCAGTCTTTAAAAGCTCACTCATTGAAACATTCCCACTATTTCTTTACTTCATATAACGCTCAAATCTCCCACAGCACTAATTCCATTTTATTCTTTCCTTCTCATACTTTCATATCTCACCTTCGTCCCTTCTTTGCCCTTAAAACCCTAAGTTACTGTCTTTTGTATTTCCAGACAAATTCATCATCTTCTTTTCCAGTGCTCATCTTTATTTTCTATTTGCACATCCGAGTTCATCAATATGCTTAACAGATTAAGAGTAGTCACATTCCTTAGAAGTTAACTGTGTTTTACAAAACATCAATTTTGTTTTTCATTGCAAATCCAAATACTTTCTATATAGAAGGTCCTACTAGAGGATGAAAATATTGCTGCAGTTTCCTGTTGTAATGACCCCACCACTGAATCAAGACGGCTATTCCCCATCACTGTGTTACCATTCCCTACTCTGATTATTTTCACCTGCATAGAGTCTACAGCGAGAAAATTCTCCTCTAAGAGACATACCTCAATAGAATATGAAATACTCTGTTTTAAAAATATAACTTTCAAGCACTTTTATTTAAGCTTCAATCAGTCTATCATCATTTATAAACTATCTACTTTGGTACTATCCATGAAGTGCCAAAGTGATGATGTTTCCTGTTTTACAGTGAGATCAAAATTGTAATGGATTCCAATAGTTTAAAGAAGCTATAAAATGAGCGCATCAAGGAAGAAATTGCTTGTAAGCTGAGTAGACACGTTTCAAAAAGAGTCAGTAATATATTCTATAGGAATGTTCTTGCCATTGATATAGCCGATCAAGATGGCTACAAATGGTTTGTGTGAAGAATGAATACCTACTACATAAATGTCTGTTATATATTTCTGCTTGTATGCTGTTATAAAACTGATAGAAAGTGTCTCTAGTTCTAGTAAAAAACTTGCCTAGTTGCTCTTTTTTCCACTAAAATAAGTGCAACTTTGCACTGATTATAAGTAAAAAAAAAAAACAAAAACTATCAGCTTATATTTTTTGGAGTATAGAATTAAATAACTTTACTCAATTCAAGTTAATTAGGTGGTAGGATAAATCACTGTTTGATGCTTGCACTGATTTTACAAGCCTCTTCATGAGATAATATATTTAAAAGTAAAATTTCCATTTTAATGCCTAAAAACTGAAACTTATATTGGAGAGCGTTATTGTTTCTTAATACCTTTACTCAGTAAATATAGGTAGGTTATTTTTCTTCCTACTTTTGTGGGGATGTTTGAATGTCAAAATGACTTTTTATGAAAAGAGTAAAATAAAACACTCATAAAATAAATTATATGCAAAAATGAGTTAAATATAGTCTTTTCGGTCACTGTATGTATCACACATAATTTGTATACAACAAAGTAAATTTTTAAAAATTTTTTTTCAGATACAAAACTATACAATGAGGATTTAACTTTCAATTGCAATACTTTACAAAATGCTATTCTAGGTTGAATTTCTCCACCGTGTGTGTGTGTGTGTGTGTGTGTGTGTGTGCCTATGTATAGTAAAATCTACGTATAACTATATTTATATATATTTACATAGATATACAGATATATCTATATCTTTGCCTCTATATATCACATATAAATATTTAATACAGAGAAACTGTTTTCAATTTTGTCAATATCAGAATATTTTCTTTCTGTTAACACAATATCACATTTTATGCATACACACATGATCCATTTTAGTCTACTTTAAGTTTCATTTTGAAGACACCACTTGCATTTGTTAACTGCCCAGTTTGAGCTATAAAAACCTGGACTACAGCAGTAGCTTTCTGTGAATAGAGATTGATATTAAAGCAACTGAAAATGTTTATAAAATGCTATTGCCTACTGCTGATCTGGGGATTTACTACACAGTTTATTAGACTTTTTCCTTCACCATTGATAGTGGCAGGAGGCAGACAAATGCCTAGGTAGATAGGGACGGGTCTCCAGTGAAACCCCATCTTCAAGTCAAATACAGCCTGAGCCTGAAAGACCTGGCTGCTAGTTCCAGATGAAACCTGAGACCTGAAGTAAGAACTTCTATTACTGTTTGCCTGTGCTTTCCTGATTTGTTCTTTCTGAATAATGCTTTTTAACCAATCAAATGTTGCTTTTTCCAATACCACCTATACCTGCCACTGCCCCATCCTGTGCCTATAAAAATCCCGGACCTAGATGAGCTAACTTCAGGTCAGAGACCACCTTCTCCTCCCCTGTTCGCTGAGAGCTGTTTTGTCGCTCAATAAAATTCTTTGTCCTCATCACTCTTGAACTGTCAGCGTGACCTCATTCGTCTTGGACATGAGACAAGAACTTGGGACTCACTGAACACAAGTACTCAGAAGGCTGTAACACTGTGGTCCTCTGTCCTCTGGGGGAGGGCGGCTGCCCCACATGACAGGAAGCAGTGGCAAAGCTGAGCCAGCCCCAGAGCCACCAGCCAGAGCAGGGCAAGGGGCTGACAGAGCTGTTAACATGTCACTATCCCTAGGGCTGCGGATGGCAGAACTAAAAGAGCTAATTAGCAAGTAGAATCGCCCCTTCCGGGGCTTCAAGGTCTGAGCACCCCTCTTGGGGTGCCACCGCATTCCCTTCGGGGTGACATGCCTGGTCCAGCTGCAAGCCCTGCCTAGAACCTGCCTGTGTACCGGTGCTTGGAACAGCCAGCTGGACCCCACACTCACTTGCTCACACACCCACTCCTGCCAGGGGCTGAGTGCGCAGCCACAGTAGCCACGGATTTAGCTGGTGCACAAGCCAGGCACGCCCGGGCAGGACGAGTGGGCGGGCTTCTTCCTGTGGCAGGTAGCCTGGCCAATCAAGGGCCAGGCAGGGGCGTTGCCGGCCAGAGGTCCCTGTCTGGCAAAATGACCAAGAAAAATTCCGAGTCACCAGCACATATGAAGGATAGAGCATGTTCCATCTGGTGATTCTCAGTATTATTCAGAAGGAAGAGAAGGACTCCACCTTAAAGTGAGGGAGTCTATCAGAATGTTGGCTGCGGGGGGATGGGCGGTTGAAATAAACATTGGTGATGATTTAATGATAGTAGCACATAATAATGCTACTCTCTTTCCTCACCATTCTGTAGCTCTTAAACTAATTTGTTTTCTATTAATAATTATATAACTTTTATTCTGATATTTATTGAATATTTATGATGTGCCAGATCCTTACAAAAACTTTGTCTTAATTCTCACAATCTCTCTCTAAGGCAGATAATCTTCTTATTCTCCTTACATATGAGGAAACTGAAATGTTAAGTCACTTATTCATGTTGGATATTGTAATATCTAGAGCTCAAAAAGATGCCCATATGGCATCAAATTCCATAATCTAAAATGCTATTATTGTACTATTTGTCTAGTGTTGCCTCAGGTTAGTATCAAATGCATCTTACTAAAATTATTTATTTTAAGAATATTCAATATATTTTTTGCATCTAGTAATGTGATTTTTGCATCTAGAAAAAACATGTGTTTTTAAAAATTACTGCAGCTGTGCATCTGATCAAAGAACAATAGATTTAATCACTGCCTTGAAGGTGCTACACATTATTGATAATAAAATATTAATTTTTTAGATGAAATATATGCATCCTCAAATTAAACATTTCATTTTCTACTGCTTTTCAAATGTATTATAGTTTATTTTTCAATAATATTTAAAATAATGAGAATTGATATTCTTAGTCAGAAATTTTAAAGGCAAAACTGATTACTGCATTAACTTAGAACTGAATGATCTGTACAAAAAAGGATAAAAAGATCAAATGTAAAAGTAGGTCTTAATATCTAGGTAAACTCACACTTTAAAATGAACTTTATAACACTTCCTTAGCATTTTGTAGTGCATATGTTTTTTGCTCTTTTTTTTTTTTATTTTAATAGAATGTGCTATAGGAGGGCAGGCGCAGGGGCTCACACCTGTAATCCCAGCACTTTGGGAGCTTTGGGAGACCCAGGCAGACGGATCCCATGAAATCAGGAGTTGGAGATTAGCCTGGCCAACATGGTGAAACTCTGTCTCTACTAAAAATACAAAAATTAGCCAGGCGTGTCGGCTGGCACCTGTAATTCCAGATACTCGGGAGGCTGAGGCAGGAGAATCGCTTGAACCCAAGAAGTGGACCGTAGGGTTTCTTCAAATAACAATGAAAATAAGCTATTTCCAGAATAATACTGGTGAAATTCCTTTTGTTTTTCTATTTTATGTTGTTTCTGTTATTTAGATGTTTAATACTGAAATCTATCCCATTCAGTGCTATGCTTTCTGACTATATCATTTTAAAATGCTGTGTCCTCAGTTTTTGCAATTTAAATTAAATGTTCTGCTTCATGTAAAATTGTAATTCCAAGCTCTTTAGCCAAACCATGATAATTTTAAAAAGTGAAGAACTGAAAATTATATGATTTTTTGAATTTACTTAGACAGGTATACAATAATAATTAGGTAAAAACAAAATCATCTTTGGAGGTCTGTGGTCACTCATTTTGGATGACTATATTAATAAAATTAAGATAACTGTTATATAGCTTATTTATTTTATTCTTTGTAACATTATCCTGAAAATGCAAGAAAGTCTGATAATAGCTTATTCTTAGCTGTATTTATAAAATGACTACCAAAACAATATGCTTATTTCAAAGTTATAGTCATAAGGGGAAGTGTTAATATTTATCCGGCTTGGCACTTAAAGGATTTTGGCTCTAATATTAATATATTTAATTTGCAAATTATTTTTAGGACATGAAACACTTTTATATGTAATATACCATGTTATTCTTACAGAATCACTACAAGGAATTCCATTTGACAGATGAGCAAAGTGAAAAAATAAATGATTAAGTAATTTACCAGCCCACATAACTAATGTGTGGCACCCAAAGCACTTCTTGACAGAATTAGGCATTAATTTGTATGAAACTACATCATAACTACAGATAAATATAGTCAGTAAATACTAGTTGATAGACAGGTTTTTATATCTATATATAAATTGTTTTATCCTCAGCATAGTTTTAGAACATAACAACAGTTTCAATAGTCTCCTACAAACTACAAAGTTATGTTCTATTTCTTCAAACTTCTCAGATATTTAAATATACAAGCAAGCAAAAAATATTAGTCTTAGCATCTGTTTGTATGTTGTTTAAGTTTTTTTACTAAATGTTACTTTTTGAATTTATAAGGGAATTATGATGATCGCTAATGGCTTTGTCATTTCATAGCAACACTTGATTTATTATACGTTATTTATCTTAAAGAATATGTTGCCAGTCAAGTGAGTTTTTCATATTTTGGCATGATATTATATGTTAAAATCTTCACCACTGTAAGGTCAAAAAACTGCAAAAAAACAGTAAGTAAACTCAGAATAATTTGAATAAGGAAAATTAAAAGAGCAGAAATTAATGAGAAGAAAAATGAATAATAAATATAAGTAAGTGACAGAAACAAAAATTGCTTCCTGGAAAAGACAAAATAATTCGTAAATCTCTAAAAACAAATGACCTCAAAAAAATGTAAAGAAAATTCATAAATTGCAAATATATAGAATGCAAAAGGATACAAGTAATCATCATAGAGTTACTAAAATGATACTAGTTTATGCAAATATATTCAATGTCTTGGGGCAACTATTTTCGAGGAACTTAACTGTGTCACGGAACAAGAGTCAAGAATATCAGAATGCAAATATATCCAACATCAATAAAATAATATTCCTAATGTCCACTATGCAATAAAAAATAAGCAGGTGTGCAAAGCAGCAAGAAAATGCCACCCATAATGAAGAGAAAAATCAATCAAGAGAGACAGAAATGATACAGATAATAGAATTAGTAGAAAAGGACATTGAAACAGGTATTACAACTATTTATATGTTCCAGAAGTTAGAGGAGTGACTGAGCATGTTTTACACATTCTGAAAAACACATAAAGATACAAATCAACTTTCAGAAATGCAAAGTTCAATATCTGAGATATTTTAAAATCACCTGATAAGATTAGAAGCACACTGCAGAAGAAAATCTTTGTGAATGTGAAGATACAGCAATAGAAAATTTTCAAACTAAAACAAGGGAAAAAGATCTGAGGGAAAAAATGAACCAAGCATCAGGGACTTGTGGAACAACTGTAACAATAATATTCGGTAAATTAGACTTAATCCAAACTCAAAACATAAACTTTTTAAAAGACACACAGAATTAAATATTGCGAGAAAATATTTGAAAAATGTATATACTTAAGGATTTGTACTAGACTATGTATATATAAGTGTGTACAAATTCATATAACATTATCTGTATATACACATTCAGTCATAAGATAAATAGCCTCATAAAAATTATCTGTTGAACAGATACTTCAACAAAAATTTATGTTGACATAAGAGCATATTAAAACCACATTCTGGACCATAAAACACATCTTAACAAATTTAAAAATGGAAATTATACAATGTTTGCTCTCAGAACACAATGAAATTAAACTAGAAATAAGTAACAGTAAGATAGCTGGAAATTTTCTAAATATTTGTAAATTAAACAACACATTTCTAAATAACATGTTTTTAAGTGAAAATGAAAACACAACTCGTCAAAATTTGTGGGATGCAGCAGAAGCAGTGCTTAGAGGAAAATTTGTGGCATTGAATTCATATATTAGGAAAGAATAAACATCTAAATTCAATTATCTAAGTATTTGGAAAACTAGAAAAAGAAAACAAATCAAAGTAAACAGGAGTAAAGAAATGATCTAAATTATAGCATGAATTAATAAAATTAAAAACAGAAATTAAGAGAGAAAATAAAAGCAAATAAAACAAAAACTGGTTTTTTGAGAAGACCAATAAAATTGATAAGATTCTAGGCAGGCTAGCTAAGAAAAAAAAAGATGAGGAACAAAAAGTATTAATATTATAAATGAGAGAGAAGAAATCACTGCTGATCCAGTGGATATTAAAAAATAATCAAGGAATATTATGAACCAACCTGGGCCCACAAATTTGATAACCTGATGAAAAAGGCAAATTTCTTAAAAGACGCAATTTGTCAAACTCATGCAAGAAGAAATAGATGATCTGAGTAAGTCTGTATCTGTTAGATACTGAATCTAGAACCAATTGCCTTCCAAAACAGAAAGCATCAGACCCAGATGGACTTGCTGGGGAACTCCACCAAACATTTAAGAAAAAATTATACAAATTATTCACAATCCCTTTCAGAACTTAGAAGCAGAGGGGAAACTTTCCAACTAATTCTATGAGATCAGCATTTCCCTAATGCCAAAATCAAACAAAGACATTAGAAAAAAGAAAACTACTGACCAAAACTACATAACTGTCATGAACACAGATGCAAAAATCCTCAACAAGATGTTAGTAAATTCAAACCACTAATTTATAGAAAGAATTGTACGTGAAGTAAATTCATTTTATTCCCAGTATGCAAGGCTGGTACACCCGTCAAAAATTAATGTAATCCATCACATCAAGTTGCTCAAAAAAGAAGGCTCATATAATTAGATCAGGAAAAAAGCACAAAACACACACACACACGTGCGTCACAAAATCCATCCATGCATCATAAATATTCTCAATAAACTAGGAATAGATGGTTACTTCTTCAACTGGGTAAAAAACATTTACAGAAAGCTTCAGCGAACATACTAAATGGAGAGAAACTAGAAGCTTTCCTACTGAGAGCAGGAACAAGGCAAGGATGTCCCCCTACTATTGCCTTTCAACTTTATACTGCAAGTCCTAGCTAATGCAATAAGACAAGACAAGGTAATGAAAGGTATTTAGATTAGGAAGGAAGAAATAGCACTGTATTTGCAGATGATATGATTGTCTACGTAGAAAACCCAAAAGAATTGACCAACCCCCACCCCCACTGGAACTAATAAACAAGAATAGCAAAGTTGTAAGTTATAAGGTTTATAAGGTTAATATATACAAGTATTTCTCTTTCCTATATCCAGCAATGCACAAGCAGAACTTGAAATTTAAAAAAAAAACACAATCCCTCTTATATCAGTACTATGAAAAATAATAAGTATAAATCTGACAAAATATATGCAAGATATGTTTAAGGAAAACTATAAAAGTCTGATGAAAGAAAAGAACTGAATGGAGAGATATATCATGTTCATGGATAGAAAGATTGAATATTGTCAAAATGTCAGTTCTTCCCAACCTGATCTACAGATTCAATTCACTTCCAATAAAAAATCCCAGCATGCTATTCTGTGGATGTCAACAAACTGATTCTAAAATTTACATAGCGAGGAAAAAGACCCACAATAACAAACACAGCTGTGCTCCTTGATAGTTAACCAAAGGAGCTGAAAACTTAGGTTCACACAGACACACACACACAAAAATTGCACATGGATGTGTAAAGTGGATTTATTCACAATTGCCAAAATTTGGAAGTAACCAAGATGTCCTTTAGCAGGTGCATGGATAAAGCAACTTTGGTTTATTTACATCCAAACAGTGGTGTTTTATTCAGTATTAAAAATAAATTAGCTTTGAAAACATGAAAAGACAAGGAGGAAACCTAAATGCATATTACTAAGTGAAACATGTCAATCTTAAATAGCTACATACTGTATGATTCTGACTATATGGCATTCTGGAACATGCAAAATTATCGAGATAGTAAAAAGGTCAGTGGTTGCCAGGAGTTATGGGGAGAGGGAAGGCTGAATAGGCAGAGAACAAAGGATTTTGGGGGCAGTGAAAGTATTCTGTACACTACTCTAATGGTGGTCTCTTGTCATCATAATTTTTTCTAAGCCCAAAGAATGTATAACACTAAAATTAATCCTTAAGGTAGACTTTGGATGATAATGATGAGTCAATATAAGTTCATCAATTGTAACAAATGTTTCACTCTTGTGGGGGATGTTGATAATGGGGAAGGCCATGCGTGTTTAAGGGTATTGCTAAAATTAAACATTTGGATCATATCAAGTTTTGGAGAAGCTGTGTTACAATTGAAACTCTTATACACTCTTAGTGGGAGTATAAAATGGCCTAACCATTTGCAAAAAAAATTTTGAAAGTTTCTTAATACCTTGAACATCTATCAGTCATATGACTAAGCAATGATTACATTGTATTACACTGTATCTTGTTATATAATATGTTAATATATATTACATAATATAGTAATAATGGCCACAATATTATTAGCTATTATTACTAGCTACCATTACTAGGTATTTACCTAAGAGAAGCAAATGCTTGCATGCACACAAAACTTACATAATACTGTTCAGAGAAGCTTTATTGCAATAGCTCAAATTGGAAATAACCTAAATGTCTATCAGTATGTAAATGCAGAAAACACATTGTGCTATATCCATACAATGGAATAGTGCTAAACAATAAAAATAAATAAACTATTGTTATACACGATGACATGGGTGAATCTCAAAATAATTATGTTAAATAAAATAAGCCATACCAAAGAAGCACATCTTCTATATTATTCCATTTACATAAAATTCTAAGAAATGCAAACCATATTGGCAGAAAAACAGTTGTGTTTTTTGTTTGTTTGTTTGTTTTTTGCCTGGGGATGGTAGAGATGGACTGAGAAGTGTGAGAGAGATTAAAAGGATCACAAGAAAACATTGGGAAGTGATGGACATGTTTAGCATCCTGATAGTGGTGATTAGAAAGTGCAATCATGGAGGAGTACATATGCCAAATTTACTAAGTTGCACACTGATAAACCTACACAATGTTTATAATAGCTAAAACTAGAAAGACTGGCAACCAATTGTTGGCAAGGGTTTGAAGCAAAAGGAACTCACATATATTTCCTCTGAAAGACATTATCTTACGATAGGAAATATATATTTACCATATGATGGTGCTATTCCATCCTTTAGTATTTACGCTGCAGGAATCAGAACAAAAGAGTTGTTCATATGTGGTCATAGCAACTACGCTCATGAAATCCCAAACTTGGAAACAACTCAGACGTTCATCTATGGTAAGTGAATGGCTCATGGTAATATACGATGCATACTACTCAGCAGTAAAAACGAACAGCCTAATGATGCATAAAAATAGTGATATGTGTTATAACTTATACTGTGAGAAAGAATCCAGCCGAAAATGTACATGTATGATTCCATTTATAGTAAGTTCTGGAACATGCAGAACACTGTTTCAGTGATGAAGAGCAAATCAAATTGCCTAGAACTGAAGCTGGGAAGTTATTATCCACAAAGGGAAAGGTTTCTAGAGACTTTAACTGGTGGTTATACACATCTGTCAAAATTCATTAAAATGCACACAAAATTGGTGCTTTTTATTGTATAAAAATTATATCTCAGTAGATTTGAATTAAACAACACGAAAGAATCAGGTTCCCAAGAAGCTGAATCTTGACACATTGACGTGACTTTTTTTTTTTTGAGACGGAGTCTTGCTCTGTCACCCAGGCTGGAGTGCAGTGGCTCGATCTTGGCTCACTGCAAGCACCGCCTCCCGGGTTCACGCCATTCTCCCGCCTCAGCCTCCCGAGTAGCTGGGACTACAGGCGCCCGCCACCACGCCTGGCTAATTTTGTTTTTATATTTTTAGTAGGGATGGGGTTTCACCATGTTAGCCAGGATGGTCTCCATCTCCTGACCTCGTGATCCGCCCACCTCGGCCTCCCGACATGACATTTTATATGGCTATTGAAATGCAAAATTTTGCTACCTTGTATTTTTGTAAAACTGAAATTCACATTCAGAGCTAAGGTCGTGATACCTTGATTCAGCAGTTGAAAAATGGCGTGATTACAAATGAAAGCACAGGTCTACCCATGAAATGCCCAAAGTCCAGCCAATTCATTTCATGTATGCACAAACTTATTGGACATAATTCCTTTTTAAAAAGGTTAACTTCAATGTAACCACTGAAAAGCTAAATTATGAATTATTTTATGTATATAACGGTTTTGTAGAATTTATTATTTTTCCATGCTTGACCTAACTTAATTCTACATAATAATGTAAAAGTTACCCTTGATTTTTGTTAGAATATGTGTCACTATCCAGTGAGGAAGCTTCTCAGTATGGGAAATGCTAAACATTTTATATTTAGTGTAGATGTAGTTATAATAGAAACCCCCCAAAATATTATAACTTCTGGTTAAAATTAGAATTCAGAATATTTTTCTTATGTCCTAAGCAGCTTATACACAAATTCCATTGTTCACTCAAGGTGATGCCCCATAGAGTTGGCATGGTTTAATCTCACTAAATGTAGGTAGTGAAGAAAAAAAAAAGGGGGGCTCTTTTCATCTGATCACAACTAAAAACTAAGCCTAAATTCAAGTCAAGGATATGTGAGCTATCTAGTCTTATACCCAAACTCCCCACAATCCAAAACTGTTTGTTCAAATCTGACCCAAATTAAAGAAGATTGAGCAAAAAGGACAGTGAAAACTCAATCTATTTGCTCTTGTGACATGCGTTTGACTTATTTATCACTGCTGGGTCTACTGACTGAATTCACAAGAGAAATTAGAGCTCTTTGTATTTTCTGCAGCAGACCAATTTAATATGCCAAAAGACTGTTCACTCTCATTTGCTTCCTCGACACCTGACAGACAACCGAGTAAAACTTTTTTTTATTTAAATAAGGAACTAAGATCAAGAGTCTAATAGTTCTGAGTTCAATTCATAGACTTATTACTTGTTAGACTTAACCTGGGCGAAGCATTCCACTTGGGCTGACATGTATAGAATGTAATAAGAATTGAATAGAGACTGTGTGGTAAATTCTTTGTGGGCAATGAAGACTAGCTGTTGGTAGATATTAGGGTCCCACCAAAAGAGAAATTCTGTCATAGGAGGCCACTGGAGTACTATAACAAATTAGTCAACCTCAACATCCTAGATAATTGGATTTCTGTTGCTTAGACTTGGTTGTTTTTACTTGTCAGCAATCATAATCATTCTATTAAATAATTATTTATGGCCGGGCACCATGGCTCACACCTGTAATCCAAGCACTTTGGGAGGCCGAGGTGGGAGGAACATGAGGTCAAGAGATCGAGACCATCCTGGCCACATGGTGAAAACCCGTCTCTACTAAAAATACAAAAGTTAGCTGGGTGTGGTGGCACGCGCCTGTAGTCCCAGATACTCGGGAGGCTGAGGCAGGAGAATCACTTGAACCCATGAGGTGGAGGTTGCAGTGAGCTGAGAGCACACCACTGCACTTCAGCCTGGCAACAGAGAGAGATTCCGTCAAAAAAAATAATTATTATTATTTAGATTTATAAAATAATACATGAAATTTAATGGTTGGTCTATTATCAGCATATTTATCCATCTAATCAATATTCTTCCAATTCTGTTTCACCCATTTTTTAATTAGTTTAGTTATTAAATCAATAAAAAGTATTACTGCAGAATGCAAAAACATGAATGATTCTCACAGGCAATATATTGAAGGAAAAAGCCAAACATATTATCATCAGATGATTCCATTCATACAAAGTTTGAGACTAGACAAAATTTAATTTGTAGTGTAAGAAAGCAGAATTGTTATTATCTCTGGGAAGGACCATGAAAGAATATTCTGGAATAATGTATATTTTGTGTAAGGTATTTCACCCATTTTAATAGTTCATAAATTTATATTAGAAAGGTCAGCATTTCTCTTGAGGAATATATGAATATAACAATCCACAATATTTTTTCATCTGAAAAAAAACCTCCATAGAGTAATAATTGTCAAATTTTGCATTATTATCTCTAAAAAGTAATGTCATTCTTCTTTGAATTTTTCTCTACATTATTTGTACAGTGTTAGAGAAAGTGTCCTTGCAAACTGTATTTATGAGTAACATATTAGTTCAGCCTGAGAACAAAAAATTAATAATGTCATAGGAAACCATTGGAGTACTATAATAGTGTACAGATTTCAACATTCCTTTTGCCCATCAATTTGTTTAAGATTTGAAGCAGCTTTGGGAAATAATATTTATATTTAATATAATATTAAAATTTTAACATAGTTGTTACTTTTATTGAGATTACTTTCCTCTAATAGTTATTTTGGAGTTGTCACCATTACAACATAACAATTTATAGGTTTTGCTTATAAATTTTAATTTTAACTTTAATACAACCCTGTTTTTTGGGTAAAAATGTGATATTACTACAGTATCTACTCATTAAAGTTAATAATATAAGGCTAAAACTCTTTTTCAAAATAAACAACGTTTGTTTGCATACTTATTCCCATAAAAATGGATAAAAACAGAAATTCTTTACAAGTTATTTCAACAGGCACAAAACTATGAATAATTTCTCGAATAATTATTCCCTTCTAAAGAAGCAAAAAAAAAAAACAAAAACAAATTTTCCTCCATGAGCTTTTCAAGTTTTGTGTGATTCATTCATAGTAAAATTTGCTTTACCCATTTGTTTTTTACAAAAGGCAAATCATTTAATGACACACATGAGTGGAATAATCAGTCAAAACTAAAATTTTTATGAGCTTGAGATAAGAAAATAAACACCCTGTCATTTTTCTTTTATTTTCGTCTTTTCTACTTTTAACAGCCATACAGAAGTCTAAACTTACCACAAAGAAAGGCTGCTCCCATGCTATTTTATAAAGATGCAGAATATTATATAATTCAGCTTGGTATTAACATATTGAAATTAATTATTCTTAAAGTTATCTTAGAAGCTGAATGTGAAGGTTCATTTTAAAAATAGAGAATTTAATTGTATTATAAACTCAATATTTAATAATTAAAATAGCAGTCTGGCATGGTGGCTCACGCCTGTAAGCCCAGAACTTTGGGAGGCCAAGATGGACAGATCACTTGAATTCAGGAGTTCGAGATCAGCCCGGCCAACGTGGCAAAACCCCATCTCTACAAAAAATTAGCTGGGTGTGATGGTGTGCACCTGTGGTTTCAGCTACTTGGGAGGTTGAGGCAAGAGGATCGCTTGAGTCCAGGAGGTGGAGGTTGCAGTGAGCCAAGATGGCACCACTGCACCCCAGCCTGGGCAACAGAGTAAGACCCTGTCTCAAGAAAAGAAAAAAAAAAAATTAAATAACCACACAACTAAAAATGTGATATAAAATAGAACAATGAATTGAGTGATCTCTTTTAAAAGACCACTTTGATACTTCACTAAAGTTTAGTAATATAATTAATAATTAAAATCTTAGAAAGTTGTTCTTACTTATTATAATAGCATGTTTTCTTTTTTTCTTTTTTCTTTTTTTTTTTTTTTTTTGAGACAGAGTCTCGCTTTGTTGCCCAGGCTGGAATGCAGTGGCTGGATCTCCGCTCACTGCAAGCTCCGCCTCCCGGGTTCACGGCCATTCTGCCTCAGCCTGCCAAGTAGCTGGAACTACAGGCACCCACCACCACGCCTGGCTAATTTTTTGTATTTTTAGTAGAGATGGGGTTTCACCGTGTTAGCCAGGATGGTCTCGATCTCCTGACCTTGTGATCCACCCGCCTGGCCTCCCAAAGTGCTGGGATTACAGGCGTGAGCCACTGCACCCGGCCTATTTTTTTTCTTTAACAATAGTAAAATAGACTTTTTTCACCAAAGATGTTCTGTTTTAGAAAATAAGCAAAGCAAATAAAATTTAAATGATAAAATAAGAAAATAATTGAACCTGAAGGATAAGGGAAATTAGTTCTTTAACAGACATTCATAATCTTATATATAGTCTAATCTCACTAAAAATATTATCCTATAGATTATTCCATCTTTCTACTCATTTTTCGAATTACTATTTTTATGATAATATAGTCATATAATTTTTCCAATTTTCTTATATTTCATTGATATATTGGTGCCTACTGGCAAATATATATATTTGAAAAAGAAATATAGATATCTAGATGTTTATATATAAATATGTATTTTTTTCTTTCTTTCTTTTTTTTTTTTTTTTTGGAAATGGATTCTCGCTCTATCACCCAGGCTAGAGTGCAGTGGCACAATCTCAGCTCACGGCAACCTCTGCCTCCCGGGTTCAAGCAATTATCATGCCTCAGCCTCCCTGAGTAGCTGGGATTACAGGCATGAGCCACCACACCTGGCTAACTTTTGTATTTTTAGTATAGACAGGGTTTCACCATGTTGGCCAGGCTGATCTCAAACTCCTGACCTCAAGTGATCTGCCCGCCTCGGCCTCCCAAAGTGCTGAGATTACAGGCATGAGCCCCCACACCCAGCCCTAGGAAATAGACATGCTGTTTAATAAACATAACTTTATAATAATTTTGGCTATTTGGCACAGTTCATCTTTTTTTTTTCAAAATACCTGTGCTAATTCTGTGTCTATTTTTCCCAGATGAATATGACAGAACTTGTTTTATTTCTAATAAATCTGTTGAAATAGTGATTAAGATTCATTATCTGAGAACACCATTTAATCAGAAATTCTGTTATTCTGTAAATTTTACAATTTTCAAAATATAAATATTAAGTATTTTGTGTTAAGATTATTGCTAGGTAGTTTTATTGGTCTGATAATTGAATTAGTTTTCTTTTGTGTAATTAACTTGGTTATTGCTAATGAATTTAAATTATACTTGTTTAATGTTTATTTTGCCACATACAAAAAGTCTTACTTTGTTCCTTCTCATAATTTGACAGCAGCTTCTCTTGGATTTTAAATGTAGAAATCTGATAACTTCCTTTATAGTATCAATGTCTCTTCACTTTTTTAGGCCCCTAAAGTTACCTGATTTTGTGTGCAAGACCCTCATAATGTTCTCTTTTTTATTAATACACAAAAATTGTACATAAATATGGGGCATGTGATATTTTGATATATGCACAAAATGTTTAATGATCAAATCCGAGTATTTGGGATATATATCACTTCAAAGATTTATCAATTCTTTGTGTTGGGAAGATTTAAATGGTTATCTTCTAGCTATTTTGAAATATACAATACATTATTGTTAGTTATAGTAACCCTACTATACTATCGAACACTAGGACATCTTCCTTCTATCAGACTGTATGTTTGTACCCATTAACCAACCTCTCCTCATCCCCTTCAGCACCACCTTTCCCAGGCTGTGGTAACCATCATTCTACTCTCTATCTCCATGAGAACCACTTTTTTAGTTCCTGCATATAGTGAGAACATGAAATATTTGTCCCTCTGCACCTGGCTTATTTCACTTAACATAATGACCTCCAGTTCCATCCATGTTGCTTCCAAAGACAGGATTTTATTTCTTTTTATGACAGAATAGTATATATATATATACACACACACACTATATATATACACACACATAAGTACATATATATATGCACATATGTATACATGTATACATACATACATATATACACATATTTCTGTGTGTGTGTGTATATATATATATATATATATACACACTATACACACACACACACACATACCACATTTTAAAAATCCATTTATCCATTAATGATAGAATCCAGGTTGATTCTATATCTTTGCTATTGTGAATAGTGCTACAGTAAACAGGAGGCAGGGAAGTATCTCTTTGATATACAGATCTGCTTTCCTTTGGATAAATACCTAATAGTTGGATTACTGGATTGCATGGTAGTTCTATTTTTATTTTTTTGAGAAATCATATTGTATAAGTCCATTTTCATGCTGCTATGAAGAAATACCTGAGACTCCGTGATTTGAAAAGGAAAGAGGCTTAATTGACTCACAGTTCTGCATTGCTTGGAGACCTCAGGAAACTTACAATCATGGCAGAAGGCAACGGAGAAGCAGGCACCTTCTTCATAGGCTGGCAGGATGGAGTGAGTGCAAGCAGGTGAAATGCCAGACTCTTATAAAACCATCAGATCTTGTGAGACTCACTCATTATCATGAGAAAGCCATGGGGAAAACTGCCCCCATGATCCAATTACCTCCACCTGGTACTGCCCTTGACCCAGGGGGATAATGGTGGTTACAATTCAAGGTAGATTTCAATGGGGACAGAGAGCCAAACCATGTCACATGCTGTTTTCCATAATGGCTATCTTTACATTCCCACCAACAGTGTAAAACTTCTCTTTATATCCTTGACAGAATTTATTACTTTTTTGTCTTTATTCATAGCAGCCATTCTCGCTGGGATGAGATATTTCATTGTGGTTTTGATTTGCGTTTCCCTGATGATTAGCGAGTTTAGCATTTTTTATATACCTGTTGTCCAATTGCATGTCTTCTTTTGAGAAATATCTATTCAGAAACTTTTCCAAACCTTTTAAATGAGATTATATCTTTGCTGATGTTTGAGTTCCTTGTATATTCTAGATATTAGTCCCTTGTTGGATGAATAGTTTAAAAATATATTTCCCATTCTTTGTGTTGTCTCTTCATTTCGTTGATAGTTTTGTTGCTATGCAGAAGCTTTTAATATAGTCCCATTCACCTTTTTATGTTTTTGTTGCCTGCTCTTTTGATTATCTTAACCATAAAATATTTGCCTAGACCAATGTCCTAAAGTTTTTCTCATGTTTTCTTCTAGTTGTTTTATAATTTCAGGTCTTATGTTTAAGTATTTAATCCCCTTTGAATTAACTTTTGTATATGGTGAGAGGTAGAGATATATTTGTATCCTTCTCTATATTGACATCTTGTTTTCACAATACCATTTATTGAAGAGAGTTTCCTTCCCCCAGTGTATGTTCATAGCAACTGGTCAAAAATTAGTCAGGTGTAAATACAGATTTATTTTAAGCTTTTCTATTCTTCTCCATTTTTCTGTGTGTCTAATTTTATAACAATGCCATGCGTTTTAGTTACTCTAGCTTTATAATACATTTTGAAATTGGGTATTGCGATACCACCAGCTTTGTTTTGCTTGGTATTTCGATGGTCATTTGAGTCTTTTGTGGTTCCATACAAATTTTAGGATTGCTTTTTTCTATTTTTGTGATGAATGTTATTGGCATTCAAATAGGGATTGCATTAAATTCAAAGATTACTTTGGGGAGGATGGGCATTTTAACAATATCAATTCTTGTGAACATGAGCATGGGATATTTTTCCACTTGTTTGTGTTTTCTTCAATTTCTTTCATTAGTGTTTTGTGGTTTTTCTTATACAGGTCTTCACTTCCTTGGTTATATTTATTCCTAAGTATTTAATCTTTTGTAGCTATCGTAAATGGGATTGTCTTCTTGATTTCTTTTTCAGCTGACCCATTATTGGTGTATAGAAATGCTACTGATATTTATATGTTGATTTTGTATTCTGCAACTTTACACAATTTATCAGTTCTAAGAGTGTTTTGGTGAAGCCTTTAGGTTTTTTTATGAGTTTATGTTGTCTTCAAAGAAGGACAATTTGACTTCCTCTTTTCCAGTTTGACTGCATGGTATTTCTTTTTCTTGTCTGTATTGCTCAAGCTAGGATTTTCAGTATTACATTAAATGACAGTGGTGATGGTGGATGTTTGTCTTGTTCTAGTTCTTAGCAGAAAGGCTTTCAGCTTTTTCCCTTTCAGTATAATGTTAGCTGTGGATTTGTAATATATGGCCTTAATTATGTTGAGGTATGTTCCTTTTATGCCTAATTTGTTGAGAATTTCTATCATGAAGGAAATTTGAATATTATGAAATGCCTTTTATACATCTATTGAGGTAATCCTATGGTTTTTGTCCTTTACCCTATTGATTTGATGTATCATGTTTGTTGATGTGCATATGTTGAGCCATTCTTGTATCCCAGGGATAAATACCACTTGATCATGGTGTATTATCTTTTCAAATTATTGTTGGATTCAGTATGCTAGTATTTTCTTGAGAATTTTTGCATCTATGTTCATCAGGATATTGGCCTGAAGTTTTCTTTTAGTCATTATAGAATCCCTATGTAACTTGCTTTCAGGGTAATAGTGACCTCATAGAATGAATTAGGAAGAAGTCCCTCCTCCTCCATTTTTTTATTAATAGACAAGAATTGGTATAAGTTCTTCTTTACAAGTTTGATAGAATTCTATCATAAAGCCATGTGGTCCTGGGCTTTTGTTTGATGAAGATGTTTACTACTGATAGTCTTGTGACTCATTATTAGTCTATTTAGGCTTTCTATTTCTTCCTGATTCAATCTTGGTAGGTTGTCTGTGTCCAGGAACTTATCCATTTCTTCTAGGTTTTAAAATTTGTTAGCATATAGTTGTTCATAATAATCTCTAATGACTTTTTTTTACTTTGATGGAAGTTGTAATATTGCCTTTTTATTTCTCATTTTTTGTCCTCTATTTTTTCTTGGTTAGTCTGGCTAGCTATTTATCAATTGTATTTATCTTTTTAACAAACCAACACTGCATTTTGTTGATCCTTTGTAATTTTTAGTCTCTATTTCATTTGTTCTTCTCTGATCTTTATTATTTCTTTCCTTTTACCAATTTTGGGTTTGATTTCTTCTTGCATTTCTAGTTCTTTAAGGTGCATTGTTAAAATTTTTATTTGAGTTATTTCTACTTTTTAATAAAGGTGATGCAGGCATAGAAAGACAAGTACTGCATATTGTCACTCATATGTGAGTGCCAAAAAAGTTGATCTCATGGAAGTAGAGAGTGGAATGAGGGTGACCAGAGGCTTGTAAGGGTAGTGAGGCAGAAGTCCTAAAGATAAATTGGTAAATGGGTACAAAAATACAAGCAGATGGAATAAGTTCCAGCCTTTGGTAGCAATGCAGGGTGACTATAGTTAACAATAATTTATTGTGTATTTCAAAATAATTAGAGGAGTGGATTTTCAATGTTTTCTCAACTCAAAAAGTGATAAATGTTTTAAGTGATAGATATAGCAATTACCCTAATTTGATTATTACACATTGTATGGTTGTATCAAAATATTACATGCACTCCATAAAAATATACAACTATTACCTATCCATGAAAACTAAAAATTAAATAAACATAAAATATTTAAAAAATGACTGGGGACTTGTCTGACAGATCATAGGAAAAAATAAATACAAATAACTTTAAAAAATCCTAATTTTAATTGCTAATACATTATTTCCAAAATACAGTCATGAGATTTATTTTTTCACTAGAAATGAGATAATGTCAAAATGTGATATAATCTCAGAGTTAAATGAGATAATATTGTGATGCTCAGTATATGAGGAAAGGAACGTTCCTATACATTTTTTCCAAGTAATTACTTAATAACTCTCAAGGTTACAACTTGTCATAATTATAATTACAATTAATATCACTTGAATTGATTTAGCAACTCAATTTTTAGGCATTATTTTACACATAGCATTGATCCCATGGGCACACATGTAAAAATAGGTATTTATAATGTCATTCATTGAAATATATTTGTAGTAACAGAATATTATGAACAAATTTAATGTTCATCAACAGAAAACTGATTTAATAATGTATATGTTCACGCAGTAGAATACTATGAAACAAAGAAAATAATGCAAACTAAAACAAATAGACAAAAATCGTGTGTCACTGCTGCCAGGGAGGTGAAAACTACTCCCAAGTATAATACCACATGAAAAAGCAACTTGTAGAACAAAGTCTGTGATGTATAGCACCTGGGATGGAAAGACAAAAGGAAAAGATAAATGATAATAGCTGGGCTAATACTCAAGCAAAGTCTCAATAATTTTTACCCCTATGGTAACAACTATGAAAATTTGAGTCCCAAGGGAAACAAGGCCAGTGGAAGGTTTACTGTTCAACAGATTAACACCTGTGTAGATTGAATTTTAATTTATCTTTGTGTATATTACCTATTCCAAAACAACTTAATAATTTTAAATACATTTACAACACGTGAACTTGCTTGACTTGACTTGAAACCAAATCTTAGTTAAATCCAAAGTAAGACTTGTTAATATGCTACTTTAATTTTAAAAATAATGTTTTCAAAACTCACTAAATCAAAACATTAATTTAGCAACATACTGTGTCACAGAAGTTTCTGTATGATTCATGAAATCAAAGCACTACATAGTAAAAATGTGCTTTGTGGCCAGGCGCGGTGGCTCACGCCTGTAATCCCAGCACGTTGGGAGGCTGAGGCGGGTGGATCACGAGGTCAGGAATCGAGACCATCCTGGCTAACACGTTGAAACCCCGTCTCTACTAAAAAAATACAAAAAATTAGCTGGGCGTGGTGGCGGGCACCTGTAGTCCCAGCTAATCGGGAGGCTGAGGCAGGAGAATGGCATGAACCCAGGAGGCGGAGGTTGCAGTGGGCCAAGATCGCGCCACTGCACTACAGCCTGGGCGACAGAGCGAGACTCCATCTCAAAACAAAACAAAACAAAACAAAACACTGTGCTTTGTGCTAAATAACTAAATATATAATAACCACTTGTAACAACTGAAAAATTCTTTGAACCACTAATATATATTGCTATATGCGTAAAATATTTAGAAGCAAAGGATATTCCTGTTCTCTCTAATACATAATTCTTGGTTATTTTATTATTTTGTGAATGACATCTGACTTTCAAGAAGATTATTTATTTTTAAACAGCAAACGCAAACCACAAAGATAGAACAAGGTTCCCTTTTAAAGTTGCATGACTTTCAAAGTTATAGTTCTCTTTTGATCCAAGTATATATTTGAGTATCTATTTCCCTTCATACTTTTGACATGTTAGTAATGAGTTGAAACCCAGTCTGATGGCTAATATTGTCTTAACATGATGCATTTGCTTTAACGAAGCATTATGACAAATACTTTTTGATTGCAACATAGTTTTCTTCATTGGTTGTTCAAAAGTGACCAATTTTAGTAGCTACTCTGAAATATGTAGAAATATATGTTTCAATCCAAGTTAATACATTGTTAATGCATTTCAAGTGTTTGTGCAGAGTCAACATGGAAATTGAATTTCATTTGAAAGCAAAAACAAGTTACCACTTCTCACTGAAGTGTTTATGAATATGTAAATGTTAGTCTAAATCATAGTATAGAGATCTTTTCTGAGGCATCTTTAATTATCTGAAAGGATAAATATGAGACTCATTGTCATTTGTAAGGGAAAATGACAGGCTGTAATAAAAGGAATGAATGCTAAGCATAGATTTAAAAACTGTATTACATTAAACAATGTGAAAGAGGATATGGAAATACTAAAGATCTCAGGAGACCCAGATAACATTTAACATAGACTCTTTCAGTAATTACTCATATTGTATGACTTTCAAAGTTATAGTTCTCTTTTGATCCAAGCATATATTTGAGTATCTATTTCCCTTCTATTTTATTTTATCTATTTTAACTTCTATTTCCTCTTGATTTGCTGTTAACTGGTTATAATACATACCTTACCAACTTCCAATATTGGTTGTAATGACAAAACAGTGAACTATATATGAAAAATCTTTAAGAGTTATATAAAACACCAATTAAACATATTATTTTTATAATTCTAGAAGTATTTTTATTATTTCATAGTTGTGATGACTGAACTAACAATAACCCAAGTAATTAAAACAAATTTTTATTAGTATTTATTAAATAATCTATATGTGACTATGAATAATTTGCCATTAACTGTCCTGGAAAGAAGGAAGCTTGGTTTCAGCATCCTATGCCTCTGGAAAAGAAGAAAACATAAGAGAATCATTAAACCTTTTAAAAGAGACTGGGAGAAGTATTGATGAATTTCTCATAAATCTATTTTCCCTTGTACTATAACAGTACTCTCCAGTTTCTACGTGCATTGGAAAAAAAGTTTTGATTTTGTTTGACTTAGGAAGCTAACTTTTTTGTGAAAGAGACAGATACTCATTGTCCTTCCCAGCTCTTCTTGGATGGTTTGGAAAGAGCTTTCCTCTAATTCTGATCAGAAGTAGCAGCAACAGCTGGTTCTCCTCCCTCTGATGGAGATTACCACCATTTCCTTTCCCACCCCAGCTGACGACGGTGTCTATTATTTATGATCATTAGATTACACTCATCCCTCAGCTTTTGGGCAGGTATACAAAACCAAATCAGCACATCAATCTTTTCCTCTCTGAGTTTCCAGTCTACGGATTCACACCTGCCTCTTTCCCATATTTATTAGGCAAAAGCCTGAATCCACAGATGGGCCTTAAACTGTGAAGGAAAGGAAAACAAAATTTGGAAGAATCAAATGCTACAGATAATTTCATAATCTTGATTATATTTTTTAAAAAGTAAAAAAGATTAGCAGTTGATATTCTACCATTGCGATTCTCATTAGCAATGTTTAATTCTTACTAAACATTTTTAGATGAAAATGCAATAACATCTGTAAATACAAAAAATAAAATTTATGTTTAAATTTATTAATATACATGGGGAAAGAAAATCCTTTCCGATTTAGTAAAGAAACAAATACTAATTCCTTGTAGAAACACTGAGTAGGCCTAACGGATAGTTTAGAAACTGGGAGAGGGGCTAAACGTTGTTCACAAAGAAAATACATGAAGGTGTTCCTAAGCAAATGCACCAAGATAACTCTATTGAAATAATTCCATGAAATTCAAGTTCAGTATTATCTCCACTTACCCAGTTGCTGCAAAGCTTAAAGTATTTCTATAGTCATACCCACATGTACAAAATCATCTTGATGCTTGGTTAATATTATTGATTGCCTTAAGCACTGCAATTAACTAAGTTATTTGGCCTTTTATAGGAGACGTAAATTGCTGGATACTGTATCTTAAACATAAGAAATATAAAACTAAGTTTGTAACTTCTGCAGTGTATAACATAAATCAACATTGAGGCCAGGACTTTCCTTTAGGGTTCTATTTACAAAGCCACTATAATTGAATGAAAAGTAAGAATGGTGAGGGTAAGACCCTGTGAAGAGGGCTTTATTTCTGAACTAAAGATAGATTTTTAAATACGTGCCCTCTCACATAGCCTTCACCTGAGTTTCTAGCAGCAGCTGTGCCTTGAAGTGCACACAGGAGCTATGAAACTCTAAGGGGAATAAAAGGACTAAAAGAGGAAAAAAAGTTCAAGACGTTTAAGTCAACACTATAATTATGTAGAAATAAATATAACATGTAACATATCAATTCTGATAATAGCCTCAATATGTCATCTACTTATAATTTCCCTGCTTTTAAGTAGCTTATACTGAATCAAATCGAAGTTATAGTGAAACGAACCAAGGCCAAAACTGTTTAATTGTTTAGACTTTAAGTGAATTAATGTCACCTAACTGCTTAAGTGAATAATTATGAGGATTTTAAAGCCCAAAATTTTCTTCAAATTTCTGTCTCTATTGTTATTTTTATATATCTGCAGTATATTTTAAATAGTAACATTTCTTTATACACATCATTATTTCCTTATCTTTCTTCATATTCATATCAATCTATCTAACTTAAGGCTCTCAGAATAACAACAAAGTATTTCAAGTTTTCAGTCTTAGAATTGTCAACTTGTTAAAAAAAAACCCATGTTATAAGTCATTTGAAATGACAACTTAATATTAACAAAAGGTCTACATAGAAAATACTGATTCAGGAAACAGAATATAGGGAGGGAACTGGGAGCTAGTTCCCGAAACCCCACTGCTCTGAGCTGGGGATGGGTTGGGGTTAGGGCTAGTAAAAACACCATGAATTTTCCTATTTTTTTGAATGTGGCTTTTTCTTAGTTGGATATTTATTTGTTTGTTGTAGACCTTTGGCTGTTTTTCTGAGTTCCTATAAAGTTATTTTAGCCAGTCTCTAGTTTTTTATTTTATTTTAACGTTTCTGTTTTGTTTTTATTATTATTATTTTAATGCCTCTGGTATAAGAGGGCCTGGAACTTCTTGGTTCCAGCCATATGGCTGAAATCACTCCTCTGGAGCTATTTTTAAAGAAATATTTTGGCTCAACAAAATTAAACACTGGCATATCAAGTAAATTGGAGTAAATCAATGAATGGGTCTTCACCTAAAACCATGTGATTTTCTTATAACATAGTGATCGTGTATGCTGGATTTAAAAAAATAGCAATTATACCAATAAGGAGTTTTTGTCCAAAAACTTGTCGAAAATTGTTAACTGTATCAAACATGTAAGATCATTAAAGTAATGTCTCTTGGACTGCCATAATCCTTATTCTACATCTCGGACAACTTAGCGCAACACATTTTCCATCTCAGTGACCTACATCTTGGGTAAAAAGCTGTTGCAATGAATTATGATAATATGTATATCATAACATAGTTAGCAAATTTAACTTGTATTAAACACTAGGTTAAACACGTTTAGTGTTAGCAACTCTATGTCATATAAACACGTGTGATGGAAAATGCCATAAGGAATGTGATAGATATCAGGTACAAATGTAGATTCAAACAGCATGTGATCCTAACTTCCATATGTAAATGCTGGTAGTCCTGAGGATTCACTTATTACAATGTTTGAAATCTGCTATTACTTATAGTAATCAATGGCACTTTTAATACCTTTACTTCTCTTCAACTTTCCTTTTTTATGATTTATATCTCTCAAATATTTCAGCCTGTCCATCATTTATTTCGGTAATGTATGTGTCTTTTCCAAAACTGACAGAAGATGATCTTGAAGGTTATAATGAAATTATCACTTGAAAATAAAAATGCAATATTCCCTTTTAACCCATGTAACATAAAGCTGTCTTAGCACTTTCTTACAAGTAGGATAAAAATGCACAAATTTTTCAATTATGCTAAAAACTAACATTAGGTTGATGGAAAACCCGCAATTACATTTGCACCAACCTAAATTATAATCACAGTATTATACTTTTGTTGTCACACAATTTCTAATATTATAGTTATTAATATAATATAAACACAACATAAATTTTAATATATAATCCTATAAATATAGGATCTATAACTTCTGACTTTCAAACTGTAAAACTTTCTGTACTTATTAACCTATTCAGAAATCAAACCAAAAGCTTTTAATTTAATTTTAAAGTAATTCCATGATTCTGCATGACCAATTTTCCAGTCTCAATGCCAAATATTTCCAACATACTTTCCAACTTTTTCTTGAATCTCCTTATAGTCTCTGTGCTCTTTTCTATTACCACGTTTATACCCATCACTCTGCTTCAGAAACAGATTAATTGCATCATTTCTTCAACGAATATGTCTTATTTCATCTCTACCCTCTTCACACCAGATGTATGTCCTTCTCCTACCGTTGGTAGAAATGGCTTCAAATATTTTGCGTAACTACTATTTAAATAATTTACAAACTGTATAATATTTTACTAAGTTTATGTAAGATTCTAAATCTTCTGTTGTCATTTCAACAATATTCACAGCATCTTCACTAGGAGTAGCTTCCATTACAAAAAACTACTTTCTTTGCTCACACGTAAGAAGCAATCCTCATCCATTCAAGTTTTATCATAAAATTCAGCAAGTCAATCACATCTTTGGCTTGACTTCTAATTCTAGTTCTCTTGCTATTTTCCCACTACCTGCAGTTACTTCCTCCACTGAAGCCTTGAAACAATCAAACTTATTCATGAGAGTTGGAATCAACTTCTTACAAACTCCAAACTCCAGTTAATGTTGATATTTTGACCTCCTCCCATGAATTATGAGTGCTCTTGATGGCATGTAGAATGGTGAATTATTTCCAGCAGGTTTTCAATTGACACCTGGATCCATTAGAGAAATCACTATCTATGGCAGCTGTAGCCTTATGAAATGTATTTCTTAAATAATAAGACTTGAAATTCAAAGTATTACTTTATTCATGGGCTGCAGGATGGCTGTTGTGTTAGCAGTCATGAAAACAATAATCTTTTTGTACATCTTCACCAGAGCTCTTGGGTGACCAGGTGACTTGTCAGTCTTTTGAAAGGAATCTTTTTTTCTGGGCAGTAAGTCTCAAAAATGAGCTTTAAATATTCAATGAACTATGCTGTAAACATACATGCTATTTTCTTGGCTTTGTTGCTCCATTTATAGAGCACAGACAGAGTAAATTAAGCATAATTCTAAGGGCCCTAGGTTTTATGGAATGATAAATGAGCATTGGCTTTAACTTAAAGCTATCAGTTGCATTAGCCCCTAATAAGAGAGTCAGCCTCTTTGAAGCCAGGTATTGACTTCTCCTTTCTAGCTATGAAAGTCCCAGATGACATTTCTTCCAACATAAGGCTGTTTTGTCTACACTGAAAATCTTTCATTTAGTGTAGCCACCTTCGTCCATGATCTTAGCTAGATGAATTTACTGCCATGCACTTTCTACAAAAATTCTTGCTTCACTTTGCACTTTTATGTTATGGAGACAGCTTCTTTCCTTAAACTTCATGAACCAACCTCTGCTATCCTCAAACTTTTCTTCTGCTGCTTCATCACCTCTTTTAGCCCTTATAGAATTCATTGAAGAGAGGTAGGGCTTTGCTCTGGATTAGGCTTTGGCTTAAGGGAATGTTTTGACAGGTTTGATCTTCTATCCAGACCACATTCTCCATATTAGCAATAAGTTTGTTTTATTTTCTTATCATTCACATGTTCACTGGTGTAGCCCTTTTAATTTCCTTCAATAACTTATCCTTTGCATTCTCAGCTTGGCTAAGCGGTGCAAGAAGCCTAGCTTTCAGCTGACGCCTTTCTCACTAGGCTTTCTCACTAAGTGGCGCAGTCAGAACACACACATTTGTCAATTAAGCTAGCAGTTTTGTACAGGAATGCTTCATGGTGCCTCAGAACTATTAGAATAGTCTTAAATAAAAATTATAGAAGGCCATTGTTTTGGACTAAATTCCTGTACTAGGTCCAACAGACCAAACTAAAAATTAAAATGGAGTCACTCATGCTAAAGTTCCATGTCATCAAACCTAAACTAAGTTGTTATCCGACCTTCCCACATATTAGGAGAGAGATATAACAGCTAATTTTCCCAAACTGACCAATATGAAGTCTTCAACTGGCATGACAATGAAGTTTCCTCTGCTTTAATTCTTATGCACATAAAAAAGATATCCTGAGGTAACTCGATGTTAACTAATAATTTATGTTCCTATTGTTCTGTCCAAAGTAACTAATACACTCTGTTCTTTGCTTCGGCTTTTTTAATCCCTTTTCTGTCTGTAAAGCCAACTTCTTCTGCTCAACTCATTGGAAGACTTATTCTATTTTATAGAATGAAATGTTGCCTGATTCTAGAATTGCAAATAAAGCTGATTCATATCTTTAATCTAAATTTGTTGTAATTTTGACTTTCATCAATGGTACCATCAAGGATTACTAATCACAGATCACCATAACAGATATAAAATTAATAAAAAAGTTTTGAAGTATTGTAAGAATGACCAAAAGGCAACACAAAGACACAAAGTGAGCACATTTATCGTGCAATGGATAAACCTCACCCTGGGAAAACCACCTTCCTGATCACGGTATCTCCCCTGCCAGTTAAGTGAAGTGCATATTTTTGGCAATACGGCACTGGCAGAACTGTTCAATGCAGGGTTGCCATAAACCTCCAACTTGCAAAAAATACAATATCTGCAAAATGCAATAAAATGGCATATAAAAATATGTATGTTTATATGTATATGTGTATATATATGTTTACACATTAATATATGTATATATACACATACATTCTTTTAATTTCATGTAATTATGAGTCAAGTGCTAAAATAATCTATTTTCTGGATTAAATTGTAATAATTATTAGTTCTGGATTAAATTGTAAAATTAAAATAATTTAGTCAAATATGCACTTATAGCCTGTCTAACCAATTATTAAATATGAACAAACGTTTTTCAAAATGCATCTTAGTTAAAAGAATAAGCCTTTGAAAATTTTGTTTATGCATCTCTGAGTAAATATTACTCATTAGTTGGATAAGAAATTTGGCATTATTTCTATTCTTACTTTTTAACTTTATTACCATAACACCTGAGAAAATTTCTTCATGTAAATAAGTAAAAGAGAAAAGAAAACGTTGGGATGTAGCAATGCCCCACATTATTGAAACCCCTACTGATTTAAAAGTTAAAATCATACTGTACTCTGTCATCAGAAATAGACTCTACATTTTGTTAGTTAATAATTTAATCAGGTTTTATCTCAAATTTGTCCTAAGCAAAGAGTTGGAAACCACTCTTCTTACACACAAGTTTGTTTCCTAGTAATTATCACATAGATTTTCTTTTTTTTTTTTTTGTCAGGAGTTTAATTCAGAAAAAGCATGATATAAAAGATGAAGTCAAGATGAGCAGCAGTTATTTAACCACATTAGAACCCAGGCCTGTAGTTTCTTTTGCTAGAGACATTTACATAAGCAGACATCATCTTTAATCTTTGTTTATATTGTCACAGTCTTGTTTTTAGTCCTTTTGCCTCTTAAAACTAAGCTGTCATTATTACTTGGACATTTTTACTGGCTTATTCATTCCAGTTGGGATTTCCTTCCAACCTTGCCTGGGAAATCCAGTTACTAATGCAACTACAGATAACGGTAAGCTCAACTTCCACTACAGTAGCCATTTCTGTTTATCAATTTCTAATTTGTGAAATACAGAGCTGACGACTGGAGATACATAAATGAAGGAGTCTCTTACTACCTGATGCAGAGAACTGTGCTCACCTGCATTGGTAGGAGTTTTAATTTCACCATTTTCACTAGAAAATTTTCGCAACCTACTCATCTGTCAAAGGGCTAATATCCAGAATCTACAATGAACTCAAAAAAATTTATAAGAAAAAAACAAACAACTCCATCAAAAAGTGGGTGAAGGACATGAACAGACACTTCTCAAAAGAAGACATTTATGCAGCCAAAAAACACATGAAAAAATGCTCACCATCACTGGCCATCAGAGAAATGCAAATCAAAACCACGGTGAGATACTATCTCACACCAGTTAGAATGGCAATCATTAAAAAGTCAGGAAACAACAGGTGCTGGAGAGGATGTGGAGAAATAGGAACACTTTTACACTGTTGGTGGGACTGTAAACTAATTCAACCATTGTGGAAGTCGGTGTGGCGATTCCTCAGGGATCTAGAACTAGAAATACCATTTGACCCAGCCATCCCATTACTGGGTATATACCCAAAGGACTATAAATCATGCTGCTATAAAGACACACGCACACTTATGTTTATTGTGGCACTATTCACAATAGCAAAGACTTAGAACCAACCCAAATGTCCAACAACGATAGACTGGATTAAGGAAATGTGGCACATATACACCATGGAATACTATGCAGCCATAAAAAAGGATGAGTTCATGTCCTTTGTAGGGACATGGATGAAATTGGAAATCATCATTCTCAGTAAACTATCGCAAGGACAAAAAACCAAGCACCGCATGTTCTCACTCATAGGTGGGAATTGAACAATGAGAACACATGGACACAGGAAGGGGAACATCACACCCTGGGGACTGTTGTGTGGTGGGGGGAGGGGGGAGGGGGGAGGGATAGCATTAGGAGATATACCTAATGCTAAATGATGAGTTAATGGGTGCAGCACACCAGCATGGCACATGTATACATATGTAACTAACCTGAATATTGTGCACATGTACCCTAAAAGTTAAAGTATAATAATAATAAAATAAAATTAAAAAAAATTATCACATAGTTTTTCAATACTAATGTCAGTGTGTTATGATGTTTTGTTTAGTTGACTGGTGTGCTAGTACCTATTACATAGATAGCAATGCCTAGACTAAGAATTAATAAGAAGTGTCTTTCTTTAGAAAATGAGTTAAAGGGTGACCTTTCAAGCAGATTAATTTTAAGAAAAGTATAAGAGAAATTGAAGCTCTGATATTAATAGCTTAATATTTTCTATATTTATACGTCCCAGAAAGTTTTTGAAATCCCCAGAAGTATGTAAACCCCATTCTGAAAACTCCTGTTGTCTTGCACTTGATAGAGTCTGAAAATCAGGCTTTCATTTTAAGCTGCTTGTGATACCCACTGTTGTTTTACAAATATTTGTTTAAAATCCTTAGGTAAGGTAAGTCACTTGAGTAACGGTTGGTTTATGTTATGTACTTTATGATGCTCAGCCACAACTTTCAGTGCAAAATAGAATCACAAATATGCACTTGCTTAATCATCACTTTTAAAAGCATGAGTGGAAAGGGTGAAAAAACACCCCCAAAAACACAAGGAAATAGAACGATGTAGACATTTTTAAATAGTAATACCAAAACATTTTATATTCCAACTTTAAAGCATTATAATTTATTTTGAAGAAAACTATAAATTAGATTACAACACGTTTCTGAATATAAAGTTAGACTGCAAATTAGTGGGAGTCCTTACATTTAAATTCAATTTGTAACACAGTCACATCCCCACGCATGCACTTGCTGCTTCCCCATGGGTATATATGTACATCCTGAAAACGATATTTTTGTTTACACTTATATATATATATATATATGTGTATATATATATGTATATATATATATGTGTATATATATATGTATATATATATATGTGTATATATATAATTTAAAGAGCTTTATTTTGTTTTCCCAGTTGGATATTTCTTGAGGGCTAGTGTCACAACTTTTTACAAAATAAGCTACATGTAGTTTTGAAAAGAGCAAACACTTATGAATGTTTTTTCATTAAAAATACCTACAAGAAAGAAGAAACAGAAATTTGGAAAAAAAACACTATCAATCTAACACTTCAGAGATCACTACATATTGAGCATCCTTAATCTGAAATCTAAAATCCCAAATGCTCCATCCCAAATTCAAAACTTTTTGAACACTGACAGAACACCACAAGTGAAAAATTCCACAGCTGGCCTCTCGTGACAGGTCACAGTCAAAATACAGTCAAAATTTTGTTTCATGTACAAAATTATTTAAAATATTGTATAAAATTACCTTTAGGCTATATGTGTAAGGTATGTATGAAACCTAAATAAATTTCATGTTTAGCTTTGCATCTCAGTGTTAAGATATCTCATTATTTATATATAAACATTTCCAAAAATATACACAATCTGAAACTCTTCTGGTCCCAAGCATTTTAGATAAGGGATGATCAATCTGTCCAAGGTTTTTTCCGTAGTTTTTGTCATTTTTATATTATCTTACTAAGTGTGTTACATTTCAACATCTACCTGTAAATAGATTCCATATTCTTATACATTCACTTGATTTATTTTGATTTTAATTCATTTTAATTTTGATTTTTATTCATACGGTCAGGATAATCTTTATTCTCCTAAACTATACATTGTATTTTACAACATAAATGTGCTTATCAAGACTTAACCCCTTTGTTGATACTTAGCTAGGCAAGAGTTTCATCTTTATAGGTAAATCCATTTCTCCACATTCTTAATAATTTCATTTGATTTCTAATTTTTCTAACTGCTTATAATTTACAATTCTAGTACTATACAGAATTTAGTTGAATATTCTGAATAATTTTAGAAAAAAATCATTCTGTGAATATTATTGCAGAATGCATTAATCTTTTTCATAGCCGATAAATTTCCTTATATCCCCATATTACTGGCTTTATGTTTCAATGTGTAATATAAACTAAACTATTTACACATTCTCCATAAAGCTTAGAAATAAACAACACAAAAGTAAGAACATAATGTGTAGCTGATCTGTTATATAGGAATAGTTGACCTTAACAATGTATAATACCTTAGAATTTAAAGAAGATATTGTGCTATAAAATTGAGAAAATATATATGGTATTTACAAATATGACCACATTTCATACTATAGGAAGAAAGAAAAAAAATCACCTAAAATAATTACTATATCACTTCTGGTTTCAGCTTCATGTAAAAAAAAAGTGAGTACCCTTTTCCTTACAACAAGAAATGGGACAAACTAAAAGTTACCAGCTTTTCCTAAACCCATAAGAGAACTCAGGTGGCAGAACTGTCCAGTCTGAAATTTGGAGCTACAGGATCATCCAGTGAGCCTTAGCTAAGATCTGCCTATCTGGAGCAGATGCTGCTGAAATCATAACTGGTAGGAATATTTAAATGGTATGTTTATTGCGGCACTATTCACAATAGCAAAGACTTGGAACCAAGCCAAATGTCCAACAATGATAGACTGGATTAAGAAAATGTGGCACATATACACCATGGAATACTATGTAGCCATAAAAAATGATGAGTTCATGTCCTTTGTAGGGGCATGGATGAAGCTGGAAACCATCATTCTCAGCAAACTATTGCAAGGACAAAAAACCAAACACCGCATGTTCTCACTCATAGGTGGGAATTGAACAATGAGAACACATGGACACAGGAAGGGGAACATCACACACTGGGGCCTGTTGTGGGGTGGGTGTACAGGGGAGGGATAGCATTAGGAGATATACCTAATGTTAAATGACGAGTTAATGGGTGCAGCACACCAACATGGCACATGTGTACATATGTAACTAACCCGCACGATGTGCACATGTACCCTAAAACTTAAAGTATAAAAAAATGGTAATTTTGATGAACAGCTGTAGGATGAATGTATATTCGTGTTAAAATAAAAAAAAAAGTAACGCCTGAGGACAGCAGTCTCAGAGTTGTCTCCATATGCTTGTGGGGCTTTACCTCCAGAAAAAACACCAGAGGCTCATAAGGAAGATCCTATATATTCTTCTCTATATCTCCAGAAGGAAGAGGGTGAGAGTAATCATTGTGAAATATATCCGAGCCTTCTCCACAGCAAACATAGTCTTCTGGAGGAGAAAACTTTGGCAGTTTAGGCATTGAGGGTTATCTCAATTGGAAGAAGTTGAATTATACTACTTCAGCCCCTTCTATTCTTCCTGTCTCATGAAGGCCTAAACCTCACAAGTCTAGGCTTGAAAGTGAAGGACAGAGGATACTGCAGCCAGGGAACGAATTTGGAGGAAGGAGAGCTAAGCTATTTCATAGGGGGCAGAAACACTTTGAAGGTCACAGCCCCAAGACATAAGACCATTAAAAGACTGAGATGTGATCAGAAAATTACAGAACACTTCTCCTTTCCCACAGTTTACAACGATATAGTAGGGCTCCAGTGTAAAAGTAGTGGATTATAGCTGAAAAGAAGTAAGATACAGCCTCTCTTAGAAAAAAAGTACTTAGGGAAGTTCAAAGTCAAGAAGGAGGACAAAAACAAGGCCATTGGGAGAATGAAAGACTTCTGGAACTGACAGCTACCACAAATATTAAACACAGCCCAACGCTTAGCACACTACAGGCCTGTTTGCTTCAGCACTTATCACCAAAACATCATATCTTACTTTCAACAAAAATGTTACCAAGTTGGAAGGCATGACAAAAGCAAGAGAGAACATAGTCTGAAGAGCAAAACAAGCATCTGAACCAGATTCAGATATGACACTCATGTTAGAATTATCAGTAGAGAATTTAAAATAACTATTATGAATATGTTAAATGATTTAGTAGAAAAAATAATTCAATATGCATGAGTGAATGAGCAATGTAAGTAGAAAGGTGAAATTCTAAAGAAAAATGGTAAGAAAATGCTGGAAATTTAAAACACTGTAATAGAAATGAAGAATACCTTTGAGGGCTTATCAATAAACTCAACATAGCTGAGAAAAGAAAGAATTTAATTTAAAATAATCGAATAAAAATTTCCTCCCCAAATAAATGTAAAAGAGAGAAAAAAACAAATAACAACAAAAAAACAGTGTATCTAAGAACTGTAGTCCAATAAAAGGTATAATATATCATCACTGTAATACCAGAAGGAAAAGCAAAGAACAATCTGGAGGAAATATTTGAAGTAATAATGGCCGAGACCATTTTAAAATTAATGACAAACACCAAACAACAAATTCAGTAAGCTCAGAGAACACCATGCAGGATAAATATAAGAAACAAAGAAACATAAATGCCACACCAAGGATATATTGTTTTCAAAACTTAGAAAACAAGAAACAAAGAGAAAATTTTGAAAGACAGGGGAGGTAAGGGATGGTAGGCATGTCACCTACAGAACAGAAATAGGAATTACAGGGAATTTCTTGCTATAAGTCACGCAAAGCAATGAGAGAGTGGAATGAATTATTTATCACATTAAAAGAAAAAAACCCCAACAATTTATAATTGTATATCCAGTGAAATTATTCTTCAAAACAGAAGGATAAAGCCTTTCTCAAGGAAAAAATGAATAAATTCATTACCAGTAATCTTTCCCTGAAGGAGATGATAAGTTTTTTAGACATAAGGAAAATTATGTAGGTCAGAAACTCAGGTACATAGAGAAAGGAAGACCTTTGGAAATGAATTAAATGAAATAAAATCCTTTATTTTTCTTATTCCTGAACTAAACAAACACTAGCTGTTTAGTTGACCTAAAACAACTAGTGTTTGTTTACAACATTAATAAGTAAGAATGTACAAATAACTACTGTTTGTTTAAGGCATTAATAATAAGAATGTACTAAGTAATGATAGCATATGGATAAGTGAAATGAATGACAGTAATGTCACAAAAGATAGTGGGGAGGAATTGGTAATATTCTATCACATGGTATCTGCAGTACATGGGAAGTGGTATAATATCACTTAAGGGTGGACTTAGATTATTTAAAATGTAAATTATAACTGTAGGGCAACAGCTAAAAAAAGGGAAATAAAAATATAATGTTAAGAGAGGAAATGAAATGGAATCATATAAAATGTGAAATTAAAACCCCAGAGGGCAGAAAAAGAGAGAAAAGAAACAAAAGCAAACGCAATGAATATGTATCAGTTACAAACACTATAAATGTGAATGGTCTAAATATGCCAGTTAAAAGACAGAGATTGTTATAGCACATACAAATTATGAACCAATTCTATATTGTCTACGAGAAATCCACTTTAAATATAAAGACACAGATGGGTTAAAAGTAAAGGAATATAGAAAGAAATGCCATGTTAACATGAATTTTAAAACTGCTGAAGTACCTAGAGTAATATCAAAATTATGTTAGTAATATGTTAACAATAGATGTTAAATGTGGATCTGTAGTATCTTCAGAATTTTTCTATAAATCTAAGGCTACTCTTAAACGAAATAGTTATTTTGAGAAAAATAACTTCATCGGAATCATGTTCTTAAGCAGTAAGGGCAGTATAATGCAATGTTGAAAGAAATAATATCCACATATTTATTGATACATGGAAATAAAACTATAAAGAATATTCTTAAAATAATTAGGCATAGTTTACTTTAGAGGCCATTCTATAATATGTATACTTTAAATGTTTAATTTCATCCTCTGGATCTTCTTAGGTCTTGGTTCCCTAGAATCAGGGACAGAAGAAGAAGTTCCTGTATGAATTATTTATTAAGGAAGTGCTATCATGCAAGGAGGTAATAGAAGCAAAACCAAATAGAAAAGGAAGTTGAACAAAGAGGTGTGGCTCAGCCTGATTTTACAGGTATACCTGTAGTTTGAATGGCTCTTCACGATTGTTATGTCTCCATACAAAGGGTCTGGCTTTTATATTCCCACATTAGTCATGGGCCTCAGTCCTCACTACCCCCAGGATGTGCACATTAGGACACCAGGAAAATCACTTATATGGGTATGTGTTGCTTTTGTTGGCAGAAAGCCATGATAAATAGTTTCATGTAGGCTGTTTAAATCATTTGTTGAAAGTTATAAATTAGATAAATTAATTTTTTAAAACTTTCTTTTCTTTTGCTAATAGCCCACAGTGTTTTTCTATAATTTCTATGTCCTCAGATAACATGGAAGGCTCACACTATTTCTTGTTTGTGTAAATGTTTTTCCAAAGCAGACTGCATAGTGTACCTAGATATTACTTTTTCTTTATTACTCTCTAGTGTCTTTAAACATCTTAAAGATAGGTCCAGAGTCTACAAAATAGGAAATTAACTGGTAGCCTGACTCCAGTGGAATTATAAATCCTCAATGCAAACATTTCTCTTTTTTACAACTTTGTTAATGATCTGATTTTACTCCATATTTTCAAAGCTAAATCACTACTGTTCAATTAATTTAAGGCTTTTAAAATGCAAACGTATAGTTGTAAGAGAACAGCTGCACTAAAGTGCTATTTGCTTAATCTGCAAGGCTATTGTTTCAGAGACACCAAGCATTCAAACGAAACATACTTCACTAGGAATTATCAGGAGTAAAATGAAGTGATGTTTTTCTCTACAAAATACAAAATAGAGTTTAAGTGTGATGCTGTAAATTGAGGTATAATGTAATCAATTCATGAAGTACACATAGCTGCCTTACATATTTTGTGTCAATTGATGGATTTGTGTTAGAATGTAGTACTGTTTACATGATAGTACACAATGATTGGTTATCTAGATTAAATCATGGGTATAGTAAATCTAAATTAATTATTACCTGAATCATAGTCATAAATTTCATTTTATTAGAAATAAACAGGTTTTTAATTAATGCTTTACTCATAGCTCCCTTAAGAATAAATATGGAATGAATGGACTGTTTAAATGCATCTATATATATATACATGTTTATACTTAGCAGTTGAACACACATATATCTCTAGATACATATAATCATAAGTTCAATATCTTCCATCCTTTTAATCAGTTTTCCAAAGACAAGGATATAGAAACTATTAAAGTGAAGAAAATATCTATCAAAGATTAGGGAAGCATTACATGAAGAAAATTATTTTTTGTTTATCTCCTGGAAATAATACATTTAGAGCCAAGTTAATTTATTTTATTATTGTATCACACACAAATATAAGCCAAGTTTAATTTAAGAAAGCTAAACATCATATTCCTGTACCTATATATTTTTAATGCTGTTCATATTTTACATATCTTTTTATGAAGAATTGATACTTGTCCACAATTCTTTAATTATTAACTTATGAGCTTAAGAATCTTCAAAAGGTAAACTAGTTATCTGCAAAGAACTATTCTGTCTTTAATCAAAGATATATCAAGTCTCTTTGATCTGATTAACAATAGTTTGGGGAAAAAAAAGAAGTAAACCTGCTTCTGGTCGGTTGATTAAAGACACTTTCTCTATGTTCTATCATTTCAGAGATAAAAATTCTATTTAATTAGTGATAGATTTCAACTTAAATTGACCAAAATTCTTCAGCTGAATTAGACAATAGACTAGAGAATTTTCACATACATTTACATTTGCATTAGTTAAACATTGTATTTCTCTTGTGAAAACAATATGTTTAGTTATTCAATAAAGCAATTTTAAGTCCTAATACATTTAAAAGTAATTGTTATAGTTAATCAACATACACTCAAATGACTGAAGAAGAAAGAATTTAAGAGAGAAAAGATGGTATATTGGCATAATGAACCAGGTATCTTTTGAATCACGTCTAAGTAACGATTTTTCAATTAATGATAATTGTTTTAAGATATTAAGCTGTTGGTGTAAATATGTGACTATATGCAATAATACTACCTCTATGTAAACTATATGACATATTATAAATTATACAGCAAATGAATATTTTGTTATGTTCTATTTCTATGTATTTATAGCAGCCATTATGGCATAGGATATAATAGAATAATTTTTTAAAATGAGTCCAGAATTTACCAAAATGTTGACTGATTACCGAAGAAAACTGTGTCCAAATTATTGAGATTTAATCATCTTAAAAGTAGGTTCAGAGTCTACAAGATTGTGTTTCTTTATGAAGTTTTAATTACTTTGATGTGATTCATATGTAATATTTTCCTTTAAGTTTTAAATAATCTGAAAAGGTGGGATTGAGAGGATTAAGTTTACTTCCAGAGTAGTATATGCACTTTTTTGGTTTGAAAAACTCTGAATTAATATAACTTGCTTAGTCTAAGAGGAACACCATGGTAGAACCAAGATGAGAGTGCAGTGCCTTACATTCTCAGTGTTATTCTCATTCTATAGCACTGAACTAGCAGGAGCAAATTTCTTCATTTATTAGTCTACATTACCATACACATAAATATAAACATATAAAACATTGTGTAAGTAATTTTTAAAAATCTCTTTCTCCATCCCTACTTTTCACTCTCTCTCTCTCTCTCTCTCACACACACACACACACACACACACTCTGTCATGTCAGAATAATGGAAGTAAAATTATTAGGGAAAACCTTAATATGTGACTATTAACCCATCATGCTGGTCAAGGGGTCAAGGCTCCACACAGTATGCACTTTCAAATGAGAGTTATTCTTTTCACTATTACAGGTATGTCCTATATTGGAGTCCCACAAAAGTGGGTTTTGAGACAGAAAATTTGAATGCAATTTGGGAGCAATCTGAAAAGGCACCTATAGGAAGAGGGCAAGTGAAACATGGAAGAACAGGAAAGGTATACAGTTTACATTAATAAGCATATCGCCATTCTGAACAATAGACTCTTAGACCCTGTGAGGACTTACAGGAAATGATTTAGATCATATCTAAGAGTAGTTTGCTTGAGAGATGAGGAAACTGGTGTGTTTATATTCCAATTCCCAGTGATCATCATTTGAGAACTGTTCTGCAGAATCACCTTTTGTGGTAATTAGTTACAACAGGAGTAGGAAACTAGCACAATGTCAAAAATATGGTTAGTTAAGTGGGAAAACTGTTGGTAGAATAGTGGTGTTTTGCTTTCGTTATTTTTAGAATGCCATGCTGTGACATTCATATGAAGAATTAATATATAAATTTCCTTGTGCTTAGAAATTCCACATCTAGGGAAATAGGGTTAATTGTGTATCATAAGGCATTTACCCAGACATTCACTGAAGCATTCATCAACATTATTTATTGAATGCTGTGCTAGATATTTTCAATTTGCTTCTCTAGATCTCCCTCTATTGCATCAAAGAGCTCCCTAGTTATTCACCTTCTGGTTGAAAATGGGAGATTGTAAGTTCGGTTATGTCATCAGAGAGGGAAAGAGAGTGCAGTCAAATGATGTATTCTCTCCTGACTCCCTCATTGCAGAATTTCCCTCATGACCTAGTACTTAAGCCACAACTCCACTGAAATGGCTTTCTCTGTATCACTCTTTTATTCCCTCTATTTGGCCCTTCAAGGAATAATAATTTAGGTGTGCGTTCCATTTCTTGTTACCCATGACACAGGCTGATACTAGAGCTCACTAGATGGCAGGTATTTTCCTAGTTGCTACCATTATATCACTCATTTAGCTCACATTCTAGTTGGCAAGTAGAACAACACAAACATAAATGAGTAAAACATATGAATTTATAGGAGAAAAAGTAAAGGTAAAAATAATTGAAGTTTCAAGAGAGAGACTGTTGGATTTGACCAGGGGAGTATATTTAAAAAGATTTGAGGGGTCATCTGTGATAATCTGGGTAGATGTGTGTATGCAGGAGAGCATTCCAGGTAGAGGGGTCATTAAGAACAAAGACCCTGAGATAGAATTGTGCCTACTGTGTTTGAGCAATAATGAAGAGACCAATGGAACTGGAGAGGAGTGATCAAAAGGGAGAATACACGGAAGATGCAGTCACAGAGATGGACAGTTCTTATAGAATTTGGTAAGCTATTGTAAGGAATTTGCCATTCAATCTGAGCAAAATCAGTGGTTAGTGCAGGTATTTTAGGAGGGAAGCGAAATAATGTGTCTTATATTTTAATAGAATTACTCTTTCTGCCATGTTAAAAATAGAGTGAAGTGGAGTGAGATCCGAAGCTGGAAGTACAGTTAGGAGGCCGTCCCGAACATGGTGGTAAACAGATGTCAAGGATGTTGACCCTGGGGAATGGGTTGGAGATACAGAAAGCCTGTTTATTTCTGGATGCTTTTCAATGTTGAACCAATAAAATATCTGTCTTTCTTTTTCTTTTTCTTTTTTTTCTTTTTTTTTTTTTTGAGACAGAGTCTCACACTGTTGCCCAGGCTGGAGTGCAGCGGTGCGATCTCGGCTCACTGCAAGCTCCACCTCCCGGGTTCACGCCATTCTCCTGCCTCAGCCTCCCGAGTAGCTGGGACTACAGGCGCCCGCTACCACACCGGGATATTTTTTTTTTTTTTGTATTTTTAGTAGAGGCGGGGTTTCACCCTGTTAGCCAGGATGGTCTTGGTCTCCTGACTTCGTGATCCTCCCGCCTCAGCCTCCCAAAGTGCGGGGATTACAGGCGTGAGCCACCTGACAAATGTGAGAAAAAAATAATTAAGGATTTCCATATTCCCAGCTACTGAGGAGGCTGATGAGGGAGGATTACCTGAACCCAGGAGTTTCAGATTGTGGTGAGATATGATCGCACCCCTGCACTCCAGCCTGGGCAACAAAGCAAGACCTTATCTCACAAAAAATTAAATAAGTAAAATCGTTAAGGATAACTCCAAGATATTTTGATCAGAGTAACTGAGAAGTTCTGACTTTACTGAAATGGGAAAGACTGTGGTAAAGCTAGTTTGTGCAGATATTTCGAGAGATTACTTTTGGATGTGTTGAATGTGATGTGTCTACTATACATCAAAGAGGACACTTTGAGTAGCGAGTACGGAATATGGATTCTATCTCAGAGGAGAAAACTATACAGGATAAATAAACTTGGGATTTATCACCATATTGGGATTTAAAGCTGTGAGAATAGTTAAGATCAGCTAAGGATTTTGTATACGTATATAAAAGAAAAACAGTAAGATGACTGGGCTTTGCCTGGATCTGTTCACCATTTAAATGCTTGCTTTGTTAGAGAAAAATAAATGACAAAAACCGACTTTGGACAAACAGCCAATGAACACAAAAATCAAGTGATGCTGTTGTAACATAAGCAAATAAAGGGAGTGTTTCCAAAAGGATGGAATGCCCAATGTTATTAGTGGCCTAAATAAGATCAGGACTTGGAATTAATGATTCTAATTATTAAGATGGAAGATATTGGGGATCTTGGAAGAGTTGAGGGGTGAAAAATCTGATTGGATGAATTCAAGAAAGAATAGAGAAAAACATATTTTCAACGAGCTAGAATGAAGACATGGAGAAGGGAGGGGAGTTGTTTTGCTTTGTGTCATATCTAATATGGAAAAGAAATAACTGGGTACTTCTATGCTGAATAGAATGGTATGTAATAGAGGAAAAAATATTGACACATGAGATAAAAGAATTGCCAAATTCATTTGTCTCTGACTATCCAAAAGAAGGTATAGTTTAATGCAAAAAAGAAAATATTGTCCTTAGCTAGGAGCAAGGAGAGTTCAGCTGTCTAAGAGGAGAATAGCTTGTGCAGGCACACATGAGTGGAAGGTGCAGATTTGCAGAATTTCTTATATAGGTTATTTTGTTTTCTCACAGGGGGAAAAAGTAGGCAGTGGAGTGTGAGTGTAGGAAATGAGATAGTCAAGGATTTTGAAGAAAGAAGGTAATATAAGGAGACAGACATTTCAGAGACAAGTAGAATGAATGAAGTTAAATATGGTTGTCTAAAAATCCAATAGCCCAGTAAATTTAGTAATCATATGTCCAAAGTGACATTACTCCACAAACGTGCTTGTTTGTGAGTTTATGTGCTCTTTTGTGTGTGTGTGTGTGTGTGTGTGTGCATGCTACCTACCCTCAGCTGCACTTGTATGGACCTTGAGAAATTGAATAATTAAATTTATTGAGAGTTGTTATTTTAGAAAATGCACGTGATGAGATAAAAGTGGTGAAAATTTTTAGGGTATTTGTTTGGGTGTGATTACAAAATAGATTTTTATATATCAGTAACTTGTATGGCCTTACCATATACCAGGCACTATTCTAAGTTATTTACAATTATTCACTCATTGAAATATCATAACAGCCCTGTGAGGCAGATATTATAATTTTCCCATTTTTATCAGTGAGGACACTGAGGCATAGAAGGGTTAGGAAATTTGACTAATGCGTAAGCACTTTTAAAGGATAGACTTAAATCTCCAACCCTGGCAATCTGTGTCTACAGCTCATGCCCTTAAGGAATTTGAGCAGGATACAAAGAGAGGAAAGTACATGAAGTGGGAAGTAAAATAATAAACCTTACAAGAAACTGGGATACTAGATGGAGTAAGTGGGAAAGGAACCAAGATGGTGGACTTCGGTCACTTTCTTACATATCTTTGAAAGCGTATTTACTAATTATGCCATGTGCATGTTCAGAATGCTTTCTTCATACAAAATCTACTTATGTTTAGAAAAAGTATTTATGAGTTTCTAGATTAATAATTATTTTTCAGTTTTTGATCTGTTTGGTTGCACAAATATGTTTACTTCATGATAATTTATATCAAGAAATTTGCATGTAATTTATATCAGTAAAGTAAATTAGTAGTTAAATCAATAATTTATATTAATAAATTATCATGAAATGATTATCAAAAACTAAAAATTATCATTAATACAGAAAAATCCTTTAGGCAAATGTCCAGTCACTACCACCATCCTTTATTCCATGATTAGCCCTATTCTGCTTCTAACACAATAATTTTTATTGCTTAATTTTTAACTTCATATAGATATAATCGTACTTAATCTTAAATTTGAGAAATGTGTTCATGCTATTAGAACTAGCAATAATTCATTTATGTCTTTGTATAGCATTACATTTTAAGAATATACCACAAGTATTTATCTATACTATTATTGATAGACAATTTGGTTATTGCCAGTTATTAGCTACTTTAAATTGTGCTGTTATTCATACTGTCATAGGTGTTTTAACTACATATTTGCCTATGGAATTTCAATGTAATTACCTAATGTTACAAATAAATAGGATTCTATTACATATCTACTCTGCAAATGTTGTATTAGTGTTCTTTTACATTATGTCGCATTTTTTCCTCCAGTTATTTGTACTTTGACAGGTTAGAGGTGTTTTGGCTTTGAAAAAATGTTTCATGGAAGTTGCAGAAATCTTTCAAAATCACATTTATTCATGATCAGAAACACCATGTCTTATAGCAAATTTATCTAATCATTTTCTTTTAAATATGCTTCATCCCAAAATACAGATTAGTATAATTCTAGCTTTATAGAAGAGTTTGAAATTTTTCTTTCTTTATTCTCTAGAAAAGTTTAAATACTATTAGAATAATTTGTTCTTTTTAGATTAGATAATTAAACTGTGAAATTTTCTGGGAATTATCTTTATTAAGTGCTTAGACTTTGACAACTTTTATAATTATTTTATAATAATTGGTCTATTGAGATTTTATGTATGTCTCTGAGAGTTGGTGGCAGCCATTGCATTTTTATAAAAATCAATTCCATAGAGGTTTTTGAATTTGATTAAAATATTCTTTTAGCTATTTACAGCTTTCTCTCTGTTCTATTTTCATAAACAATTTATAAATTTGTATCTTTACCTTCTTGTGATTTTATTGCTTATAACAGCTCACTATCTTTTAATTATATTTTTCAAAAATCTAACTCCTTACTTTGTTTGTTAAATCTAATTTTCCTCAGTAATATAAGTTATTTCTGCAGTTATATTTATTAAACTCAGTCCATTTCTCTTTTTAACTTACTAAATTTAATGCTTACTAAAAATCCCTGGGTGCTGAACTTAAGGATTGGTTTTTATTATCATTATTTTTATTTATTTTTTCATTCTTCCCAAACAGTTGTTTTGGAGAAACTTTTAAAATGCCCTAATTTGTGGAGTTTATTTTTTTTCTTCTACTTTAAAGAGACAGCTTTTATTTTTTCATTATGAACAGAGAATATGATAGTTCTTAGCTTTGAAAATTTATTGAGATTTTCCCTATGGTAAAATTTATTGAGATTTTTCCTATGGTAGGCCATATAATTACTTTTTATAAACATTTGATTCATATATTATAAGAATATAAATGAGTAGATATTGATTGATTAACTGATGAATTCAACATATACTTACTGAATATTCAGTATGTCTTTGGCACCTGGAACTGATTAAAAAAAAAAGAAGCAAGCATTTCTGCCTTCTTGAATTTCACACTATAGCTGGAGAAGGAATAAAATAAACCATGCACATTGTACTTAAGTACATAATGCTATCTCTTTTTAATATGATAAATGCTTTGAGAGAAATAAACAAAAAGAACAGTAATGAAGGGTAGAGAGCAAGAGTTTAAATTTTATATGTGAAGGTTTGGGAAAGAAATTGAGAAAGTGTTACTTGAATAAAGACTTGAAGAAGGTTGAAAAGAGACCCCTTTTCATATCTAGAGGAAAGAGCATTTCATGCAGAGCACACAGCCAGAGCAAAGGCTGTCAGGTATGTGAGTGTGCACCTAGTATAGTCTAGAAAGAACAAAAAAGGATAGTGTGGCCGGAGAAGAGTGAGAGAAGGGGTGCAATTGGAAAGAATAACGTCAGAACTGTAATGAGGTCATTGTAAGGACTTTGAATTGTAGTCCAACAGTAGCAGGAAGCACTGGAGGCTTTTGAGGAGAACAATGGTGTGATTATATAAATGTAATAACTATAGTATTAAAAGACCCGATCCAACAGATCTGTGGTGAACAGAATGGCTGCATGCAGTACTTCTGATGAGAGATTGTCTTGGCTAAGAGTAGGATTGTAGCAATAAAGAATTGGCTAAATTTTGGATATTTTTCAAAGTAGATCCTTCATAAAGAATTTCTTTCTACAGTGCTTGTGGGAAATGAAGGAAATACATAAAAAAGGAAATCCCTATTGTGGCCTGAGCAACTAGAAATAGAGAGTCCCTCAGACAAAAAGGTCTTATAATGAAATAAATATGGGGAGGGGGATCCAGAATTCAGCCCTGGATTTGTTCAGTTTGAGGTGTCTACTAGATATTTAAGTGAAGCCAGATACGCAATTAGATGTTGGAGTTTAATAATTAGCTATACAAGTGATTTAAAAACACAAGGCAGGAAGCTATTAATGACGGTACGAGTAAAGACAGAGAAAATAACAGACTCGAGGATTGATATAATAATATCATAAGGGTGGAGAAAGATCAGGAATCAGGAATCAGAAGAAATGAGGAGAGTAGTACAAATGAAACAAGAAAGGAGGAGAGTGCCTGATTTAAATTGGTTTAAGAAAAAATGGGAGAACAGGGTTGGCGACAGTGAATATACTTCCACAGTTTTTGTTTTAAAGGAGATTCATGTGTTGTATAAGATCCACCAGAGAAAGAGATGTACCACCTCTCCCTTCTCAGTTTTGGTGTTGCCACATGCACAGTAGGTAGGAGATGGATTTGCCTTATGTTGGTGGCTATAAACCCCAGGCTTGATGACTCTGGTCTAGTCTTTATCTGTGGATTAGTTGACATCTGTCAGCAGCTAGGAAGTTGACAATCATTTTCTCCCTTTCTTTTCTCACTAACTGTTTTAAGGTGCTCTCTGTACGAAATAGGGTTAGGCATATTTATGCAATTTCTTCTTCAGCTCCTTCATTCAAAAGCATTACAAAAATATAAGGTTAAAAATAAGGTACATAAACAAATAAAATTTGAAATTAAAAACAGATTAGCAATAAAAAAGTACTACTTAGGTATAACCCTATCTATCTATCTATCATCTATCTATCTATCATCTATCATCTATCTATCTATCTATCTATCTATCTATCTATCTATCTATCTATAGATAGATATGACCTATATGAGAAAAACTATAAAACTCTGATGAAAGAAATCAAAGGACTAAATAAATGGAGACCAATATTGGACAGGTGTCAGTTATTCTCAGCTTGATCTATAGATTCAATGAAACCCTAATCAAATTCCAAGTTATTTTGTGGATATGGACACACTTCTTGGAAAGCTTACATGGAGAGAAATAAGATCCAGAATAGCCAACACAACAGTCAAGGAGAAGGACAAAATTGGAGGACTGCCATTACTGACTTAAAGACATATTATAAGGCTACAATAATCATGACAGTGCAGTTTTGACGAAAGAATAGACAAATACATCAATGGAAGAGAATAAAGAGCCCAGAAATGGGAGCATGTAATATTGTCAACAGATCTATGACAAAGGGGCAAAGACAATACAATGGGGCAAAGATAGTTTTTCCAACAAATAGTTCTAGAACAACCGAACATCCACATGCAAAAATAAATGAATTTAGACATAGAAACTTCACAAAATTTAATTTAAAATAAATCACATATCTAAAGTTAAACACAAAACTTTTAAAAACTCCTAAGAATATAACCGAAAAATATCTACATGATCTTAGACTTCATAATTGTACACCACAGGCATAATCCATGAAACAAAGAACTAGTAAGCTGGACTTCAATAAAGTTAAAATTTTCTGCTGTATGAAAGACACTGTCCAGATAATTAGAAGGCAAGCCACAGATGAAAAGACAATATTTATAAGACATATCAAATAAAGATTGTTATCCAAAATATACAGTAAATTCTATTTTTTAAATTTTTAATTAAAAATAATAATCATATATTTATATGGTATAACATGATATTTTGCTTTATGAAAGCTAATTATAACCATCACTAGAAGATGGAGTGAGTGCTTGTGAGTTGGTGTGATCCTCTGACTTTAAACATTCTGTTACTATATATATTTTTTAAGGATCATGCTTTAATAATTTGTAAAAATAACAGTGAAAAATTGGTAACTTGTATTTAAAGTATTTTACTTTTGGTTACAACTCAGACTGTTTTAGGATATAATTTTGGAAGACTTGCCTTTTTTAAAACTTCAACTTTTATTTTAGATACAGGGATGCTTGTGCAGATTTGTTACATGGGTAAATTACACCCAAGTAATGAACATAGTACCCAATAGGTAGTTTTTCAACCTACCTCCCTATCTCCAACCCTCCAGTAATCCACAGTGTCTACCATTTTCTTATTTGTGTCCATGTGTGCTCAATGTTTAGGTCACACCTAAAAGTGAGAAGATGCAGTATTTGATTTTCTCTTCCTACATTAATTTGCTTAGGACTGTGGCCCCCTGCTCTATCCATGTTTTTGTGCTGCAGAGGACATTGTTTCATTCTTTTTCTGGCTCTGTTGTATTCCATGGTGTATATGAACTACGTATGCTTTATCAAATCCACCATTAATGGGCACCTAGGTTAATTCTATGCCTTTGCTATTGTGAATAGATTGGTGATGAATGAAACCAAAAGTTGATTATTAAAAAAAAAAAAAAAAAAAAAAAAAAAAACAAGTGTAAGGAAAATGGCTGGGCTTCAGTCAGGAGTAGGCTGAGGCAGACATCCGGTGCAGCATGACACAGAGGCTTTGGGGCCCGGCACACAACCCCGTGCACTATGTCATCATGTTTATGTAGCCATTTTGATGTAACCTGTTTTTGTGAGCTCATACCTGGCTTTCAGCGACTGTTGTCTGTGAAAAATATAACTGCACTGCTGACTCTGTAGTAGGGAGAGAGATGAATAAAGCCATGTCCCACCTACGGTCCCTCGAGGGTCTTTTCAGCTACCCACCACCTGTCCACCAACTCCCCTCCGACCCCAGCTCAGGTTGAAACCTGACAATTGGTGTAGTTGGCAGGATCCCAAGGTGAGACAGCCCTTAGTCCCCGATGATCCCGGTCAGCCATGTGGCCCCAGCATGGGTTGTGGTACCCGCTGGCAGCCGTGCTGCTAGGATGGGCCCTGGTGGATAGGTCCCCCATGAGCAGGGAGAAGGCGCAGAAGCACCTGGAAGCACAGAACACTGAGGGAGCGGCGCCTTTGCCAGTAGAGTTGGATGGACGATTTTGGCTGCGCTATGGGAAGTACAAGCTCAGTCTCTGCGGGATGCAGCGCAGGTAAGGGACCTCCAGGCACAAGCAGAGAACCTGGAGGCCTGGATACACAGCTTGGAATGGGAATTAGGGGCTGCCGTTAGTCGGGCCTGGGCCCACCATCCAGGTCAGAGACCCTCGCTCGGTCTGATACCAAGGAGGAAGGACACCCTGTTGTGGGCTCGCCCAGTGGTCCATCAGAAAATAGAGCATGAACAGCCTTTGGGGCCCCAGGGGCGGGCTCAGGGACCCCCTACCATGACAGAGCACATGTCACACAGTGCCTATATCCCAACTGAGTTGCAGGAATTAGGTAAACAGTGCCGGCAGCACGTGGGGGAACCCCTACCTGCCTGGATGCTGCGCCTATGGGATGAGGGAGCCAACAGCATTGTCTGCTCCACCTCTGAAATGGAAAAGTTGGCCTCCATTACGACCCATTCCTCCCTCCATCGGCGATTGCAGTTCAGCAGGCAGTTACCATAGGGGCAAGGTGACTACACCCTAATTGAATGACTGATGGTGGCCATACGAACCGTATGGAATGATGCCGGAGAAATACCAGAAGCTGACTAAATGAGTCATATATAAATTTGGTGCAAATAATTTGGGAGACGGGTATATGGCAGGCTATGCTGGATCTGAATACCCAAGGGCCAGATGATGAACGCTTTACCTCCCACGTGAGGGACCTTGTGTTAGGGTCTCCGCCTCCGAGTGTCTTCGGCTCCTTGGCCACTGTCCTCACTCCATGCATGGGGTGCCACATACATGTGGGTACTACTGCCGTGGCGGCCCACAGGGAAGCAGAGGGCTGTTGGGGGGACCGGGGAGTCCCTGCCATAAAAAGGGGGCAGGCAGCCCTTCCACAGGACCCCACCTCATGGGACAAAAAGGGGCCCCAACAGGTGACTCACATGCAGATGTGGACTGATGATTTTGGCTGGGGTTGCCGGAGAGAAAATTGATAGGTAACCCGATAAAGCCCTGTTAACTTTGTGGAGGCAGTTGTCCTAGGAGCAACAATTCTAGAAAATTCTCAAGAGGGGGCAGGACAATGCTGCTCGACCCAGTCCCGCACAGACGCGCCAGCTCAAGGACTACTGGCAGACGGGAGGAGGTATAGAGCCCTTTGTGTTTGCTTAGGGAACTGGCTGAGGTGCCCGGCTTGGGGTGCCTCCTAACGACCGAAGGCCACATGTGGAATTGGCAATCCACTGGTTCCCCAGCAAGGAACAGTGTGTGCTGGTCCTGGTAGACACCAGTGCAGATCGCAGCCTCATCTATGGGAACCCGGATAAGTTTCTGGGCAAGGCTGTATGTATAGACGGCTGTGGAGGCTGGTCATTGAGAATGAAACCTGTATCTTTGCACCTTGGCACTGGCCACTTGGCTCCCTGCTTATACACCGCATATGTCTCTCCCATACCTGAATACGTTCTGGGGGTGGATATTTTACACAGCTTGGCTTCACAAACCACGGCCGGATAATTCAGACGCCAACTATGTGTGGTTAAGCCAGTACTGCGCTGACATACGGGCATCACCCGCCCCAGGTCCTGCCACAACCCCGACGGGTTAATTCCACCTGTCAATACCACTTGGCTGGTGGGCAGATGGAGATAACTGAGACTATTCATAAGTTAGTGAAGGTGCAGATAGTGCGTGGCATGCACAGCCCTTACGATTCTCCAGTATGGCCAGTCAGCAAGCCTGATGGACCTTGGTGGGTGACGTTGGATTACTGAGAACTAAATAAAGTAACACCCCTTTTACATGCAGCTGTGCCTTCTATCACGGATTTGATGGACCACTTGACAATGGAATTGGGACAGCACCACTATGTGGTGAACTTGGCCAATGCATTCTTCTCAATTGACATTGCTCCAGAGAGCCAGGAAGTTTGCCTTCATGTGGGAGGGGTGACAATAGACTTTGACGGTGTTGCTGCAGGGCTATGTGCATAGCCACGTCATATGTCATGGTCTCCTTGCCACGGATTTAGTGACCTGGAAATGTCCAAAGGGGGTCCACTTATTCCATTATATTGATTATGTTATGTTAACCTCTGATTCTCTTGGAGATTTAGAAGCAGCAGCATCCCTCCTGTGACAACATTTGGCAGTATGCGGTTGGGCTGTCAACAAATCAATGTCCAAAGACCTGATTGTCTGCCAAATTCTTGGGAGTTATCTGGTTGAATAAGACAAAGGCCATACCAGAGGCCATCACTGATAAAATTCAGGCATATCCCCGGCCCACAACGATGTGGCAGCTACAGACTTTTGTGTGCCTTTTGGGATATTGGCAAGCATCGCACCCTATTTGGCTCAGTTGATGAAACACTTGCATTGGTTGACAAAAAAAGGAACTACCTGGAATTGGGCTGATGAGGCTGAGATGGCTTTTCTGGCAGCCAAGCAGGCCATACAGCAAGCACAGGCCCTATGAGTGATTGACCTGGGGCGCCCATTTGAAATGGATGAGCATGTGACCACAGATGACTGTGGCTGGGGCCTATGGCAGTCCATGGAGCACTTCAGAACACTGGTAGACTTTTGGTCCCAGCTTTGGAAGGGAGGTGAGCTCCGATAGTCACTGATAGAGAAGTAGTTAGCAGCTTCATATGCTGCCCTTCAGTCTTGTGAGAGTGTGATGGGATGGGCTGAAGTCATCGTGTGGATGACTTACCCAATAGTGGGGTGGGTACATTCAATGACCCCCCAGACAGGACAGCACAGACATCCACCTTAGCAAAGTGGGGTGCCTACTTAGAACAGCAGAATACCCTGAGTATAAGCCCCTTAGCAGCAGAATTATAAGAAGTCAGGGGACCTGTAGTCCTGATGCATGATAAGGCCATGGATCAGCCTGAGGCACCCTTAAACCCTGAGCCATCAGCATTTAGAAGGGCACTCCTCCATTCCCAATGGGGCATGGTATACAGATGGGTCCAGCTGGAGTGTTACTGCTGCCTGGACCATTGTCATGGTCCAGCCTATTACTGATACCATATGGTTTGATACTGGGTGTGGACAAAGCAGCCAATGAGCTGAACTTAGGGCATTGTGGATGGTGATCACCAAGGAAGAGACACCTAGGCTAATCTGCACCAATAGCCGGGCAGTTTGTAGAGGCCTAACCTTGCAGTTAACGACCTGGAAGTTACAGAATTGGCTAGTTGGCCACCAGGCCATTTGGGACCAGGCCATATGGCAAGACCTATGGGAAATGGGTGTAACCAAGGGATCACCCATAAATCACCAAAAGGATGTAACTATTTATCATGTGTCAGGCCATGTGCCTTTGGCTGCCCCTGGCAATGATAAGGCAGGTGCCTTAGCCAAGGTCCAATGGTTGGAGTCAGCACTTACATGATATGTAGCCCCATGACTGCACCGAAAATTGGGTCGTGCAAGGCGTAAACTAATGCAACAGGTCAAGAAGCATTGGGATCTGTCCATGTCCAAGCAAGATATCTGGGAGGCCTGCCGGAAGTGCCCAGTGTGTGCACCGGCATACCCCCAGGTGGAGACAGCTAGCTGCCCAGTGTTACACAACAAATGACAGTAGGGTGGATGCCCTTGATTAGGTGGCAAACAGACCACATCAGGCCGCTGCCAAGGTCGCGGGGGCATACGCATGTGCTGACAGCTGTAGACACGGCCACCAGTCTGTTGTTTGCCTACACTTGCAGGATGGCTGACCAATAGCATACCATTCAGGCCCTGCAACAGTTGTGTGCCCTATACGGTCACCCCCTGACCATTGAAAGTGATAGGGGAACACATTTTACCGGACAGCAGGTACAAGAGCGGGTGCAATGGATGGACATAAAGTAGAGGTTCCATATTCCATATAACTCACAACCCACTGGCATGATTGAGTGATTTAACGGACTCCTGAAAAATGGGTTACAGTTGCATGTTACTCCCCCTTCTTTACAGGGCTGGAGTTCAAGGTTGGACCTCATGCTCTAAAACATGAATGAATGGCTACGGAAAGGTGGCCCAGACCCGGTGGAGTCACTGTGACACTGGGCCACTGCTCCCATCCTGTTACAGATACACACTAAGGAGGACCTCTTCCAACCAGGTATGAGGACGAATGGTAATCTGTTGTTGCCTGCCCCAATGCCCCTAAAGGCATGGGAACAAAAAGCCTGGCTTTGGCCATGGACCCTCATAGCCTCCCATTGCCAATGGTTGGCTATCATAGACCCCTGGGGGGAGTGCGTACAGTATGATTTACATGTCACTCCTTAGGTATTTAATATATGACCTCTACAATTGACCATTCATAGGGAAATGACCAGGGAAGGAACCCTTCTCCAGGGGACATATGTATTGTTTGTGCAGCCTATTATGAGCTCCCCAGTGACTTTGGAATGGATACAGGACCCAAACGAACAATGGGGAGCTGAAAAGGTATGGTACCATCGCTCAGGGCAGAAGCCCTTGGCAGCTGCATTGTTATCCAGAGATGAAAGGTTGGCCTGTATTTTGCCTGAGGGGTGTGATATACCCGTCAGTACCGGTGCCTGCTTTGTCGTTTCAACCATAGGTTGACATGCTCCAACAGCATTGTGGACTGGGCCCACACCTATGCTGAGGTGACCAATGTTTCCAACTGTTGGATCTACACTGCCCTTCTAGCAGCAGCTCTGGACAGCTTGCCCTTGCACATACATCCAGCTTCTGCGGAAAACTGGACATGGTTAGAGACTTAGGGTACTATGGCCAACGTTTGGAACATGACACAGCAAGCTTCGGATAGGAGGTGCTGCAAAACCCATGGCATGCCTGCCTCCCGGCTGACCTATAGCATCTATGATGGATGGGGCTGGTTAGTTGGAGAACACTTGGTGCCCCCACTACAGGTACCATGATGGATGGAGCAACATTGGGGTAATGTCACGCATAGCCTGCACTAATATAACATATGTCACCACACCAAAGGCGTGGTGGAATAGGTGGCCTCATCAAGGCTGGGCCCTAATGGACTTTGTGCCCCCTGGAGTTTATAGGTGTGTGGAGACATGGGATCATCATACTTACCAGTGAACTGGACTGACTGCTGTACTGGGGGGCGGCCTTATGTGCCTGTCACTGTTATTCCAACATTGCCTAGACACCCACATAACTGGGAGGTGCTACAGTCCCTGTTTTTGCGAGTGCGACGAGCTCCCGGTGGCTCTACACCTTAGCATTAATCATCCCTGGAGCAGGTGTCAGAACTGTAGAAATGCAAGTTACGGCCCTTGCGGAGCACACTACTGGAGTCTTGAATTACACCCTAGTTGCCCTCCTTCTGTAGACAGATGAGGCTGATCAAACCAGTAGGTGGTACTGCAGAACCAGATGGCCCTAGACATATTAACTGCTGCCCAAGGTGGCACCTGTGCTCTTTTGGGAATGCAATGTTTTACCTTCATCCATGACAATCAACAAAACATAACAGTAGCTTTGCAAGGAGTTTCCCAGAAAATCAAGGCAGTTGAGAGCCTTACTGATGACCCCTTACAGACATGGTAGGCATCTCTGGGCTCTGGCTTATATTGCACCCTAATAATTATGGGCAGCATAGTGGGAATATTACTAGTGAGCTGTTGCTCCCTGTATTGCTGCTGTGGCCTCTGGGTCCAAGGTTCTGCCCTGTGGGCAAGTCTCCCCACTAGGAGAACTCCCTTGGCCTAGGGAGTGGAGTGTAAGGAAAATGGGTGTGCTTCAGTCAGGAGTAGGTGGAGGCAGACATCGGTACACCATGACACAGCGCTGGTGCAACACCCTGTGCATTACGTAATCACATTTATGTAGCCATTTTGATGTAACCTGTTTTTGTGAGCTCATACCTGGCTTTGAGCCACTGTTGTCTGTGAAAAATATAACCGCATTGCTGACTCTGTAGGAGACCATTTCCCACCTGCCTATGGTCCCCTGAGTGTTCTTTCAGCTACCCGCCACCCGTCCACCGACTCCCCTCGGACCCCAGCTTGGGTTGCAACCTGACAGCAAGGTTGATAGACTGCTAGCTAGTGTAACAAAGACAAAAGAGAAGATCCACATAAGTACAATCAGAAATGACAAAATGACATTACATCTGATCCCACAGAGTTTCATAAGATCCTCAGAGACTATTATGAACAAGTCTATGCACACAAATTAGAATATCTAGAGGAAATGAATAAATTCCTGGAAGCACACACTCTCCCAAGATTGAATCAAGAAGAGATTGAAACCATGAGTAGACCAATATAGGGCTCTGACAATTGAATCGGCAATAAATTCTTAAAAGTCAACAATAAGTAAATTAAAAACCTGATTTAAAAATGGGTGAAGGACCTTAACAGACACATCACAAATGAAAATACATAAATGACAGATAAGCATATGAAAAGTTGTTCCACTTTATATGTCATTAGAGAAATGTAAATTTAAATGACAGCGAGATACAGCCACATACCTCTTAGAATGGCCAATATCCAGAACACTGACAGCACCAAACGCTGGTGAGGAGGTGAAGCAACAATAACTCTCATTCATTGCTGACACAAAGGCAAAATGGTAGACACTTTGGAATTCAATATGACAGTTTCTTATGAGACAAAACTACTCTTGCCATGTGATCTAGCAATCACACATCTCGGTATTTACCCAAATAAGTTGAAAACTTACATCCACACAAAAACCTACACAAAGTTGTTTACAACAGCTTTATTCATGATTGTCAAAACTTCAAAGCAACCAAGATATCCTTTACTAGATGATGAGAAAAATAAACTGGTACCACCTGACAATGGAATATAATTGAACAATAAAAAGAAATGAGCTACCGAGCCATGAAAAGATATGGCGGTAACTTAAACGCACATAACTAAGCGAAAGAAGCCAATCTGAAAGGGCACAGGCTATGTAATTCCAACTATCTGACACTCTATGGCAAAACTATGGAGACAGTAAAAAGGTCAGTGGTTGTCAGGGGTTAGAGGTGGGGGGAAGGATAAATAGGTGGAATACAAAGGATTTTTAAGGCAGTTTTAAACTATTCTGTACGATATTACAATGGCGGTTACGTCATTATACTTTTCTTCTGAACCCGTAGAATATATAATATGGACAGTGAACCCTATTGTTAACTATGGACTTTGAGTGATAATGATGTGTCAGTGTAGGTCCACCAATTCTAACAACTGGACCACTCAGGTGGGGGATATTGATAATGGAGTCTATGCCTGTGTAAGAGCAGGTAGTATATAGGAAATCTCTGTATTTTCTGTTCAGTTTTGCTGTGAACATAAAACTGCTGTAAAAAGGTCTCTTAAAAATAAGGTACAAACCATATCAGTTTTGTGATTTACAGAGATTTGTTATCTGAAACTAATTCACAACATATTTATCTGTTACATCATTTAGTGAGTCAACTTTTCGGATAAGAATCTTAGCTAAAACATGCGGTGTTTGGTTTTTTGTCCTTGCGATAGTTTGCTGACACAGGAAGGGGAACATCACACACCGGGGCCTGTTGTAGGGTCGGAGGAGGTGGGGAGGGATAGCATTAGGAGATATACCTAATGTTAAATGACGAGTTAATGGGTGCAGCACACCAACATGGCACATGTATATATATGTAACAAACCTGCACGTTGTGCACATGTACCCTAAAACTTAAAGTATAATAATAACCCCCCCACAAAAAAAAATCTTAGCTAAAACTGAGAGGAAAAACATTTTGTCACTTAATCCATAGGAATAACAGAAATACAAGGAATTAATTGTTTATATCATCACAATAAATTCTTAACAAGAAAATGTAGTATTAAAAAAATAACCAAATTAGAATGAATGGCACTTTTAAAATAATGTAATATAGCTAGAAAAAAATAGTGTATTTTTTTAACAATTCCAATGATACTAAGTAATAAATTCTAGCCCAGATTTTTTTTATAGCAAGTTAATTTAGGACCTAGTTACATATTTCTCTTCCTCCTGGTTGGGGTAAAAATTTAAGCTTAATGCTGCCCAATCAATATTTCAAAAAGCTTGTCTTGATCATCTTCTTTTAATTACATAATAAAGTGCTTCTAAAATTACTCTTTCAGTGGAAGCAATTGGTTTATATATTTAAATGTCTGTCATGGCATATAAAGGATCAGGTGCACTCTTCAAAAAGAAAAAATATCTTTCCTCGTATTCTGTTATATTGTCCTTTTACTTTTTAAAAAATTGTCATATTATTTGCTGCCTTTGAACTTATCAAAAATAAGTAACATATCTTTAGAAAATAAGTAACTCCTATAATTTTAAAGGGCATTGCAGGAGTGAGAATAAAGCTTTACACATTTTTAACTCTTCTCTAACATTTGGCAATCAATGCGAGCTGTATTAGTCCAGCTTGTAAGGTGGAAGCTGTAACTGTAACTTCCAGGCTAGTCACATAGTTCCCCTGAGGTCAATAACCTTTTAACACATCTACAGGTTGGTGGTGTAAAATAACAGCTCTTTGATTTTTAACAAAATATGGAATGATTCATTCAATAATACACTGAAATTTTATTGAGTCTATGTGTATGATGGAATTTTTGGGGATCTTACAATTTAACAGTAAATAAAAAGTTTTAAAAAAGAATCCTTCAATTGAGATATAGAGAGGGAAGATGAACGGTAAAGAATAAAGAATTAATAGGTGAAAATAAGGCTTACTAGAGGACAATAAGTGCTATGCAAATTTTTTAAAAAGAGGTAGACGGTTGGTGGGTAGGTGTCAATGCTAAATAGGGTGGCTGGAAGAGGCCCCAGAGAGAAGAAGTAACGAGCAGATACCATCATGGGAAATGACCTTTCTGGTAGGGAGCCATATGCTGGAAGAACAAAGACGTTCTTCTAATGTGAAGAGAAAAATATAGTGGAAATCACTGAATATGTGTCTCCATGTTCTTTGGTCCAACAGGGTTATAGAAGCAGTGCTCAGTAGCCAATTAGGAGAATAAAAGGGCAAGGAATTGCAGAGAGAAATAATATGATGAGAGAAATTTTGCCTTGAGGTTTTCAGGTCCCTGGTATAAGCAACACACAGACAAATATTGGGCCCACTTAGCGTAATTAGACTAATTAAAAGCAATTAACCCATCCTCCACCTACAAAATGAAGAAGTTTAGAGCTGCAGCTCAGCTTAGATATGTATGCTTCTGGTTGAAAAAACCCTTCAGCTAATTTGTCCTGCTGCTGTGTTAATTGAAACTCAGTTGATTGAAAAAAAAAAAAAAAAAAACTTGGAAAAGAAAAGCCCTTCATCTAAAAAGAGAGTCATTTATTCTGACAATTACAATTATTGAAATGTTCTTTTCTATACCTATATGACAGGAATATTATGCTGCTAAGCATATACGCATCCACAGACACATAGGCCCACCAAAATACACAGAATTTCTCTTAAAAGATTAGAGTGGTATTTTTAATAGAAAAAGAAGACCCATAGGATGTAAGCTTTGAAGTAAATTAAGATTTGCCTTTACCATATTGGAAAATAAAGTTGTGATTGGAAGACTTGATTTTAGTGGGTTAAGAAAAGAAGTATTTTATTCAGAATATTTTACATATAAAGATTTGTGCCCATATACACACAAACATTCACAGAACATATATACAGTATCATTATCAGAGGCTGAGCTCTGAAATATTTTTATTTTCTGTGTGATAATGTATGAAGGAATGAGTTACCATCATTCTAATTTTATTAAGTAAGCTTTATCAATTTCTATACACAAAAATACACACATATGCAGACACATAGGGTTCAAATATAATCTGTATTTCTATAAATTTTGCTTTATAAAATGCCCCTTTTAAATCTTGCTCTATTGTGAAGTTGACAGGGAGTCTTTAAAATGATTATAATTAATTCTAGTGTTATATGCTTAACTGATAGATATGTTAAGTATCATAGAGGAATAACATCCACCATATAGCTGCAAAAAGAATTTTAGAAGTTTGGCCAGTTTACAAAAGAAAAGGATTCTAAGAAAAGCAGGCTAATGAATAGAATAAACTTAGTCCAAAATATCATACATTAACAATAAAATTTTAAGCAAGTATTAATTTTTTCAAAGAAATCAATATGACATATTTAGGAGTTCATTACAGAGGAGGGTGAATAATAAACCTGGAAAGAAAAAGCATGAATATATCTTTATAAAATCAAAAGAATATTTGCTACTACTCTGTTTACCATTGTGCTAAATGTAGCATGTAGCATCTTGTCTTATCTTTATCTCTTTAATATCAGTATTTAAGCTAAGCAAACAGATTGCATTTTAGAATAAATAATAAAATTATCTCTGTATGTGTGTTGGTTTTTTTCTTTTTGTTCTTTGCTTATGGCCAGTCTTTTTAAAAATCCATTTCCTATAGTATAAACAGAAGGATGTATTTAAATCATGGATTATTCTTACTATTTAAAAATACTGCTATTTTATTGTGAAAAGAGCAGTACTAGGATTGAGAAATGATAAAACTATGAAAATTATCGTGTTAATGTAAAATCCAGTTGGTTTCACTAAAATGAAATAAAACCCAAAACCTGTTTTATTGATTCACACAAAACTTTATAAATTATTACCTACCCTTAGAGATTTTGGAACATTATAAAACAGACTTAGTTTCCCCCTATGAATGTGAAAGAAAATGGAAAAATAATCATCTCATGAGAAAATGGCTTTGAAACAAGAGTAACTTCTATAAGAAAACAGCTGTTTCAAGCACAATTATTTACAGATTTTTTTCTTGGACAAATAATTTCTTAAAACATCATTATATCAGAGATTACAATGTTCAATTAAGCCTGGAAAGAAAGCACTGTATGAGGAGATATAAATGTCCAGATTGCATCTTACCCTCTGCCCGGAAAAGCTAATGTACTGAGAACAGCAGGTTTTTGCAATAGAGAAAGAATGTAATAAATATACAGCCAACTAAGTGAGAGGACAGGAGTTTATTTTTACTCAAATTAGCCTCCTTGAGAATTTTGAGGCTAGAGATTTTTAAGAATAATTTGGCAGATGGGGGTTGGGATTAGAGAATCCTTATTTGTCGGGTTGGGATGAAATCATAGGGAGTAATAACTTGTCTTCTTGCACTGAATCAGTTCCTGAATGGGGCCAGCAAGACCAGATGAGCCTGTTTACCAGTCTCAGTGGTGCCAGCTGGTCCACCAGAATGCAGGGTCTGAAAAATACCTCAAACCCTAATCTCAGGTTTACAATAGTGATGTTATCTATAGGAGCAATTAGGGAGTTTAGGAACTGTGCGGCCTCTGGCTGCATGACTCCTGAGCCATAATTTATATTCTTGTGGATAATTTATTAGTTTTATACATGCAGTTTGATCACCAAGCACCGAGGGAGTTTGTTGCAAGAATAGGCTGTTACCTTCTTTCTTTCAAAGTTAAACTATGAACTAAATTCCTTCCAAAGCTAGCTTGACCTATGCCCAGGCATGAACAAGGGCAGCTTGGAGGCAAGAAGCAAGATAGAGCCAGTTATGTCAGATTTCTTTCACTGTCATAAATTTCCCTTGTCAGATTTATCTCACTGTCATAATTTTGCAAAAACAGTATCAGGGATATCTTTCCATAAACAACATATAGTTTTATGATTAATAGAACCCAATTATACTGAAGGCAAAATAATAGATTATTGTAAACTTCATTATTAATAAAAGAGTCAATTATTGAACATATAATATAATGGAAAATTTAGAAACATCCTATTTGTGAACTTAGTATGTAGAAATTTTTTTCTGTATCTGTGGAAGAAATGTAATAAACCAAGTTATTCCATTTAACCCAATGAATTTAAAAGAAAAAATTTGTTTTGGACATACTATTGCTTTAATTACATTTTGATATCATTTCAGGTATGGAAATGAATTGGCTACTATATGATGCTATTTGAAATGTATGTATTTATAATTTGTTTGAAAGCTTAGTATTTCAGTGTCTCTCAAAATAGTAAAGATGTTCGGCCGTTTGCGGTGGCTCACGCTTGTAATCCCAGCATTTTGGGAGGCTGAGGCAGGTGGTAATGAGGTCAGGAGATCAAGACCATCCTGGCCAACATGGTTTAGTAGAAACCCCGTCTATACTAAAAATACAAAAATTAGGCAGCATGGTGGCACGCCCCTGTAGTCCCAGCTACTCGGGAGGCTGAGGCAGGAGAATCACTTGAACCTGGGAGGCAGAGGCTGCAGTGAGCCGAGATCATGCCACTGTACTCCAGCTTGGGTGACAGAGAGAGACTCCGTCTCAAAAAAAAAGTTATTCATTCTGTATGATCTACATTGTACTTTAAAAATATGTCATATGGATATTACTATAAAATTAGAAATATTGTGTGCATACTCCTTGTACATCACTGTTTTATCCAAAAAGCCCACAGATTACAGAACTCCATTATTAGGGTACTGAACCTTCTTGATTTCTCTAATTCTCGGTTTGTAATATCAGAATTAGCTACTACATGGGAAATGAAAATGTATGTAGTAACTTGGCATTTCTAGACAGCTATTCTACTTGGAGATTAATGCTTTACTTCCCTCCCATTTTTCTCTCTTCCTGTTCCAGCAAGAGGCAGCAGAAAATCACCTTGGTTGTCCAAGGAAGATTAATAGTCTTTCAATCTGATGGTAAGTCAGGTCTTACCCACCAAGGAAGGGAGAAACACAGTATTAGCACACGGCAGAAAAAAAGACAAGCAAATAATATGTCTACTCTTGATAAAGAAGATTTTGATACATTCACAGAGCGAGAAAAAAGTTAGTAATAACTGCTGTGACAGTTAATGCATCCAGTATGTTTATATAAAATGTATGAAGAATATCGGTATTAAAAAAATAAAAAAGCAAAATGTAACAGTACTAGGAGAACTTTAAGATAGCATTCTCACTCATTTGTTTAGAAATTCAAATGATAAACAAGAATCGAGAATATCTGAATAATATTTTATAGCCATTAGAATATGCATGTATGTGTATATATGTATACACATACACAAACACACATTAACATGTTTATATGTATATATATGCAGTAACACGTGTTTGTGTGTGAGTGCATGTATATACATCTCCACAAAACTTTCATACAATTCAATGATGGTTTGTCTTCTAGCTACGAAACATCAAAAATAGATGATCAATTTTACCATATATGAAATTTCACAAAACAATAAAATTTGAAACCATTAAGAAAAGGCCATTTAAATAAATTAAACAATTAGAAATTAAATGCCAAACAAAACACTCTCCTAGGCAGTTTGCTTTCCTAACAGCTTACTAAGCTGCAATTACTCACTTTTCAAAAGCCCAAGTAAAATAATTACACTATACATAATATTTCTGACATGGCCAATGCTGAAAGTAAAGGAACATTTGCAGCCCTAAAATACTTGTATTATTTTACTAGAGAGAAAAATAAGTGAATCAATCATTTAAATAAGGTTATAAAAATAACCACATAATAAATTAATTATAAATAATTAAAAAAGAAATCAATTTAATCCAAGTGATTTTTTAAATACTTAATATCTTTAAAGATAATTGTTACAAATGGAAGAAAAGCAAAATATTTGTCACAATAATAAATTTATGAACACAGATATGGAGGCATGCTTCCATTTTCTGAACTTCCCTTGACTTTTGCCTGTTGTATATGTTAAGCATGCATGCAGTAAGATAGCAAAACAGAAACAACAGCATTTCCTGCCCTATTACGCTCTCAGAAGTATTAGCCTTCAGCGTGTATTAAGCCCATAGGTCATACTGGTAAATTGTTTTGAATGACAAAGCTACATAATTCGGCTAATAGGGATATCACAGCAGTGAGCAGAACATCGGTGCATCACATAAAAAGGGACATTCTCTCAGTGTGTCCTTTTGGTGCTGTCAACACATAATTTGACTAAAAATCGTCCACCCAGTCTTTCAACTGTAGTGTAACTAATTTTGCATAATAAGTAACCAGGAAGAAATAATTAGAGATTATTATATAAAAACCCTGTTTCCTTTCAACATTTGACCCACTAGCTTTAATAGTCTTCGTAGATTCTTTTCTGAGTCAAGTCTTTGAATGTTGCACATGGTGATTTTCCAACTTTATTATTCCTTCTATATAGTATTTATAGGTTGGAATTCTACTTTAAGAAAGAAATCTCCTTTCCTCCTCTATTCATTTGTTCATTTATTACCTGATGAACACACAGATTTTTATGTTATTCAATAGACTACAGGTTCATTAATATTATTTTACTTTGATTTTTTTTGTACTATATTTGGACAAAGAAACCAATTCAAAATAGCTCTGTTATTACATTTGGTATGACCAGCACCTTTGTTAAGCCAGATTTATTGTTTCTCCTGGTATTCAAAGACATAACAGAATTGAAATAAGTTTTGGATTTTGCTTACACAAGAATCACGCTCTCATTATTTACTTTAAATGTACTTTACTAGTCAGGACTACATAATAACATTGGGGTTGGAAACAGAAACTTTGTCCAAAGTAAACTTGAAAGTTTCTGAGCTATTACAAGCCAAGGCTCAATATGAGCACATATTCATGTGTGAGAGGCTCACTGTACAGTAACATTCTGTATAGAATACAGTCAATATTTATTAAATAGACAAGCTTTTATTTAAAAATTAAAATATGCCCTAATTTGCATATATGTAAATATTTATATATATTGGAAATCTACACCAGTAACTGCCATGATTGTTTAGAATATAGATTCACTAATTTGTTTTTTAGGAAGGAGTATTTTATCACTGATGTTTAAAATCGCCAACAAATACCGATAGTAAAAAGCAGGTCATCTTTTCACTAATTTTAAATATTAGTTTTACATTTTAGATAACACAGTTCCTTATTTTCTATACTCAGGACAGCCCATTTCCATTTGTCAGATTCGATATGCCACACTCTGACCAAACTTTTTTTATCCATTATCATGACCTTTGATTGTTTTTAGTAAATGCTTCTGCACTCAGCATTAATTTATCTAGCTAATACTAATTTTTAGGAGTACTAAGCAAGTGACTTTCCAATTTAGTTTTACTGATGAGTACAGGGCAAATGTAGCCAAATAAGACCAAAAGTAAAATAGTAAACATCCCTTTTAAGGAATAGGAGGAATATTGTATTATTTTGCAATTACATTTTAAGGTTGAAATTAGTGGAGGATTTCTCTGCATCAGACGTTTATATGTTCAAGAGATTATTTCTTACGTAAATGAAGAAATAAGGACACAAAAATAAAAAATAAGCTAGAGAAAGGAAAGCTGATGTTTGAAATAATAACATCAAGTATAACCTTAGATTTTTTAGTATAATTAAAAAATTAAATTTTATTTTCTTAAACTGTATACTTATACTTTCTTAAACAGATACTGTATGTATACACAGATGATTTCCTATTTGTGAAATTTTTATCATGTTTTACTTTATCTGTAAGCATTAATTGGCTTTATATTTGAATATTAATGTTACTTTTATCATAAAGCACTAAATATATTTTACAACAATGTGAACATTCAATGTATTAAAAGTATATAATATAAGTGGCATATTTGTGGCCCACTGGGTTCTATTTATTAATGAACTAGGCAGCAATTGCATGTTTATTTTCATGAAATATGTTCATGAAGAACACAGATGAGACCAAAGTTAAATAAATAATATACCTCTTATATTTTAAGAAAACCAATAATCTCAAATATAAATGACACTGCAGAAAGCCCTGGGACAATACAGTTCTTAGAGTACCACGTCTGCAAAAAAACAGTAATTTTTTTAACAATGTTATGCCAAAAGTTTAGTTTTCCAGAAGACACACTGCTAAAGTTTTTGCAACAATAGCACAGCTATGAAAAATTATCTGTAACGTTCCTAAGGAACACAAAAAGTATAAAAAGTGTAAGTTCTTAATTCCATGAATAATACATAGCTATCTGAAACATGTACATGTGTTTGTGTATTCACACTTAGAAGGGTGATGATCAACAGTTCTACTCAAACTGAAATTTTTAATTTCACTGCATGAAATAGTTATATATCCCTATTCAACATTAAATATTCTTTAGACACAATGTCTTACTTCTTAAAAGAAATCTGATAATAATATTTTTCAGAATTTTATGTAATTCTGAGTGGTTAGACTTTCTTATCATATTTGCTATGTTAATGTTATTTATTCTTTAAATACAGATAAGACATATACATGACCTTTAAGGCCAGTTATTTCCTAGTCCCTTATATTAAAATTATCTGATTTAACTTCACCTGTGTCTTTCATATGCTACAATACATGCTGGCATAACTATATAATTTGTATGTATCTTACATGAAATATTAAAATATTTAACATTCAAAATGATAATTCTAAATTACTTTATTGGTGTAGCCAAATAAATATTCAGTTGTTTACTTCAAATTCACTTATGAAAAAGTCATAATGTCCTCAATAATTTTTAATCAATCTCAAAAAAGGATTGATTATTATAGAAAGTCTTAGATTATGATGCAAATGACATAATGCAAGTTCATAGAAAGTCTTAGATTATGATGACAATGACATAATGCTAGTTCATAGAAAGTCTTAGATTATGACGCTAATGACATAATATAAGTTCATCAACATCAAAACTGACTTTACACAGAGGCATATTAGGACAATAGTCTGCTTTGGAGGATCATGGAGAATATTTTGAAGACATGGCATATTTGCTTATCCTAAAATCTTATCATTATAAATTAAGTCATTTGTTGTTTTCCAAACCAAGTTACACATAAAATAAAGAACTTGTAAGTGGGAAATTAAAAACACCTCCACGAGGCAAGTGCCAGACACATTTTTATAGGAAGGCTATATGACTCAAAAACAATAAGTGAATTGCAGAGGATCAAACATATTTTGTCCAAAAATATGGGTAAGGAGATCTTCATGGAAAATGATGCCGTAAAGATGCTATTACTTTATTAAAGTGGTGGAAAGAGAGCACTGGCAATGGTGGAAATGGTTCCGAAAAGCAGACATACAAATGCAAATCTTCAGAATTCTCTTAGGGCACATTATTACAATCACAAAAAGTGTATTAACATAGTATTGCATGGCAAAGAATATAACAATCTGTAATATACACTCAATACATGACTGACTTTCTAAAATTAAGAAATAATAATAGTAAGAATAACAATACCATTTTCATAGAAAGAAATTCTTATTACTCTATATAAATGAGACATAAGCTTCCTTTACTCGTAATCCATCTGTAGAGTTTAATTAACAATAATATACGAGCTGATAACTATCAGTGGAAATATAAATAAGAATGGAAATAATTGGACTTCTTAAAATTATTTGCTTCTTTTCTTTTTCTTAAATATTGGAAAATATGTATGATTGTTCTTAGAAAAATATTTGTTACCCATTGATTAGGATATCTTTTCATCTGGAACTGTCTGTCTATTCTGGAAAAAGCAGCTGAAAAGACCAAAAGCTGTGCATAGATTTATGTCAGCCACTTGGAGATAGACAAAATTTGAAGTTCAGCATCAAGGAACTTCAAGGAAGGAGAAGCTTATTAAACCTCCAATTGTTTGATTTGGCTTCCTGAAGAGCTAAACCATAGGACTAGGATTTTAAGAGGAACAAGAAAAAAAGAGAGGATTAGTGAAGTGAAAGACAAATTCATAGAAAATATCCAGGCTGATGAACAAAATGAATGGAAGACAAAAAAGAGCACTTACAAATTCTATGGGAACCTACTGACAGAAACTTATGTGCAAATTAGTAAGTCACAAATGGGAGAAGAGAAGAAGGGAAGAAGTGACAATGACTAATTAACATTGCAAACTGAAGAAATTCCAAAATCCTTAGATTTGAGAACTGCCCTGAAGAGAATCAATGCTTAAGCACATCCATAATAGAACTTCTGGAAAACAAAACATAGAAAGAGAAAAGGTCAAAGGCATTTGCAGTAAATTCAAATATAGATAATTCATTAGCAGAGAACTCACAATTACAGGAATATTCAGTGGTATTGATCAAGTTTAAAAAACAAGAAAATATTAATAAAAAACACATGTAGAGAAAATCTAAAGAAATATTGGCTGTGTAAATAAATGCCTTATTTAAAATAAAATTCCATTAAATACACAGGACAAGTGTGCTCCTTTCACTCTGAGTATAGAAACCTGAAAACAAACATCACTCTCAAAGGAAAAATGAGAAACAATGAGATAATATACAAAATATAATTATTTTAATCCATTCAACGAGTTGAAGTTACAAGTCTGTTAAGGGAACTCAACTCCAAGGAGTGTTAAGCTCTTTCCAAGAACACAAGATGTATGAACTGTTACACTTTTGGCAGGACACAGCCAGAAATCTGCAAAAAGCCAAACCAAAGCAATAAAACAAGCACAAAAATCGAACGATATTCTAAAGGGAAACAGTAGGGCTGAATACCAGTTTACAATGATTGGGAGCCCCAGATACAAGAGAAATGTATATTTAATCACAAATGATTCTTCACTTACTTCTGCTAGATTTTTAATAGAAATAGATTTAAATTAAAAACAAATAGCTTTAGGGGTACAATTGTTTTTTGGTTACAGGGATGAATTGCATAGTAGTGCAGTGTGGGCTTTGGGTTTACCCATCACCCAAATAGTATTCATTATTCTTAACAGGTAGTTTTCATCTCTCACTTCCCTCCTACCCTCCTCCCTTCTAAATCTCTTCCAATGCCTGTTAGAGTACCCTGTATGCCTTTACATATGCATAGCTTAACTCCCACTTGTAAGTAAGAACATGCAGTATTTGGCTTTCCATTCCTAAGTTACTTCACTTAGGATAATGGCCTCCAGTTCCAACTTGCATTGGTGCAAAAGACATGATTTCATTCTTTTTTTATGGCAGAGTGGTATTTCATGATATATATATATACAGTACATTTTCTTATCCATGCATCAGTTGATGGGCACTTAGGTTGACTTGAAATGTTTGCAATTGTGAATTGTGCTATGATAAGCCTAAGCGAGTAGGTATCTTTTTGATATAATGACTTCTTCTCCTTTGGGTACATACCCAGTAGTGGGACTGATGGATGGAATGGTAGATCTACTCTTAGTTCTTTGAGAAATCTCAATACTGCAGAAATAGATTTTTGATGGAAATCTTAATGGGCAGAGGAGAAGACTCAATAGAGTCTCCTTAGCGTTCTTAGGAAAGATAACTTTATACCAAGCAAAAATATGTAGTTGAGAAAAAAAATGGAGAAAACAGAGACTGGTTGCAAAATGGCTTGAATGGTGGGGTGACAGAGAGACAGCTGCTATAAAGCAGCTATTCTAAATATTTTTAAGAATTAAACTATGCTGCTAGAGAGCAGTAAAGAAATATAGGCTGTTTTTTCTCTCTCCTGATGAAGGAGTGACAGATTCCGTCATACATAGGCCCCAAGACATATGGATAGAAGCAAACCCATCTGCCTCTAGGGAAGGGTTGGGAAGAACCTGCTCCATGCTCCTGAGAGCAAAGCAAAAATCCACTGCTCTGGGGAAGCGTACATGCAAAATCCTCTGCCCTTGGGGGTGAGGCAGAAAAATCAGGCTCTGAAGTCTTTGGGAATACAAATCGCTGTTCCACTACCACTGTTCACAGGGGAATAACTTTATCTTATAGAAGACCCACAAGAAGCCAGGTGCAGTGGCTCATGCCTGTAATCCCAGCACTTTGGCAGGCTGAGGAGGGTGGATCATTTGATGTCAGGAGTTTGAGACCAGCCTGGCCTACATGGTAAAACCCTGTCTCTACTAAAAACACACAAAAACATTAGCCAAGCATGGTGGTACATGCCTGTAGTCCCATCTTCTGGGGAGGCTGAGGCAGGAGAATTGCTTGAACCCAGGAGGTGGAGGTTCCAGTGACGAGTTCACACTACTGCACTCCACCTTGGGCGACGGAGTCAGACTCTATCTCAAAACAAAACAAAACAAAACAAAACAATAACAACAAAAAAAGACCCACAACAGATACAAGACAAAATTTGGCTGCCATGGGTGGAGCAGAGGCAGGAACACTGAAAAGCCCTAACTCCTGAGGTCCAGGCATGCAGCCCATGCAAAGACTGAGGCTGGATGAGGAGAGACAAGAACTTGCTACCCCAGACATAAGCATAGCATTAGCATAAATAGTATCAAAAGCATAGCAACAGCTTCCACCACTGGAAGAGAGACAAGAGCAAAGAGAAAGAGAGAGAGAACATCCTGTTATTAGAAATCCAGGAACAAGGTGAAAGATGAGGGAAATAATGGAGCGGAAATGCCAAGAGAAGTTCTCCAGAATTCTAGGACACACAACAACAGCACAAAGAGAAATGAATGTGAAGTCTGTGGGAACTGAGAAAATGGTAATGACAAAACACAAGCCTACAAAACACAAGCCTGTCTCACAACCAACAATATTAACCTAACCCTACACAATAACGGCCTGACAAAGAAAGGGTCATACCCATTTCTAGGCATAAATAATGTATACCTGTTTCACCTGCTCTTCTAAACTTAATGTCTGGAATTTGGAATTAGCTATATTATATCAGAGATAAAAATTTCCTTTAGTAGTCTCTCCAGTAAACTAATCACAGCTGAGGAAAGACTCCACTGGACTTAAAAGTAGAATAATAAAAACAATTCAAAATAAAATGCAACAAGAAAATTGTAAAAAGATAAATAGTACACTCAAGAGCTGTGGCACAGAATTTAAAAGTACATGTATTTATAGAGAGAGGAGAGGGAGAAGAAAAGGCAAATAAATTCTTTGAAGAAATAATGGCACAAAAATTTCTAAAGTAAATAAAAAGCTACAAACCACAGATAAAGGAAGTTTCGATAACTCTAACAAGGTAAATACAAAATAAAAGAAATATTTTATAAAGAAAAAAAATCACAGTGTGCTGAAAAATGTTAAGATAAAACCTTGAAGGCATCTAAGGAAAAATGAACATTCTGTACAGAGGAAAAAAGATAACAATGTAAATAGCTTCGTTTTATTTTGTTTTGTTTTTCAGAAACTATGTAAGCCTAAAGAGAGTGGAGAGATATCTTGAAATTGTTGAAAAAAGCAACATGCCAACCTACAATGCTATACCAAGCAAAAATATCTTATATGGTCAAGATAAAAAGAATATAGAAACCAGTTGCAAGATGGCTCATATGACGGGTTTAGAGACAAGAACTCTCAAACATCTATTTTAAATATTTTGAAGGATTAAAGGAAAATGCAGCCTTAATAAATTAATAGTTTGGAAAATGCAAGGAATAAATGGAACCAATTAAAAAATAACCAGACACAGAATTTAGAATGGAAAAGTCCAAGAATCAAAATAAGAAATTCACTGCATGTTGTTAACAGCAGATTGGAGAGAATTGAATAAATGAAAAGTGAACTTCATGATATATTAGTAAAAATGACCTAATCTCAACATATTCTTTATAAGATTGAAGAACAGATTACCAGTTAGGTTCTAACATGGCTTATAGTTGGAGCCTCAGAAAAAAGAGAACCGTGAGATTGGAATGGAACAAGTATTTGAATTAAAAATGAACATTTGTCATTTTTCCAGTTTGATGAAAACACCTACTTACAGACCCATACCAGCAGATCATAGGCAGAATAAATACCAAGAAAATCACATCATAGTAAAACTGCTGAAACACATGACAAATTTTGAAAATAGCCAGAGAACAAAAGAATTATTACAAACAAAATACTGAAATGAGTGATAACTAACATTTAGCCAGACACAACTGAAGCCACAGATAATGCAATGATGTTTCTACAATGCTGAAAGAAAAGTTTTCAGAACAGAATCCAGGAAAAATGTTCTTAAAATTAGAAGGAAATACTTATACAGTTAAATAAATAGTGAAGTTTTGTGGCCACAGACCTGTATTGGGAGAAAGGCTAAAGAATGTACTTTAAGCTGAAAGATAATGGTACCAGGTAAAAAATAAGAAGAGTATCTGAAATTGCAAACGTGGGTAAATACACAATTTTTTATGAATTGATTTCTTTATTGGCAAATGGTAAGAGAAATATAACAGCATTGAAAGGTGAGATTTATACAGTATGTAGAAGAAAGAAATGAAAAAATAGAACAAAGTACAGTGGGTATAAAGTATAAAATGTAAAATGGGAAGTACAAAATAGGAAGTAGGAACCTAGAATCATCACAAGTGATGTGGAAAATGGAATAATAGTAAGTTTAAATGTTGAATATTTGAAGATGTGTAATATAAAATCTAAAGATGCTGCTAAAATAATTACACATATAGAGAGAGTTAAAAGGCACTAGAATATAAATTAATGAAACACAGTAATAGAAAGTAAAGGAATAAACTCACACATATAGTCACTGATTTTTAGAAAAAGGTGTTACTATATTATGATACAATATATATAATATGCTCACCTAATAGTACATAAAAATGACAAAAATTATATTGAAATGGGTCATTGGTCTAAATGTAAGAGCTGAATCTATAAATAAAATAGAAGAAAAATATGAAAAATTCTTATTATCTTGGGTTAGGTAAATAATTTCTTGAGTAGAATACAAAAATCATAAACTATAAAAGAAAAAATATATACATTAGACTTCATCAATTCTTTTTCCTATTCAAAATACATAAATAACAAGTTGGAAAGTAAAACTGTAGCCTAGTAGTAAATGTTTGCAAAATTTTGCCTGAACAAAGAAATGTATTAAGGAGATATATAATATCTATATTCCATAGAGATGTATAATATATGGAATATAGAGAAATAGATATTATATACTTAAAACTCCAATAATTCAATAATAAAAATAACTCCTTGAAAATGAAAAAAAAATTAAACAGACACTCCACTAAAGAAAATATAAGAAAAGAAAAAACCACATGGAAAGTTACTCAACATAATTAGTCATTAAAGAATGCAGATTAAACTACAATAAGTTGCAACTGTATACCTACCTGAAGCCCTAAAACTAAAAACAAACATACAAACACACAAAAAACAATAGCAAAAATATTAAATGCTGGCTAGTAGCAAGTGGAAATCACATAAAATGAGGGTATAAATGCAAAGTGATACTGTAACATTGAATAATGGTTTTGCAATACCTTATGATGTTAAATACACCACAAAACCTAGGGTATTAGTCCATTTTCATACTGCTATGAAGAAATACCCAAGACTAGGTAATTTATAAAGAAAAAGAGGGGTAATGGACTCACAGTTTCGCCTGTCTGGGGAAGCCTCACAATCATGCCAGAAGGCAAAGGAGGAGCAAAGGCATGTCTTACATGGTGGCAGGCAAGACAGCATGTGCAGGGGAGCTGCCCTTTATAAAACCATCAGATCTCATGAGACTTATTCACTATCAGAAGAACAGCCATGGGAAAAACCCACTCCCATGATTCAATTACCTCCCTTTCTGTCCCTCCCATGACACATGAGAATTATGGGAACTACAATTCAAGATGAGATTTGGGTGGGGACACAGCCAAACTATATTATTCTGGCTGTGGCCCCTCCCAAATCTCATGTCTTCACATTTCAAAACACAATAATGTTTTACCAACAGTCTCCCAAAGTCTTAACTCAGTCCAGCATTAACCCAAAAGTCCAAGTCGAAAGTCTGTTCTGAGACAAGCAAGTCCTTTCCACCTATGAGCCTTAAAGTTTCAGAATGTTCTCCTTTGGACTCCATGCCTTACATCCGGGTCACGCTGATGCAAGAGGTGGGCTCCCATGGCCTTGGGCAGCTCTGCCTCTGTGGCTTTGCAGCATACAGCTCCCCTCCTGGTTGTTTTCACAGGCTGGTGTTGAGTTTCTGTGGTTTCTTCCAGTTGCATGGTGCAAGCTGCTGGTGGATCTACCATCCTGGGGTCTGGAGGATAGTGGCCTTCCTCTCACAGCTCCAGCAGGCAGTGCCCTGTTAGGGACTCTGTGTGGGAGCACCCACCCCACATTTCCCTTCTGTACTGCCCTACAAGAGGTTCTCCATGAGGGCTCCACCCATGCAGCAGACTTTTGCCTGGACATCCAGGCATTTCCATACAACCTCTGAAATATAGATGGAGATTCCCAAACCTCAATTATTGACTTCTGTACCTCTACACACTCAACACCATGTGGAAATTGCCAAGGCTTGGGGCTTGCACCCTCTGAAGCCATGGCCTGAGATGTACATTGGCCCATTTTAGACACAGCTAGAGTGGCTGGGACACAGAGCACCAACTCTCAAGTCTGCACACAGCAGGAGGGCCCTGGACCCACCCCAGGAAACCATTTTTTCCTCATAGGCCCCCAGGCCTGTGATGGGAGAGGCTGTCATGAAGGTCTCTGACATACCCTGGGGATATTTTCCCCATTGTCTTGGTGATTAACATTCTGCTCCTTGTTACTTATGCAAATTTCTGCAGCCAGCTTGAATTTCTCTCCAGAAAATGGCTTTTTCTTTTCTATTGCATCATCGGGCTGCAAATTTTTTTTATGCTTTTATTCTCTTCTTCCTCTTAAACACTTCGCTGCTTAGAAATTTCCTCTGCCAGATACACTAAATCATCTCTCTTAAGTTCAGAGTGCCACAGATTTCTAGGGCAGGGGTAAAATGCCACCAGTCTCTTCACATAGCAAGAGTGACTTTTACTCCAGTTCTCAACAAGTTCCTCATCTCCATCTAAGACCATCTCAGCCTAGACCTTCTTGTCCATATTACTGTCAGCATTTTGGTCAGAGCTATTCAACAAGTCTTTAAGAAGTTCCAAATTTTCCCACTTCTTCTTGTCTTCTCAGCCATCCAAGTCTCTAGGAAGTTCCAAACTTTCCCACATTTTCTTATCTTCTTCTGAGCCTTCCAAACTGTTTCAACCTCTGCGTGTTTCCCAGTTCCAAAGCTGCTTCCACATTTTTTGGGTATCTTTACAGCAGTACCCACCCCTGGTACCAATTTATTGTATTAGTCCATTTTCATACTGCTATGAAGAAATACTCAAGACTGAGAATTATGAAGAAAAAGAGGTTTAATGGCCTCATAATCACGTTGGAAAGTGAAGGAGGAGGAAAGTCATGTATTACATGGTGGCAACCAAGAGAGTGTGTGCAGAGGAACTGCTATTTATAAAACTATTGTATCTCATGAGACTTATTCACTCTCAGGAGAACAGCATGATAAAACCTGCCCCCATGATTCAATTACCTTCCACTGGGTCCCTGCCATGACATATGGGGATTATGGGAATTACAATTCAAGATGAAATTTGGGGGAGGACACAGCCAAACCATCTAGCAACCTAACCCTAAGTATTTACCCAAGAGAGATAAGAACATGTATCCACATGAATGCTTGTGCTCAAAAGTTCATATTAACTTATTAATAATACCCAAAAACTATAAAAAGCTGATAGGACTATATTAATATCAGATAAGTTACACTTTAAGACAAGAAGTATTGCTAGAGAAAACAGAGTTTCTTCATAATGATGAAATAAGAAGTTGATCAGCAAGACATAGCAATCTGAAATTTGTGAAATCCTAATAAAAAAAGACCTCTAAATATGTCAAGCAAAAGCAGATATTCCCTAAGGGAGAAATGGAACAATACAGCACTACAGACATATTGTTTAATGTAATTTCTATAAATGATAGAATTAGGCAAAATACAATATAGAATATGTGAACAACCCTGAGACAACTGATATTTATAAATTCAAGTAATTTAAACAAGTGCAGAGTATATATTCTTTCAAGTGTACATAGAACATTCACTATGACAATCTCACTTTTATATTATACTTTCTTTTATAAATATATTTTGTATAAAAATGAGTTATAAAAATATAAGTATCTTAATAAATTCCAAAAGATGGAATTTTTTAGCATATGTCCTCTTATGAAAACAGAATTAAATTAGAAGTGAAGATAAATTAGATTTTCAGAAAAATTCCCAAATATTTGTGTATTTAATAACATTCGCTTAAATAACCCCTAGATCACAGAATAAAATATAACTAAATTTAGAAGGTATATTGAATTTCTAAAAGTTTAATTTTGACCTATAAGAGATATACGCAATGAAAAATATAAGCTATCAAAATTTTTGGGACACTGCTAAACTATAGCTTGAAGGGACATTTATAATGTCAATGCCTATGGTAGAAAAATGGCCTAAAATTAACAGGCTAAGATTCTTTTTTTTTCTTTCCAGCCTCCAAGATGAGATTGGCTAAGATTATTTCACAGGAAACTAGAAATGGAAGAGCAAAGTGAAGCTAAGGTGATCATGGAAAAGAAATAATTGATGTAAGAACAAATACTAATACCATAAAAACATATCAACATACGACTATGGGAGCAATGCATTTCAGCCCGTAACACTCCCCAGTAGAGAACAAGGTATGGATACCTGCAGTCATCACTTCATTTTCTTTCTGAGCATTTTAGGAATTGCAATAAGGCAAGGAAAAGAAATGCATGACATAAAGTTTGTAAGATAAATATTTAGTCACAGATGACAGTATTGTCTGCATAAAACTTCTGTAGAAATCTCTGAAAGAAGTGTCAGTAGTAATATGTGAATTTATCAAGATAGCAGGATACATGGCCAATTTTTAAAAATCAGTTGTATCTTTTCAATAGAAACAAGACATAGAAAATTACGTTAAACTCAAAATAATTTAGGATATTATCAAACACAAAATACTTAGAAGAAATTTAACAAAACTATAAACTTACAAACTAGTTAAAGTGGTAACCAATAAGATATACATAAGTGGAACGGTATTCCATCTTCAAAAACAGGAAGACAGTAATATTCAAATGTTCATTATCCCTCAATTGACCAAGAGATTCAATGCAATTCCAATGGAATATGTAGCAGGAATTCATAAAGAACAAAAAGCAGAATATAAAATATATGTGGAAATGCTAAGTACCTAGAAATGCCTTTTTAAAAAGGATGTTGGATGTTGGCCTTATACTGACTTCAACACTGTTGTGCAAGGGGATGAAAAGCACCATCATTTAGTGTGACATACTGTGGATACAACAGAGAAGTACTCAAGGAAACTCACACGTACTGAAATAGTGGAGTGCATGCAGCAACCTCAACTCCCATTCCACAGCATAGACTGAGCATCGTGCTCTCTCTACACCAAGGCTCAGGGCTTTCGCAGTGAGTGTCTCTGAATGTGGACTGACAGCTGACTCAGCACACTTCTGTGGGAGGAGAAGTTCCTTCCCACGCTACTTTACATATATATATATATGCTAACCTAAAATGGGCTAGGGCACACCTAGTATATCCAAGTAAGGCAAGTGTATCAAAGGATCTCCAGACCCAAGAATGGCACTAAGGAGAATGCATATCTATGCATATCTAAGACCTGAATCCAGTTTTGTGTGCCAGGAATGCTGCTATCAGCCAAATCCTTTCTGTCTCCCTGTCACTGGCTCAGTCTAGTTGAACAACTTTATTGCTAAACTGCCAGATAGAGGGACACAAAAGGACCTTCAGAGATACTCAGATTTCCCTCTCCTCAGTGAATTGCTGCATAGCAAACCCAAAGTAATCAAAACAGTGAGGTATTGACATGTGAATACTCAAATAGAGTAATGGAAAACAGTCTTGTAATGCTGCTACATGTATACACAGTCAGTTTTTTTTTTTGACAAAGTGCCAAGGTAATCCAGGGAGATAAATATTAAAACTATTAAAACTACAATGAGATGCTATTTTATACCCACTAGAATGGCTTCCACTAGAAAATCTGATAATAGCAAATGCTATTGAGGATGTGTGGTAACTTGAACTTTCATACATGGCTGGTAGGGGTGAGAAACAGTACAACCACTCTGAAAAGTAATTAACCAACTTATCAAAATGTTAAGTAGTCACTTATGCTATAGCTTAGACTGTTATTTGAAACATAGATCCTAAAGGTGAGTGCCATAAATCAATTTGCAAAAATACTATAAAATGCTTTGTCCTGCTGTCTTATTTAACAAAATATCCAAACACTATATTCATATAAATAAATATGCACACACACACACTCACAAAAATAGTTGAGCCTTATTATTTGTGGATTCCGTATTTGTGAATTTACCTGCTAGCAAAAATTTATAGTTGTTTGTAACCCCAAAATCAAAATTCTCAGCACTTTCAAGGTGATTTGCGGGCATGGGCTCAGCAGCAAAATATTTGAGTCACTCCAGGAACATGTTCTGTGCTGAGTCAAAGCAAAGCTACGCCCTTTTGTTTCGACTCTCACACCGCAAACGAGCATCCTTTTCACAGTCTACTTAATGTCACTTTTTTTCATATTTTTCTCATTTTTGTGGGTGGGTTCCCTGTTTATAACGGCCCCAAGTATAGTGCTGAAGCACTGTGTAGTGTTCCTAAGTGCAAGAAGGCTATGATGTGCTTTAGAGAGAAAATACGTGTGTTGGATTAGTTTCATTCATGCATGAATTATAGTGCTGCTGGCCATAAGTTCAATGTTAATGAATCAATAATATGTTACAACCAGAAAAAGAAAGAGGAAATTTGCTGATCTGTATGTGAGGCCAGTCCAGAAAGTGCTAATGTGACACCTATAGCGCATAATGAAGCTATGGAAAAGATAGAACAATAGGTAAATTTGTGGATTCGTGAGAAGACTGATTGTTTTTAAATGTAGTAGACAGCGTTGTTGTGAGGCTGGAAAGCAAAGAAATTTATGGTTTCATTATGCAGGGTCAGGAAAACGTTAAAAACGTTGAACACCTCCTGGCTGGTGTTGGCTTGCATGCATGTTTTAAAAGGTGATGGGGTTTGAGCAATTTTATGCTTGCAGGTGAGGTAGGTGCTGCAGTCCAGGAAGCTGATAAAGAATGTCTGAAATAACTGCCATGTGTTACACAGAAAAAGGATAATGTAGAAAAGCAGGTTTTTAATGTTGACAAGATTGGAATGTTTTATAAGAATGTTGGCAAAGAAACCTGCATTATGCAAACGGCCTCGAAAACCCCTGGTCTTAATTCATGCAAAGACAATGAAATTAATTATTTGTAACAAATATATATCAAAGAAGGTAGTTTTAAACGAAACACACAGAAAACAAAGCTTCGTATTGATCAGTTGATGAACATGTCCTGGCCAGTGGTACTCAGGAATCCAGTGTTGTCTTTCCCCGGGAAAAAGGGCTTTATATTTATTTGCTAATTGAGTGTTTCATGTCTTTAGAGAACATGACTATCGTGAACAATGAAAATCTATTATATATTCAGTCATATAATATATAAAGTCACATATATGTGGTTTAGTTTAAAAAAGTAAACAATCCTAATTTAATCTATGTCCCAGAAGTTGAGGAAATGAATCGCTTCAATGAGTAACTTTTAAATCATTTTGTATGTAAAAGAGTTTCCAATTATTTTCTTTCAAGAAAACTGAGGAATGATCAAGTCAAGTTGATAGCTGATAGGTCATTAAAATATTTTAATAACAAATCACTATTTGATTTTTAGCATGAAACATGAAAGTTGTTTAGTTAACTGTCTCTCACTCTAGGAAAAGTGTCGCCCAGGCAGGAGTGCAGTGGCGCGATCTCAGCTCATTGCAGCATCTGCCTCCCGGGTTCAAGCGATTCTCCTGCCTCAGCCTCCTGAGTAGCTGGGACTACAGACGCGTAACACCATGCCCGGCTAATTTTTGTATTTAATAGAGACAGGGTTTCACCATATTGGTCAGGCTGCTCTCGAACGCCTGACCTCAGGTGATCCACCTGCCTCAGCCTCCCAAAGTGCTGGGATTATGGGCATGAGCCACGGCGCATGGCTACAGGATTTTTTTAATTGTAGAAAAGTGGATTAATATAAGTAAGTCCTAATATTACTTATATCCTAATGAGTACATTTTAAACATTGATATAGTAGTTTCAATTTAAAATGAAATGTTTACAAAACCTCAGAAATTACATTATTTTTAAAGCTTTAAACTTAATATAAAAGCACTCAACATGAACAAAATACTTAGGTTACATACACATATTTTTAATTTTTTTTTAAATTGTCACAGGAACAAAACAATATTAAGTGATGTGAAAAAGTCCTGCTTTTTCTCAATATATTGTGCCAATTTCTCTAACACTATTCAGCAAAACTTTTTTTACCTAACAATATTATTACTTGTAAGTGTTCAATATAAACAAATATATGTCTCTTCTGAGTGCTCTTTTTATTAGATTGCTCTATATATGTGTTTTGGTCTAGCGGAATTTTAAAACTATTATTGCTTTGTATAATGCATGTACATCTGTTAGATGGTGCAAGTATGTGTGTGTGTGGATTTATTTATTTATATGGATTAGTGTCTGGAAATTTTGTTAAATCAGGTAGCAAGATAAACAATTTCATAGTATTTTTTCAAATTGCTTTATGGCACTCCTTTTAGCATCTGCTTTTAATAACAATTTAGGAATAATTGAGGTAAATATATTTTAAATGTATTATTCTTACTGACTTCAATTTAAAACATAACAAAATTTGAAACAAAAATACTACTATGATTTGAATGTTTGTATCCATTTCAAATTCAGACGTTAAAACCTAGTCACCAATACGATACTATTATGAGATGCCTTTGGATATCTGGTACTGATTAAATTATAAGGACAGGGCCCTCATGAATAGGATTAGTGCCCTTACAAAGAAGTGCCAAGGGATCCTGTTCATCCCCTCCACCCTGTGAGGACTTAGCAAGAAGATGCCATTAATTAAAAAAGCATGAAATTTGCCATGCCTTGATCTTGGGTTTCTCTGACTTCAGAACTGTAAGAAATAAATTTCTGTTGTTTATAAGCTACCAGATCTATGGTGTTTTGTTGTGGCAGCCCACACAGACTAAGATACCGCTGTAGGTTAAATTTACTTCATATTGAATGAGGAAGGGAATAAAACTAAGGCCAGATGAAACAAGCAGGGTGCTTTGTACGTCTCTGGAATGATAAGGTCTTGTAAAGTGATAAAATCTCTGTACCTGAAAATAATTATTTAAAAACATAGGAGGAGGAGAGAGACTAAAAAATAAAGAAAGCAAATTAGAAAAAAAGAATAGACTGAAGGATGTGGACAGTGGAAGGTGGGAAAAAATGAGGAAAATTATTATCTATTTACAGGAGCCGACAATAATCATTGCGAAATTACTATAGTGATGTTTTTTCCTTCTCTTTCCCTCCTAGTTGCCCTCCCATCCAGTGATCTAAATGTTTTAATTAAGCAAGAAAGTATTTATGAACTGTGTGGGCATGAAGAGTTTGGACAGCGAGCATTCTTCTTTACTAAAACAAATGCTAATGATAACTAAGATTCATTAGTTGACATGTGGTATGCAAATTATATTTCACACCAATGTTCAGTTCACAAATAATATTTCATGCCCAATAATCTTGTATCGTAAAACATATTATTGTAGCACTGTTTTACAATGGAGAAACAAGGCTCCCTCAGATTTGGTTAATTTTCTAATATCAGCAAGTAAGTGGCAGAGTTACAAATCACAGCTAATTCTATGCCATAAAAAAATGCAAGGAGTTGCATTTAAACTTATAGTTTAATAATTTAACATATTACCACTAATAATTAAATCATGAAAGATAATATATTGATTAAGGGTGCTTTGTGTACAGGGTACTCTGATTTAAAAAATTCACTAAATTCCCATATTGTCTCCTCAAGTTTGGAAGCATTACTATTCCCATTTCACACTAGAGAAAATTTACACAGAACTTAAGTAATTTGCTGTAACACTCACAGTTATCAAGGAATGGAGCTTGGCTCATATTCTGTCTCATTAATCTTCAAAGTTTAAGAAGTGTAACCTGCACTTTCCATAAAAATGGAGTCAGTCTTCCATATCCACAGGTTACGCATCCTTTGATTCAACCAACAATATATCAAAATATTTGGAAAAATAAAAAATAAAGAAGTAGCAGTAAAAATCAATACAAATAGAGATACAGTACATCAACTATTTACATAGCATTTACCTTGTATTGAGTATTATCTAGAGATGACTTAAAGTAATCTAGAGATGATTTAATGTATACAGGAGGATGTGCATAGGTTATATGCAAATACTATGCCATTTTATATGAGGAACTTGAGCATCCTCAGATTTTGGTGCCCTTTTGGGGTGAGTGCCTGTGGGTAGGGAGAGTCCTGAAACTGATCTTCAGGGAACACCTGCGAACCACTCTATGTTAAGTTTGTGTTCACATTATTTCCAAATACAGGGTGTATAAACTTTATTTGTCTCTCCAAATGATAAAATGTTACTTTGTTCATACTTGAGCAGTTTTAAACAAATTGATTTGATTGTGTACTTTTCTATTTTGGTTTTCAATGTGAGTATTAGTGTAAATATTTTGCTAATCCTGGATTAGACCTGTATGGAAATGAAACCAGCAAAAATATTGGGAAACAGCAAAATTAAAATACTTTGAAAAAATTTTCAAATAATCTTTGAATATTACAGCATTTAAGAGAATAATAAAATGATTGAAATAAAAAAGTGTGATCACACATTTCCTAATTTTGATTCTGTCAAAGTACCTCTGGTATATTTATTACTTTTAACAAATATTTTAAATGATTATTCTTACCCATTCATTTATAAGTTAACTAAATAAAACGAAGGATCATGGAAAACTTAATAATATTCAAGAGGTACAAAGTAATACTAAAAATTTATATAGGAGATTTTGATTTATGGCTTGAAAGTACTCTCATCTAGCTCTCATACATAGTTAAGAATTCTTGCTGGGCACAGTGACTCACACCTGTAATCCCAGGACTTTGGGAGGCCAAGGGAGGGTGGATCACGAAGTCAGGAGTTTGAGACCAGCCTGGCCAACATGGTGAAACTCCATTGTCCCTGTTTGCAGATGACATGGTTGTATATCTAGAAAATCCCATCGTCTCAGCCCAAAATCTCCTTAAGCTGATAGGCAACTTCAGCAAAGTCTCAGGATACAAAATCAATGTGCAAAAATCACAAGCATTCTTATACACCAATAATAGACAGAGAGCCAAATCATGAGTGAACTCCCATTCACAATTGCTTCAAAGAGAATAAAATACCTAGGAATCCAACTTACAAGGGATGTGAAGGACCTCTTCAAGGAGAACTACAAACCATTGCTCAATGAAATAAAAGAGGATACAAACAAATGGAAGAACATTCCATTCTCATGGGTAGGAAGAATCAATATCGTGAAAATGGCCATACTGCCCAAGGTAATTTATAGATTCAATGCCATCCCCAACAAGCTACCAATGACTTTCTTCACAGAATTGGAAAAAACTACTTTAAAGTTCACATGGAACCAAAAAAGAGCCAGCATTGCCAAGTCAATCCTAAGCCAAAAGAACAAAGCTGGAGGCATCACTCTACCTGACTTCAAACTCTACTACAAGGCTACAGTAACCAAAACAGAATGCTAGTGGTACCAAAACAGAGATATAGACCAATGGAAAAGAACAGAGCCCTCAGAAATAATACCACACATCTACAACCATTTGATCTTTGACAAACCTGACAAAAGACAAGAAATGGGGAAAGGATTCCCTATTTAACAAATGGTGCTGGGAAAACTGGCTAGCCATATGTAGAAAGCTGAAACTGGATCCCTTCCTTACACCTTATACAAAAATTAATTCAAGATGGATTAAAGACTTAAATATCAGACCTAAAACCATAAAAACCCTAGAAGAAAACCTAGGCAACACCATTCAGGACATAGGCATGGGCGAGTACTTCATGTCTAAAACACCAAAAGCAATGGCAACAAAAGCCAAAATTGACAAATGGGATCTAATTCAACTAAAGAGCTTCTGTGCAGCAAAAGAAACTACCATCAGAGTGAACAGGCAACATAACAGAATGGGAGAAAATTTTTGCAATCTACTCATCTGATAAAGGGCTAATATCCAGAATCTACAAAGAACTCAAACAAATCTACAAGAAAAAAACAAAAAGCCCCATCAAAAAGTGGGCGAAGGATATGAACAGACACTTCTCCAAAGAAGACATTTATGCAGCCAAAAGACACATGAAAAAATGCTCATCATCACTGGCCATCAGAGAAATGCAAATCAAAACCACAATGAGATACCATCTCACACCAGTTAGAATGGCGATCATTAAAAAGTCAGAAAACAACAGGTGCTGGAGAGGATGTGGAGAAATAGGAACACTTTTACACTGTTGGTGGGACTGTAAACTAGTTCAACCATTGTGGAAGTCGGTGTGGCGATTCCTCAGGGATCTTGAACTAGAAATACCATTTGACCCAGCCACCCATTACTGGGTATATACCCAAAGGATTATAAATCATGCCGCTATAAATACACATGCACATGTATGTTTATTGTGGCACTATTCACAATAGCAAAAACTTAGAACCAACCCAAATGTCCAACAATGATAGACTGGATTAAGAAAATGTGGCACATATACACCATGGAATACTATGCAGCCATAAAAAAGGATGAGTTCATGTCCTTTATAGGGACATGGATGAAACTGGAAACCATCATTCTCAGCAAACAATTGCAAGGACAAAAAACCAAACACCACATGTTCTGACTCATAGGTAGGAATTGAACAATGAGAACACATGGACACAGGAAGGGGAACATCACACACTGGGCCTGTTGTGGGGTAGGGGGAGTGGGGAGAGATAGCATTAGGAGATATATCTAATGTTAAATGACAAGTTGATGGGTGCAGCACACCAAAATGGCACATGTATACATATGTAACTAACCTGCATGTTGTGCACATGTACCCTAAAACTTAAAGTATAATAATAAAAAAAAAAACAAAAATGAGCTGGGTATGGTGGTGTGTTCCTGTAGTCCCAGCTACTTGGGGAGGCTGAGGCAGAAGAATCATTTGAATCCGGGAGGCAGAGGTCACAGTGAGCTGAGATCATGCCACTGTCCTCCAACCTGGACAATAGATCGAGACTCTGTTTCAAAAAAAAAAAATTCTTAATATATCATAGGACACATTTCATTTATTATTTTTTTTCTAAGAAAACTACCAAAGTAAAACACAGCTCAGGTATCAAAAGTTTCAATTGCATTTTTAGGCTTCCTCACTATTTGTTTTATTTTTTAGAGGTGTGAAAAAGAAATAGTGAAATAAATGAATTATGAAGACACCTGCAAGGCAATAGGAGCAAGTATAAGTTTGGAATAAAATATTGCCATGATTATAATGGGAGACATTTTGTAATTACACAGTGATTAACAACTATATTTCTATTTTCTTGCCTGGCTGTCATAAACAGCCCTTTTTGAAGCTGCACTAATATGAGTATTGAAAAAGAATACTTATGGCTCTTTTGAATATCTAACCTGTTTTGATTGAAGATTATGCAAATCACTTCTTACAGTCTTATTAAAAGATAACATTTAAGCTGAACACTGAACAATTCCAGTTAAAATATAGATCATGGAGTTAGTAGATTCTGCCTTACTGGTTTCTTGTGCACACTGCTAGGCCATATAAATATTGTATTTGCATTTTATATATTTTATATATCATCTATCTAGGGCCTGCTCTCTTCCACTATGATAATATATGCGTATATATTTTAATATTTTTGGCAGAATATTTTCATGCAAATTTGAGAGAAATTATAAACATTTCAGTATAGGATCTGGATCCTCAATATAACAAAGTGTATTAGAACTGTGAGTATAAGACCCTCTGTCAATGTCAGAAGATTAGGATTTTGGGTGAGATAAATAATTAAGAAAATCTTTGTAAACCTAGTGATCTACTTTGTTTGGCTTTCTTACCTTTGTATGAAACAAGGGAAAAATAATACTAACCAAAATATTTAAATGGAGTTGTCTCAGTGCCTTAATCTATTATATGGTTTTATTTAGAGCTTTGTCAAATTTTATTATAAATTGGAGGCAACTTAATATATGTATTGATTAACAACGTAAAATACATTTTAGATGTTTTAAGTAAAATCCTGGGAATTCCTGCTAGATCTTGGTAATATTAAGACATGTCAAAATTAAACTAAAGGAGTTAGTGTGTCTGCGTCCTTCTGGAAAAAAAAATTGAAATGTTTATTTGACTCATGAAAGAAATAAAATTGTACCAAGTGATGCATGCATTACGCTTTATAAAGAAAGCAGTAGTCCTCAAAAGACAAATCAAAATGAGAAAGAATTTAGGTGATCAAAACAAAATCCACTCATACTTGATGCTTGCAGTATTTGTTTTCCATTTGTATTTATTTACAGAGAATTGACTTGCTTCATAAATATAAAATTATGTTCTTGCAAAAAATATCTACATATACATAAGCAAATATCCTTGGAAACACGAAGATTGTTTCCAGCAATAACTTTGAACTGAGTAGAGGATCAAAAGGTGCTATGTTTCTGTGGCAGTAAATTTCTGGTCTTAATCTTGTTTTTAAAGCCGACTATTATGTTTGTAATGCAGATAATTGGGAGTGCGTTAGGGGACATTCAGACAAGCTGACCATGTTCGCATTTCACTCCTTTGCGAAGGTCTAATATATATGGTTTATCAGAAATGACTTTCCCTGTTTGGAATGTTTCAATGATGAACTATTCTTTCCGAAACTACCCTAGTGCTACGATTTATTTTGAAGGGATTCTCATTAAATTGTGCACTGCTGTATTGAAATACATGATTACAAAAAAAATGCTGACACAAGTATTTTTTCATGTTACTCTTTAAGTTGGTTGATTTTCTGTGAATGTTAAATCAGGGACAAGAGCTTACTATTCTTCATCTGCATAGAGATGAAGATATTGCATCAATTTATTATTTCTTCCTGCACGGTCAGATATTTTGTGCATGTGTGTGCGTGTGTGTGTGTGTATTTGTGATGGAAGAAAGTGTTCTAAAGAAATGCTTAGTAGAACTACCTTTTACTAGTATCAGGAGGATATTAAAAATTACTTGTAGTATTAAATATTTCTCTATGCAAGCTCAATAAGGCCTATGTAATTTAAATATTGTTCACAAAGACAATAACATTTAAAATACATCTTGTAATTCTAAATTTTAATGTCATTGTGGTAGTTAAGTATGTGGTATAAAAGTGTATCCCTGAGTTAAGATATTCTGTCTTTAGAAGACACACTTGAATAATTCATATCTTTATTTTGCCTAAATGTAAGTTTATTTTATATTACCGTTGATTAAGAAGAAATTGCTTTCAATCTAAAATTATAGGCCTTATTTAACAAATTTAGTTATATTTTAAGATAGCAATTACATATTAATTAGTCATTCTTGAGATATTGCTTATGGCATGTTTGGGAACTACGTCTTTACAACAATGCATTTTAATATTTTTTTATTTTTAGAATATACCTCACAAGTATAGAGATACAAAATATTTAATTATATTGCTTATAATATGTCACGTAGCTTTGTATATTATCGGTATTATTATCTTTAATTAACTGGGAAGAATATCTAATGTCTTTTGTATCTAAAATATTGTGCCTTGAAAATACACTTAGTACAAATATAAATATGCTTTAAGTGAGTGAATATATAATATTTTGGATTTATTTGAGAATGCCATTTTATATGACTGTGAATTCTCTAGCCATTTGTCAACACCTGCGGGACTGGACTGGACTGCAGAGATAAAAATGCATGAGGTCATTGCTCAGCTTGCTCCATCATCACCTCAGAATGAGGAAAGCAAGAAGAATAGCTGAAGAAAGTTGTCTACTCTCTCAAGGTGGCTGAGGGTCCTCTTCAATATGACTCATCTCATGTTTTTCTCTGATTCCCGAGATAGTGAAACCCAGGGAACATGGTAGTTTAGCTAGTTTTTACAGCAATTCTCTCTCTCTATCAAAATTAAAGGAAAATATCTAATGAGAATGCTCTTAAAATCTGTCTTCAAGGAATTATATCAGAATAGAATAGTGTTCACTATATTTTAACATGTTAATATAAAATATATTTTCACTCTTTGCATTGGTATTGGTGAAAAAAAAGTTACCTGATTACATTTTCCTACTTGTGTTAGATTGTAGACATATAAAGGCTAAATACATGCTCCACTCTTAGTGAAAGTTGATAGAATTCTTTAAACTATCTTTTACCCTTCCTTAAACTTTTCATATAATTATATTCAATAATATTATCCATATTGTATAAAAATTGTATGAAAATATTTTAAAAATCAGGGGAGATATCTATCTCTATATATAGAGAGAAAGAGACCTACTAGACACACTGTGAGTTCTGCAATGGATTTATCTGTAGCACTTCTTGGCAATAGCAGTTTGTGAAACACAAACTTTAATGCAATGCTGGATATCTTAGGACAATATACTCCATTCATGTGCATAGTGTTAAATTAGAAGGTAATCTTATCAAATAATGTAAGCATCATGAATATAGTATTGTTTGCAATTACTTCCCTAGCACCTAGAAAAGTAAGTAACCCTTCATAGGAACTGCAATGTGATTGAGTAACAGTCAATTTTAAGTTTATCACAATTTTTGAGAATTACTGAATACAAATACTTTTTTGTGAAATATATTTTGTGCCGTTGTGAAATGCACATATGTTAGGGCATTAAATTCTGCTTAAGTGGAGTATGGTTAGGAAATGTGGTAATACTCAAAAGACCTATCTAGGTGTTATTTTTATTGAGAATTGAATACATTTGATTTCAACAATCACATACTAATGAAGTCATAGATACATTTAACAAAAGAAGCAAAGTTACATTGTCAACACTAGTGAACTCAATGTATACATGTGAAGGCAGCAAAAAGAGAGTGGTGAGAGGAAATAGAAGAGTGCCCTTACCCACATACTGGTATGGCTCGTGGAGGACTTTGAGTACGAAGGTGAAATTATGTAGTTTGAGAAAGCATATCAAGTGATTGCAACAAACCTACCTCTAAACAAGTAACTTTTCTGAAGGAAATCCACACTAAAAATAAATTGGCCATAAGGGAGCTCTCTGTCTATGAAATAGTAATGTAATTTCTTTGCTCTGTTTTATGACTAATTTCCATTACTGAACACTTTCCAGTTGCATAAAAGTTGATATTCATAGCAAATGTATTAATGTTTACCACTAATAATATTCCTTTGTACAAATATAGTATCAATTATTTATCCATTCTAATTTTACATTAGGTAGTTTTCTTTTTTCTTTCTTCTCTTTGGTTTTTGCTATAAAATTGCTGCTTTACTACTTGTCATGTGCAAGTTTAGACATGTGGTATATGCCTACATCATGGGTTTCACACATATGCACCTTCATTAAGCAATGATGTTATACTCTTACAAGGTGCTTATAGCTGATTCTACTTCCTAGCAATGGCTATGCCCATCAAGCCACATCTAATACTTAATATCATCAGAATATTTAATTTCTGGTAATCATTTGAATGATTATTAAAACACAATAATGTACAATAAAATTTTTTAATTTATTTAAGGATTTTTATTTACATTTTTGGTAACTAATAAAGTTAAATAGCTAATTGTATGTTTATGGGCCATTTGTATTTCCATTCTATAAAATTCAAGTCTTTATCCATTATTTTTCTGTTCAATTGATTGTCTTAGTGTTTAGTAGAATTTCTTTCAACCTATACATATAGATATTTTGTGTGTTAAAAATATTCTCTTCTATTTTATAGCTTGTCTAATGTTATTTTTATTATGATGTATATGAAGAACAGTCTCTCAATTTGAATGCAGAATTTGTCTCAGACTTTCTGTTTGTGGTTTACATTATTTATATGCTTTTAAAACAGGATTTTCTACACCAAGCTCAGAATGATATTCTACTATTATGTAACTTATTTAAAATTAATTATAATTACTATCTCTTTTCTGTAATAATACCTCTATCTCATATCCACATGTGTAAGCATCTGTCAGGGCTATTTTCTTCCATTGACTGGATTTTCTATTTTCCTCCAATCCCTTAATGAGTACAATTTTATAATAAGTTATGGACATCTGAAAAGGGGCAATAAACATTTTTTTACTATATTTCTTTCTTTTTTTTTTTGGAGACAGAGTCTCTCTCTGTCTTCCAAGCTAGAGTGCAAGTGGCACGATCTCAGCTCCTCGGCCTCCCAGGTTCAAGGGATTCTCATGCCTCAGTAGCTGGGATTACAGGCGCCCGCCACCACGCCTGGCTAATTTTTATAACTTTAGTAAAGACAGGGTTTCATCATGTTGGCCAGGCTGGTCTCGAACTCTTGACCTCAGGTGATCCGCCTGCCTTGGCCTCCCAAAGTGCTGGGATTACAGGCGTGAGCTACCGCGCCCGACCCCTTTGTTCATATTTTTGGACATGTATGAATCTACCTTTTTTGAAATACTTTCTCAGGTCACAAAAGTAAAACCAAATCAAAACAAAACAAAAAACCCACCAATAGCTACTTATTATGGTTATATTTAATAATAAAATTAATTGGAAAATTAAAACATTTTCTACATTAAATCCCCTAAAAAGTAAAAGTGATATATTTTAACTGTATTTTGGACATATTTAATATTTATCAGTTAAGTTCTATAATATTCTCCAGAAAGTTTTTGTACATATTTCATTTAATATATTTATAGGTTCTTTATATTATTGTATCATAAATTATATTTTATTATTTATAAAGTGTTTCCTGTTGTACATAAAAATGCAACTTAATTTTTATACTGATTTTGAATCTAGCAATCTTGTTAATCACTTCTCTTATTTATATAATAATAATTTATTGTATATACCTTTTGATTTTCTACACAATAATGGAAGTTAATGAAAAAGTGTGTATCACTAACAACCATGAGTAAATAAAGGGTTCTTTATCTTTATTTGATAAGGGAATCTTATTAAACCTATGTGCCAACAAATTAGATAAATTAAATGAAATTGACACATTCTTAGCAGGACATAAACTATAAAAACTGACTCAAGAATAAATAGAAAACCAAATAAACTGATAAAATATTAATAGATTGGATTAAATATTAGAAACTTCCCATAAACAAGAGCTAAGTTCTAGAGGGATTCACTGGTGAATTCTACCAAATATTTGAGAAAAAAATTAATATTATTTTTTCATAAATCTTTAGAAAAATAAAAGAAAGGAAAGCACTCTTCACCTTATTCTATGAAACCAGTAATACCCTTTTCCCTGATACTAAAAAGAGACCAAGGCATCACAAGGAAATTACAGAACAATATTTTTGTATATAGACACAAAAATCACCAACCAATTACTATAATGCTATAGTATTACTATATCCAACTTGGATTTATTGCAGGAATGGAAGGTTACTTTAATATTTAATGCTCAATTAACATAATATGCTACATTTATTAAATAAAAGACAAAGCACATGATAATCTCAATACATTAGAAAAAGCATTTGACAAAATCTAATATATTTTCACAATTATAACATTCAACCAACTAGGAATAAAGTTATCCTTCTCAAATTAATAAAGGGATCTATTAAAAACTCACAGGTAACCTAGTGAAAGGTGAAAGACTGTTTTCCATTTAAGGACAGGAACAAAAGGAGGGTGTCTCCTGTCATCATTTCTCTTCAACATTGTACTGAAGGTTCTAGCCAAGGGAATTTAGAATAAATAAATAAATAAATAAATAAATAAATAAATAAAGGCATCTAGATTGGAAGGGCAGAAGTAAAACTATTGCTACTTGCAGAGAGCATAATCTTGTACTGAGAAAATCCTAAGGAATACCCCTCCACACACATACACATACAATCATTACAACTAATAGACAAGTTCAGAATGTTGCAAGGATAACAGATCAATATCCAGAAATAAATAGCATTTCTATATGCCAGCATTTTACAATCCATAAAAAATTAACAATATAATTTCCTGTACAACAGTATAATATGGAATAAAATATTTAAGAAAAAATAAAACAAATTTAAACTTGTATACCAAAACCCACAAAATAGCAATGAAGAAATTAAAGGGAACCTACATAAATAGAAAGAGATCCCATGTTCATGAATTGGAAGATTTAATATTGTTTAGATGGCAACATTCCCCAAATTGATCTGCAGATTCAAAGAAATCTTTATCAGCACTTCAGTTGTCTTTTTTTCTTTTGGTTACAGAAATTAACAAGCTGATTCTAAAATTCATACGGAAACTCAAGGGGCTCAAAATAGCAAAAACAATCTTGATAATGAAAAACAAATTAGGAGATCTCAAAATTCCTGATTTCAAAGCTTACTAAACAGCTTTATTAATGAAGACAATGTGGCACTGGCAAATATGTATTTCATATGTGTGTGTGTATATAGACACATACATATACATATATATGACAAGACAATTCAATAGGGAAAAAATCGTCTCAATAACTGTGCTGGGATGATTCAATATCCATATTCACTAGAACAAAGTTGGACCCCTATTTCAAACCATATGAAAAATTAACTCAAAATGACACAAAGATATAAATGTAAGCTCTAAAACTATACAACCCTTAGAAGAAAACATTGAAGTAAAGCTTGATAACTCTGGGTTATACAATGGTACTTATATATGACGCCAAAAATAAAATAACTAAAGAAAAGGTAGATACATTAGACTTAATCCAAATTAAACAGTTTGTGCTGCAAAGGATACCATGAGGAAAGTGAAGAAACAATCCAAAGAATGGAAGAAAATGTTTGCATATCACATAAGGCACTTGTATTCCAAATATATAAAAAACTTTTATAATTCAATAATCATAATTATAACTCAGTTTAAAAATTGGTAAAAGATTTGTATATTAAATTCTCCAAACTAAATCTACAAATGGCCTACAAGCACATTAAAAGATTATCAACATCATTGCTCATTAGGGAAACTCGAATCAGAACTGTAAGAAATGCCATCACTTTACAAAAATTAGGATGACTAAAATGAAAAGATAAACACTAAGTGTTGGAGACGAGGGAGAAATTGAAACACTTATTCAGTGCTGATGGGAATGTAAAATGTTGAAGCTGATTTGAATAACACTTTAGCAGTTCCTTAAATGTTAAATATTGGGTTACCATGTGTCCCAGCAAATTCCCTCCAAGGTATACATGTCCACACAAAAATGCACATACATGCTTACAGTTGCATTATAATAGCAAAAACATGGTTTAAAAACTTAAATGTGCATAAATTTTGGCATATTTATGCAATGGAATATTACACAATATTAAAAAATAAATCACATGCTGCAATTGGATAAAACATGGATACAATACGCTAAATGAAAGAAGACATCCACAAAAGACCACACACTGTAGGATTCTATTTATATTCAATGGGTAGAACTGACAAATTCTACCCATTGAAAGAAGTCAGTGATTGTCTACTGTAGGTACTGTAGGTGAGTGTAGATGAGAATGACTGTTAATAAATATGGGGTTTCTTTTCGGGTTGATGAAAATGTTCCAAAATTAGATTGTGCTTATGGTTGCACAATTCTGTGAATATATGAATAAACATTAGACTGTACAGTTTAAATGGGTAAGTTTCATGGCATGAGAATTATATCTTAATACAATTTTTAAGAAATAGAAGTTACATTTCCTCCTTTATAATCTTCACATATATTATTTATCTTTATTGCCTTGCCTGGCTGCCTAGGACCTGGTGCAATCTATTCATGCAATCTCTACTCACCACACATGAACTCCACTTGGCTTCTTTCCAATATAGTGTGGCAGTTTTTATTTGCAAATGCCTAATGAATATAATGATCAAGTGTAACCATAATGTTCTTCATCAAATGACTACGGAGAAATCCTAAATCACTTAGTTTATGGTACTTTCTTGAGCTCTCTTTTGAAGTGAGATGTATCAGTGCTTTTGCATGACTTTGGAAATATGTGTTTATTATTCAGTGATAGGCGTAATTACTATTCTGTGATAAGAGTAGTTTAACATTCTTGTTACATAACTAATGGTATAATAATGGCTAGTACCTTAATTATGACCAGGGAAAATATGAAGAAAATAATAATAGTAAAAGTAATTTGTATAGATGTGTAATGCCTACTATGTGTCAATTTCAAACACACATTCTAAGTAAATATTATCCCAATTTATTTGATAATGGTAAAATTGAAGTTCAGATTTTAACTTATCCCTGCCAAATTTTTCCTATTATATAAATTTTTTTAAAATTAATCACTATAATCACAGCACTTTGGGAGGTCAAGGAGGATTGCTTGAGGCCAGGAGTTGGAGACCAGTCTGGGCAACATAGCTAGACTCTGTCTCTACAAAAAAATAACAATTAAAAAAATTAGCTGGCATGGTGGGTTCACCTGTAGGCCTAGCTAATACGGAGGCTAAGGAGGGAGGACATCTTGAGCCCAGGAGTTTGAGGTTACAGTGAACTACGATTTTGCCAATGTACTCCAGCCTGGGTGAGAAAGAGAGATCCTGTCTCGAAACCCCCCCAAAAAATAAATAAATAAATAAAATAAAAATTGTAACCAAAATTTACCTTTTAAATCAAAAATGTTAAAATATCATTATATATAATTTATATTTATGTTCTAATACTGTTCATCTGGGAAATAAAATAATTGTCTAATACACGTCTAATAATTAGTTAGGCTTGAAACCAGATGGAATATAGAAACACAAAGATAGTTTTGAAAGTATATGCACCAATTTTTTTACTCTTTCTTTAAATAAATATACCTGAGACTAACACATTAACATTTAAGGTCTGCTAAACATCTACTATTATACTTTAAGATTAATTTGGTAATGTTTTATTTAATAATGACTTTAAAAATATACAACATTGTTATCTTAAGTATGTCTTTAATGAATTTTACAAGTCTGCATTTTAAGTCATGACTTGAATGCATTTCACAATATTATTTATAGCTTTAAGTAACTTGCTTCAGAATATATTGAGCAATTGTATTTATGCAATATTTTCCTACAATATTTGTTGAAATATTTGACCATAGCAAACATATTTTGCCACAAATTAGGCATTCAAACTTCGATATGTGTGCCTAATTATTCACAAAATAGAAACTCACATGAAAAGAATGATTTGCAGGTGCAATGTAATATTATTACTTTTTCAGCTAGTTGTAATTCTGCAAAAAAGAGTGAAATTTAATGCTAATTTAATCTATTCTTGGAACAATTTCATGGTTGAATATGACAGATAAAGAGTCCCACATTCAAACAAATAACATTTTGTAAACTTACAATAATTTTGATACAACAAGAAACATTTCTGACCCAGATTTTGTGGTACACAGATGGATAAAGAGATATGTAAATACATAGATAGCTGGCAAACAGATGGCTTTTTTTTTTTTCCTTTTTTTTTTTAAACACTGGTTGAAAGTAGCCTTCCACTGATGCATTTTTGCATGTTGTAATATTTAATATTATAATAAAGTGAGGTAGAAATTCATAGAAGAGGTAGAAAGTATATAAGTTTAAAAGTAAGAATCACTATTCTATTTTTGAAATATTATTGTATCACAACTAATAAAATGCAGGCGTAGATTTGAGAAGAAATTATACCCACACATTACTTATTTCTTGTTTACTACAACTCTTCAAAGCAAATTTGGATCTTCACACACTTAAGCACTGTCCCATGAGTAAAACTGAATGTATTTAGCTTATCCATTTCAATTCAAAATCTGATCTATTGATATTTTCCAGCGCTTAGAGATTTTTTAAAGAACACAGTTTTGTTGTTAGCATCTGCAAAAATAAAGCACATCTAAAATAAAAAGTGTAAAGTTTTCCATATTATAAAGTATGGAGTAGTAGTTTAAATGGTTATTTCAGCATTATTAATAAACAGACAGTATATTAAAATATTATGCAGTTGAATTTTTTAAATATTACATAAATTAAATACATACATACACTCTTTTTCCTTATGCTTATTTGTATATTTCAAATTTCACTCAGTTTCTTAAGAGTGGCCATGCCACTACATCTGGAATGACTATTTCTATGTGTATTTTAATCTTATGCATTATTTCAGGGCTCCTTCATAAATTCATGCTCCCTGTAACTCACACTTAATTTTTTTTTCGTTGTTGTAAGTACTATAGTTCTCAAAATATCATCAATATGCTTTTGAACTTTATCTTTTTAAAACAATATTACACTCACAATTTTTAATTTATATAAATATACAGTACACTATGAATTTAAGGACATAAATTATGTTCTTGAATCCTAGTAAATGTGTTATGTATTGATGCTAATTTATATATTTTTATGGATCATGGTTTTATGTAAGTTATTTCCATTCATAGTATATATAACAATACACCATATTCAGTGTGTAAACGATAAGGTTGATTTAAATTCTCCAAATTACTGCCTTAAAAAATGTCTACTACTTCGTCTTGTGCACTGTATATTCACCAGAAAATGGTAATCTAGAAGAGAGAATAATGTGGAGACTCAAGAAAATCAAAATACGATACCTGAAACTATGCTTATTTTCACTTAGTTCAATAACATTAAAAACACAAAAGGTAAGATTAATAACCTAGAAAGCAGGTTGTTAGAATATGTCTGAACTGAAACACCAAAACGTTTTTAAATAGAATAAAAATACAGGAAAAGATTTAAGCCATATGAGGCACAGAGAAACAGCATAGCATGCATGTAATGGGAGGCTCTGAGGGAAAGGAAAGAGAGAGATCAGGGCAGAACCAATATTTTAGGATAAAATGGCTAAATGTTTTTGAAACTGATGAAAGAAACAAATCCAAAGATTAAAGAATTATGTGAAATTGTGTGCATTATATGAAAGAATTATGTGAGAGAAAGAATCTCTGTGAATTCCAAGTAGAGTAAATAGAAAAAAAACAGTAAAACTGTGGAAAACAAAAAAAGAATAAATAAGCTTAATGGTAACCAGAAAAAGACATATTACCTTCAAAGGTATAACAGTCAGACTAAGGTCTAACCTCTGAAAAGCAAGATTGTTTTCTTTCAGAAAACAATGTAAGGGAAAGCTAAATTCCTGAAATATGCTATTATGGAGTCTAGACATGAAATCATGGTAACTTTCATCAAATTGATGGGAAGATGAAGAAGAGGGAAACAATATAAAATAGATTTTAGAGGTGAAGTAGACGGGACATGATGAATCACTTCTTGGAGGAAAAGTAAAGAGAAAAATGAAATCAAATACGAAGTCTAGGTTTTTCCTTTTTCACTGTCATTTTAACCAAGCAGCCAATCCCAATTACAAATTTTAGTAGGTCTGAGGCAGAGTATATGGGAGGAAAAAATGGATAATTAGGGTTAGTTATATTGAGTTTGAGAGGCATATTAGATAACTAAGTAAACAGATCTATAAATATTTTTTTTCAGTAGCGAGGGCGAATTGTAGGAGGATTAAATTTAAACATGGAGGTCAGGAGGGTTTCACTGAAGTGGTGTTTTGATAGAGTGGAGTTTTGTTCTTAATTCATTATTCCCCTGCAATGTATAAGGTAAGATAATACGGTCACAGATTTTGCCTTGTAATTGCAGTGTCTCCTACTGAAGAGAGAGAATACGTTCTGGTCACACTGATGTAGGCGCTGCTATGTTATTTTCTCCATCTAATGCTTTGTGGTTTGCCCTGTCTAGTGTGTGCAACTTGAAATAAAGTATAAATATGGATACATGGCTCAGTTTATCTTCTTGATACCTACCACAAAAGGAACATGTCTTGAGAACCTGCTTGTCACAGAATAACAGAAGTGGAATTGACCTATGTATTAGTCCATTCTCTCGCTGCTATGAAGAAATGGGTAACTATAAAGAAAGAGATTTAATTGACTAACACTTCTGCATGGCTGGGGAGGCCTCAGGAAATTTACAATCATAGTGGAAGGGGAAGCAAACACATTCTTCTTCACATGGTGGCAGGAAAGAGACCTGTGGAGCAAAGAGGGAAAAGCCCCTTATAAAACCATCAGATCTCGTGAGAACTCACTATCACAATAATAGCATGGGAGAAACCATCCCCATGATTCAGTTACCTCCCACGGGGTCTTTCTCATGACATGTGGGGGTTACGGGACCTACAATTCAAGATTTGGGTAGGGACACATCCAAACCATATCACCTAACCCAACTTGCAGCCTGGATCTAAACACAGTTGAATTTAATCTAAGTCATTCAGATTCCAGAGGGACCCCTAGACCAGCATGTTTGTGAGCATAGGAATGTCTCCTTTATAAGTCTCTGACAATTTTAGTTGATTTTTATGTAAAAAAAAATGATTAATGGGAACTTTGTTACTGGAGTTGGGATGTTGCTATTCTAATACAAACTCAAATATGTGCCATTGGCTTGGGTCTGGGCAGTGGGAAGTGAGAAAACTCTGATAAGAGGATATAAAAATAGCAACACATAACAACGCGGTGAGAGTTTGGCATGGTTTGCACCTGTGGTAACTTAGGGGTGATAACAAGCACTTGTGGAAATGAACAAGGAAGTTTTGAAGCAAAATACTGATAGATAGTGCTGGTTGTCTGCTTGATAGTTGTGCTTATTAAAGTAGTAGAAAACGTGATAGGAAAGAACTGACTTCTATGCTAAGAATAGCATGACTGAATAGAGAGATCACAGAAATTCTCAGACTTTCTGAGTGGTAATGAACTAGTTCCTGCCAAGTAAAAATGAACATATTAAATCTTGAACTCAAGGGAAAGTTCAAATTTAGTGTCAATTTCAGACTTCCATCCTAGCCTTAGGATAGAAACCACATCAAGGTTGTGGTCATTAAGATTAATAGATACCCTTTCACTTGGACATAAGGAATCCTAAAAGACTACAGACTGTCTCATGAAGCCTTTTGTGTTGTCAAATTTTTACTTATAGAGAGAGAGAGAGAGAGAACAAGAACTTGAGAGACAGAGAAGAAGAAAGAATAAATTCTCGGTATAACTTTTGACATTTAAAATGAAATATAATGAAATGCATAGAGTGCTTCAAAGTTTTTATTAAGTTGCATTGGCCTACTTACTACCAATCTGCACTAAAAGACATTGAGGCTATTCAAGATATTAAAAGACTTGCATGTCTATGAAGCAGCTTCAGAGAACTTCTTAGTTCCACAGGAGGACACATTTCCCACCACTCTCTCCAGATGTGGCAAAAGGGGACAATGGAAAAAAAGAAAGGACACCAGAAGATAGAGAGCAAGTCAAAGAAATTAATAGGCTGGGGAAAGAAGTTAAGGGAGCAGAACACGGATTTAATCAAGGGAAGAAAGGCCTCATAAAATCTGGGAACAGTGTAAGGTGACCTCACAAAATTGATCCAGTGGGATTTGAGAATTACCATGAACTAGTGACTTCTAAATTCCTCCCTTTCTTTTCATTTTTGAATGGGAGTGTTTAATGTGCTCCTCCTGTCCCTGTTTCACTATTCTAAATTAGGTGTGGAGAGGGGAGATAGAACTTGTATTTTATTTCATGTGTCTCTGTATTAAGAGAATCCAATTCTGGATGTGACAAAGATCACTGAGGAGTTCATGAAGATATAGAGATGAATTGTAATGCAGCCAAACCTAAGATAGCCATTTTAAGCCATATTAGACTAATGGGAGTCTATCATGAAAATACCTGTAGGAAGAGGTTCCAGGCATATGAAATATCAAATACCCAGAATCTGACATAATATTATGCCTGCATTTGCAAGAAATAGCTCAGAATTTAATATGGCTAGATTAGATTAAACAAGAGAATTAATAGAAGGGAGATGAAGAAAGGGAGGATGGAAAATCACAATTTAAAGTTTTATATAGGTTCTTGCTAGAATTTTAGCTTTCACCTAAACAGAAAATATAACAATGTGGATAGAGTGGAAAAGCATTTGAAAGATTTTGAATACTAGTAACATAATATGACTTATCATTTAAGATTTCTTCATCTTGCTGAAGGGACAAGTGAAGAATCAAGGTGACTAATTATAATCCAGGCAAGAGATGTGCCCCATTGGTGTATTGATGATAAGTGCTTAGATGTTGGGGTATATTTTGAAGGTTAAGCTTTCATAAATTGTTGGTCGAGTTTTTTGTAATGTGAATAAAAAATAAAAACAGGCAAGGGTAGTAGCAAAATTTCTGGACTAATTTAAAGCATAGAATGACCAATAATCAAAGTAAGGATGAACAACAGCAGGAAGAGTTTTCATTTGTATGTACGTATGCATGTATGTATGCATGTATGTATGTGTGTATTGGGGATGTGGTTAGTGTTCAGAAACTCGTTTTTACCCACAGTCAGTTTGAGTTACTTGTGAAATATCCATGCAAAATATTAAGCATGCTATTTGGAATATCAGTTTGGGATCTAGGGGAGATACCTGAGATGAAAATATATATGTTTAGGAGTTGTCTTTAGGTGGTATTTGAAACCAGAAGATTGTGTAAAATAATTAGAAGGTAAAGAATTGGTGCCGCCCTTTAAAGACTAGATCCCAGAGCATTTCAAAGTCAAAAGTGAAAGTGATTTTTTAAAAATGCAAAGTAGTTTGATATTGAACATAGTGGTATAGGAGGAAAAGAAAGACGTTAAAATATGAAAGACACCGATTGATAAGGTGATAATCGACTGAATGAAATGCTCTTGCAATGTCAAATAAGATGTGTAATAAAGAAAACTCACCATTAGATTTAGCAACATTTGTCAGTGACTTCTATATTGATAGATTTTGGCCAACTCAGTTTCAGTGACGTGGTGAGGGGAAAAAATCTGATTGGGATGGTGGTTTCTCAACAAAAGGTAAAAGGGGCAAGAGATGTGAAGGTGAGGTGAGGATGTAATTGTAGTTATGTGCTATGAAATTTAATCCTGCTAAGAATACATATAAGAAGGTAGTTGATACAGACAAAAGCTGTTATGACCAATGGAGTTTAGGTCTAGTTAAGTTTAAAATTGTTGTTGTTGTTTGCTTACTTGTTTCTGGAAATATGAGATAATGAGATAGGATGATAGAAAGTGATAATCAACAGCTGGATACTTAAGAAGACATGACTCCTAAATATAATGTGATATCCTGGATGGGATCTTGGGAGAAAACAAAACGAAACAAAGCAAAAGAGACATTAAATTAAAACTAAAGAAACATAAATAAATTATAAACTTTATGCAATAATAGTGCATCAATATTGGCTCATTAATTATAACAAATATTCCAAACTAATGTAAGACATTAATAATATTGCAACTGGAGTACATAAAAACTCTACCACCACTGAAATTCTTTTGTAATCTGAAATGATTATAAACTTTAAAGTTATCTTACCTAGCACTTTGGGAGGCTGAGGAGGGCAAATGACTTGAGGCCAGGAGTTTGAGACCAGCCTGGCCAACATGGTAAGACCTTGTTTCTACTAAAAATGCCAAAAGTTAGCCAGGCATGGTGGTGTGTGCCAGTTGTCCCAGCTATTCAGGAGGCTGAGGCATGAGAATTGCTTAAACCTGGAAGCAGAGGTTGCAGTGAGCCGAGATCAAGCCATTGTGCTCCAGTCTGGGTGACGGAGCAAGACTGTATATATATACATGTATATGCCCGTATATACCTACATATGCATATATACATGTATATATATACATACATACATACGTACATATGTATATTATAAACTTTATGCAATAAATATATACATATGTGTATATATCTATATATCTATATACATACATATATGTATGTATATATACAGAATACATAGATTTTATATATATTTTATATATACATATATATGCATATATGTGTGTTTGTATATTTGTATGTGTGTATATATATGTATGTGTGTGTATGTGTATATATATGTATCTATATATATAAAGTAGGAATCCTGAACCCAATGAAACCAATACTGGTTTCAGGTACTGGCGATAATGAAATGAATGACGAAAGATGATAAGAGCATGTGGCTGAAGTATAATGGAGGACAACTTCTCCAGAACTGAAGTTGTCAAGGAGCTGAGAGTTCAGCAAATTAGAAGGACTATGTGGATAATGAAATAAGCAAAATATTTCATGAGCAGTTTTGGATCAAATGACAATGAAATTGGAGCTAAACTTTTAAAGAAATGAATGGGAACAAGTTGGATGTCTTTAGTAGGGTGGCATGTGGGTTGGTGAAATTTGATAAAATGAGGTAGGACATGGGTGATGGTAATGCGATAGGGAGGAAGAAAGTTCTGGAAGCAGAGTGCAAAGTCAGGAGAAAACTCATTTATCTCCAGATCCATGCTATCAGGAATGGGAAAGAAAATCACACCATTAGAGAGAGTTGAAAGAGAACTTATGTCATCAGAGGGTAGCCACATTGTAGAGCGAATGGTGAAGAGGAGAATTTGAGGATATAGAGATTTTTCAGAACGCTAACTGAGAGTTAAAAATGGCAAAGAGAAAATATTTTAGGAGTTGGAATACTTGGGAGAAGGGTCTTATAAAAGGCAACTTTAGAGTTGTATTTAAAGCCTGGGACTGAAGGATGCTTAAGATGTCCTCGGCTTCTTGTGATGTCTGAGATGAACTGGGATAGTCTTAATTAACTGGGTTAATTGTGGATTCCTAAAGCTAAGAGGTAGAATGAGTCTATAACCATTGGCACATAGGCGAGCTTGCTAGAAGCACTCAGAGTATTGACAGTCACTCTTTGCTTCTGCTTCTGGTTGTTCAGAAGGTGGTGGTGAAGTGCTGTCTTTAAACACATAAGGTTTTTCTCTTGCTCTTTGTCTATCGGGGAGCACAGATCATGGTGGGCCAAATATATAAATTTGGAGCCAGGGAAGACATAAGGACTCAGAATGAATATCTGGTTGTCATAAGCCGTGGTGTTTAAAGCCTGCAGCTGGATGAGGTTGCCTATCATGACAGTTAAAACTGCAGGGAAAAGAAGGGGACGCAGGGCAATCCCCAGACAAGGCTGGGTAGAGATGAGGAAGAGGAGTGGAAAAGCATGAGAAGAATACATACTGAACTCACGAAAAATTGATTATTAGAATATGCCCTCATCTCCTCTAGCCCTCGCTTGATCTATTGTGTTTGCATGGAGCAACAAAATCTTAATTAAAATCAATTACCTAACAACCCTTGCCCACAAAGCTAATGGTAGCTAGAGGAAAACAGTTACCCTGCTTGGTTGCTCCTTGCTTTCACAAACACAAGCATTCTGCCCTAAAAGCATACGAATTACTTAGTCCATCCACTCCTCCGTTCTCGTACCCAGCTAATTCATAGTTTTTTTTTGTTTTTTTGTTTTTTTGTTTTTTTTTTGAGACGGAGTCTCGCTCTGTCGCCCAGGCTGGAGTGCAGTGGCGCGATCTCGGCTCACTGCAAGCTCCGCCTCCCGGGTTCACGCCATTCTCCTGCCTCAGCCTCCCGAGTAGCTGGGACTACAGGCGCCCGCCACCACGCCCTGAGAATTTTTTTGTATTTTTAGTAGAGACAGGGTTTCACCGTGTTAGCCAGGATGGTCTCGATCTCCTGACCTCGTGATCTGCCCGCCTCGGCCTCCCAGAGTGCTGGGATTACAGGCGTGAGCCAACACGCCCGGCTAATTCATAGTTTTAACTCTTTCTTAAATCTTCCCAAACTCCTACTCTGTCCTTCCTCCCAGATCAAGACCATGCATCTTATTTCACAGAGAAAATGTAAGCAATTAGGAAAGAATCCCCTATGGTATCTCTTCTCATGTGTTCTGACTTTCTTTGCAAACCTTTCTGTGTATCCATCTAAGAAAAATCTCTTTACTTATGCACTACATCCCATTTTCTGTCTCAATTTTAAGACATTTTCTCTCTCTATCTCATTTAATAACAAATTTGTTCTCTCCACTTGATCAGTAGTACCAGGATCAACCATGTCATTATTTCTCACATGTAGGAATGACTTGGTTCCCTTTCCCTCCAAGTAGTTCCTCAGTTCTCTGATCCCCTTTACAGCAAACTTATTCCTAGTGTCTAGAACACTTTTTACACAGTTTTCCATATAGTTTAGTTTCCTACTCCCATCATTGTCTTTCTTCCTTCAGGCCTTTCCTCAAATATCTGCTTTTAGATTCAGATTTCCATGATCATCCTTTAGAAAATTGCTCATTCTCCAGGTTTTATGACAGATACCTCCCTGTCCTTCTTTATAGCACCTGATATATATTTTTATTTATTTGTTAGTGTGTGTGTGTTTTGTTCCCTGACATGGCCCCAGCATCTAGAACAAAACCTGTAATTATTAAGTACTCTAGTTAATTGCATGAATAAATAAAAACTTTAACAAGTGAGTGTAACAGAACTTAAAACAATAATCTCAATAAGGAAGGAGCTAAGGATTCAAGCAGATTAAGACAGGGATATTCTCCTTAAATATCAGTGTGCTTGCTGGTGATGTAAGAAAACGCCACCCAGAGAGTGAAGGTCATGGCATCCTAACTGGAGGTACAGGCCTGAGGAAAGAAAAATATAAGATAACAGAGAGGAATCTGGCCAAAATGATTTTTTTAAAAAAAGAAATTTCAGTGAGAAGAGGAGTAGGATATTACAGCAGTAGCTGAAAAGGAATGTTGACAAGTTTTCTATTTTTTTAGATTAAATTTGATTTTATGCTGATGAAATTCTTATATATTTATGGAACTTTATTTTCTCCTCAATATCAGAATCAATTAATAAATAAAACACACGTGTCAGAAAAGTAAACATTAAAGTGTTAGCTGTATAAGTAATAAGTTGATTGGATAATTTTCTCTAAATCTACAGGGAAAAGGCGAGAAGTCAAATAATATTTTCTGTCTGCACCAGTCTAGATTTTGGGACAGAACATCTGAAAAACAGATTGGGTCTTGGATATAGATCTGAATAATCAGGATTGTGACCTGAATCTGGTCTGAAAAAGAGAGAAAACCAAAGTAGCAAATTACCTAGGTTTGTAAATTTTAAGGATAGATAGCTCTGTTCAGCAGAGAAAAGTGGATTGAAAGGTAAGAAAGAAAAGTGGATAGACAAATCTCACCAATAAAGAAACTGTTTCCTTCTTCCTGAGGACCAAAGACATTACTCTAGGGGAGCTCTCTTCGTTTAGAAACATGAAGATAAGGGAAAAGATGTTCCTCTTCCAAAAGGAATGATTTGGTAAACAAGGAGAAATTAATGATACAGTTTAAGGAGATATGATTGCAGGAGAAAATATTTAAATAGATTAAGAGAAGATAGAATGCAAAGCATAAACAGAAGTCTTGGCTTAATAGCCCAGCTGCGAGTGAGTTGTTAGATTTGGTGGTAGTGAGAAGAGGGAATACTCCTCCGTTTGCTTCAATCTACTAATTAAAACAGGTAATGAAGGCAGCCATTTGGAGTATAGAGGCAGGTTTGTGGATGGATAAGAATTACAAGGGGGAGTGATGAATAAAAGTTACTGAGGAAATATAAAAGAAATTCTGCATAGGGTTAAGAGGCCTTTTGAAATTTCTGTTCATTAATTTCAAATGAGACTAGTCAGCATTTTTATGTGATTTTTTAAAGTCTTGGAACATATTGCTGCTTGTATAAATTTGCAGAATAGGCAGATATTATAAGCAGGTTTGCAGTTTTGGTTGGTGGGAATTATGGAGGAAGAGATGGGACAAGAGGCTTAGTAGTGTTTGCAAATAAATTATTAAAATATTGGTCCATATAATTTAGACAACATAAGGAGTGAAGTAAAAATGTGAGAAAAGTGAGTGGAGGTGGTGAAGCATACAAATTAAAGTAAAAAAAACTGAAGATTTTAATGTGGTTAAAAAAGTTGTTGGAATAAGCAAGGATGAGAGAAACTGCTGGTCACATAGTGGCAAGCTTATATGACAGGATTCCAGATGTGTTACAGAGTTTGATGATAACAAGGGCAGGATTATACAAGTTGATGGTTGGAGTACGGTGGAAAGAAAGAAATATGATTGGATATGAAAAGCTTAAGTTATTGAAAATTCATAGACTGATAGAGATCATCTACTGGATTGTGATGTCATCAAGAGTAAGAATAGTAAGCATGTGGAGAAGGAATAACTCAAATTCTAAAAGTTGCATTAATAAAAAGCTAAAACTGCCCAAGGGTTAGAAAATGATACTCACATGAAACACCATAATTAGTATCATCTAAAGTTATCCACCTCAAAAAGCTGGTAAATATTTGTTTTTGAAATGATAAGGAAATCTTTTAGACAATGACAGAAACTTGTATTGATTTGCATTGGTGAGGATGTCAAGGACAACGATGAATATCCAGAGTAATAATGAATAACAGTTTCTTATATCTGATTTGAACATACACGCTCCCCAAAGTTTTGCCAGCTACTTGACTTTGTTATAAAATCTTAGCCAATATCATGTATCTGGTTAAGGCAGTTTCCTTGCCACTCAGCCTCCATTGTTGGGAAGAAACTTATAAAAAATAAGAAGCACTGGGCTGGATACTGGAGGTACATTGAAAGTCAGTCTCTGTCCTGAAAAATCTCACATTCTAGTGGGTGAAGTAGACATTATTCAATTTATCACATCATTAAATGTAAAACTGGACACTTCTCCTGGGAAACATTACTGTTTACAAATAAAGTGACAATCTAGCTGCAACCAGTTGTATAAACATGGGATTACTTTTTAGAACTACAGTTGTTCCAAGTGTGTCACTTTTACAATAGGAAAGAAATCCAGTGTTGACACAGCATAAAATTCTAGTAAAGGGTGAGAGACCATTTTTTATACTACAGTAGATTAGATATATATGCCCTTCAAAAAGAAAAACTGTTGTGTTAGAAAAACACTTCACACTTTAGGGTCGTCGAAAGATGTGGAAAAATATGTTTAAGCTCCATGGTTTAGCTGTAAGGAAAATAAAGGAAATCATAAGAGATAAAATTGAGAGACTAGAGAAAATCCAGAGAGGTATTTCAATGATGAAACTATTGACTCTGCTAAGGCCTACTGAAGGAGAGTTTGAAGTTTATGTCTGAACAGGGACTAGTGGGAAAAAATACTTTTGGTTCTGAGGAATCAAAAAGTTTTAAGGCCTAGTCTCAAAAATAATAGATCATTATTATATGGGAATGACTAACAAGTTTGACCATATATAGTATGCGAGGCACCATTCTAAGAAAATTGACTTAAAATCAGTTAATCTCCCAAATAACCATAATAACTCAGATTTTTGGAATGTAGAAATTGAAGTAGAGAAAGTTAGGTAAGCTGCTCAAAATCACATATTTAGTACATGGTGGAATTATGTTTCAACCTCAGCCATCCAGGTTAACCTAGATTGCTAGGTCCACATTTCGTCTAGGTCCACATTTCATCTCTAGTCTATATTGTTGCTCAGCTAGAGGAAAATAAAAAATATGCTCAAGAAAATAAAAATAACAACTCTACAAATGGAAATGGTAATGGATATTATCTGTCTCAGGCCTAGCTATATGTAAAGTGTTTAAAAAACAAATGCCTGAGAATTTTAAATTATCATCAGGTGATTTTTGAATCTGAATATAAAATACCGTTTGGTCCACAAATAAGCAAATTATTGATTTTGCAAGTTTCTTGTATTGGCAGTACTTTCAGGAGTTAATATGGAAACAAATAAATCTCATCTTGGAAGGAAAGCACCCTCAGCCCAGGACTCAGTTTCCAAAGATGAAGCTAAATTGAACCTCTGTTGAGAAAAATAAAGTAGATCAGTAAATCAATGAGAAAGACATTGGTCCTCATCACTTATTGTCAACATAAATAATAAATTCCACCACTAGATTTGCAAAGATTTAAGATATTTGGACAACAAAATACATAATACAAAATATGTGTCTTAATTGGTTTACAATATAAAAGATATCAAACCATGACTAAGAAAAAAAAAGAGGTTAACAACAATGGCAAGCTATTTCAAAATACAAACAAATGTAATTTGTTGAAGTGATCTATATATTTATGTGTGTATGTGTTCCCGTGTTAAGGTTAGAAATACAATGAGTGGTTTAAATAGTAGTTGAGGTGCCATTAAAGAGAGAATTAGTAAACTTAAAAACAAAATTGAAGGTATAAGCCTAAATGCATATAGGAGAAACAAGCATATTTAAAATGTGAAATTTAAATGAGATTGCAGAAGAGTACAGTAAGAGTGTGACTTTAAATTAGTCCTAGACGCTGGCAGTAGAGACATTGGAAGAAGGTGAAATTTGAAGATAAAGTACATCAGTATTTCTCAGAATCAGTAAGACTTTAAACTTAAGATTCAGAAAGCTTCACAGGTCCCAAACAGGATAAAAATTAATCTACAACTAGCAATATTTATCATGAAACTGTACCACAGTGAAGCCAAAAAGAAGATTGTAAAAGTAATAAGAAGTACAAAAAACTACGACAAATAATTTTCAAACTGCATAAGTGGAAGACAGAGTATATAGTACATCTTCAAAGTGCTGAGAGAAAATAATTTTTATATTAAAAATTTAACAGGAGCAAATTTACCACCAATATCTCCTAACTAAAAAAACTGTAAAGCTCATTTGAAAAAATATATTTAAACAAAAAGTATCACTAGGAATTAATGTGATCCCACATAATATTAAACTGTGTAATTCACCCTGCAGATATAATATGTTGGGCATTTTACATATATAACAAGATAACTTCAAATTAAGTAAAACTAGAAGTAACAGAATTAACAGGAGACTTAATAAATCCGTCTTCCGAGAGAAGAATTAAATGCAAGTCCCTCAATAATTGAGAGATCAAACAGAAGAAAAAAAATTATAGATACATACATATTTGAATAATGAAATTAACATGCATAAAATATCCCACATAAGGAATGGCAAACCTGAAAATTCAAAAATACACATTTCATGCATATATTTAACATTCAAACAAGCCCAATACAAATATTAAAGAATCAGGATTATGTCATATTGACTATGTTCTCTAAACAAAATATAACTGATTTTAAAAGGAATTAAAGATAAAATATATCTAAATAGAAAAAATGCTTCTGTGTAATTATTAAGAAGGCTGTCGGCTGGTGCAGTGGCTCACCTTTGGAAGGCCGAGGTGGGTGGATCAGCTGAGGTCAGAAATTCAAGACCAGCCTGACCAACATGGTGAAACCCCATCTCTACTAAAAATACAAAAATCAGCCAGGCGTGGTGGTGCATGCCTGTGGTCCCAGCTACTTGGGAGACTGAGGCAGGAGAATCGCTTGAACTCGGGAGGTGGAGGTTGCAGTGAGTTGAGATCACGCCATTGTACTCCAGCCTGGGCAACAAGAGCAAAACTCCATCTCAAAAAGAAAACAAACAAACAAACAAAAAACTACGTAACAGATATAATAGATATTAGAAAATACACGTGAAGAATAATAAAAGTATTAACTTTTAAAACAGGTAAGATTCAGTGCAAGAAGTATTTAGAGGGAGATTAGAATTGTAAATGCCTACATCTATAAAAAATAAAATTAAACACTTGATAGATATGATCCTGAGGTGGCAATGGAAGTGTGTTGCTTAGATCTTGTTCAAGCGAATCTTCTGCAAGGAGATTAGGTACTGGACAGACTCCAGCCTCTGTACTGTTGGACCTGCCGCCCCCACCGTATTATGCCAAGGACTCTTTTTCCCTGTGCTTCTCACAGACAATGACTGAACACAACGGGGATGCTGGAGCTGGGCCATACTTGCCCAAGACATTCCTTCACAGCACAGGCATTTTTTAAACTCTGTCTCCGTGTACCTGGCCTGCCTGAGACTCCTACTACCTAATCCTTCCTTCATCAGTCTCTCACTTCAGAGAAGTCAATGCTTCATGATAGTCTGATGCTGGATTCTCACAGCCTGCTTCTGACTCATCTTCCCTTCATCCTTCACAGTCAAGAGTGGCTCCACGATAACTGGCAAGGACAACTTACCCTGATCAACAGGAGGAAGTAGTGCAGCTTTTACACAATGGAGGCCAGGGGAAATACTGTAATTTCATGAGATCCACATTGGCTCCACTTGATACTCACTTGTTCAAGTGTTGCAGTGAATGGACACATGCTGTAGTCCAGGTCTGAGAATGGTACAATTGATTACCAAGGGTTCCTTTTCCTCATGAATAGGAGTTTGAGCTAGACCACCAAGGACACCATATGAACTCTTCAGTAAGATCAAGAGGCTATCACTGAGGGTGACAGTATTTACAAGGCACACTTAAAAAGTGAGATAACAGCTTTAAGACAAGTTGCAGTAATGTGGGCTTAGTTCTTTCCAGAAGCTCTCTCTAATACTTTTCCATCATGAAAAAAAGGCCTATGACAAATATAGATGTGTGCTGCTTTCCAAAAATGTTTGAGAAAGAGGATCTGTGTGTTGCAAGGGATCGATTGCGGTGCGATGGGAGGTGTAGCCCTCATATTTCTCTCCAAGCACACCTCCTACAAGGAGGGGAATTGGCTTCCAGCTGTCTCATGCTTCTATCTGCCACAACATTCACTTCAAGGTCACACTCTCCCTGGTCTTTTCAGAGCCAATAACGTTATGACAGTGGTATGATGGTGGGACTGTTCCTGCCCAATATGGGACTCTATTTGGCAATCTTTGCTCTGAGGTTTCCCATCATCCTGCCTGAGACTGTCCCAGAGCTGTACTTTAGTCTGAAGCTCCCCTTACCCAATCCTCCTTCCTGTCACTCTCCTTTCACAGGTGTAAGATGTGTACCATAATCTGAAGTTCTTCTCTGCTTGATCCTGATCCTTCTCACATAATCTTCATAGGTATTTTCTCAGAATAGATCTTGCCTGTACACATCTACCTTGACACCTGCTCCTCATAAGACATGATTTGAAAACATCCAACTCAAGAAAGTCAAGACAAAACTAAAAGACACAATATACCCAAAGAAATTAAAAGCAAAAAAGTCAAAATTAATAATCAAATGGAATACAAAATTGAAATAGGCTCACTCAAACGAAATTATTTCTTGAAAGTATTACCAAAACTGTTGATATTCAATCAAGGTTGATGAAATAAAAACAAATTATGTAGAAATAAACTATGAAATAAAATCAACCACACTACTATTGAACACAGCCCTTTATCCATAATGTTACAACCTGAGGTCAACTATAAGGGAGCTCTTTCTGTGCTTTGGGAAGTAAAGGCAGAATTTTAGATTTAGCCAGGGATGATAACTAATGTTCATCTACTTTGGGACATAGTTGTCCAAAATTTTTTTCAGAAATAGAGTTGTTCTTGGAGTTATCAGCCATTTGGTTAGGTATTTGGGGATAGCAAGAGAGGTTGGAAGAATCAGTAGAGGCTGTGATCACCTGAGGGTCACACAGGGAAATCTTAAGAAACTAAGAGGAACACAAAAGAAAAATAAAAATCATAAGCAATGAAGTAGGCTGACATCTATGATAGCCCCCAATGATCTCTGCCTCCTGGTATTCAAACCCTTGTATAATTTCCTCCTCTTGAGTGTGAGCTGGACCAAGAAACTGTTTTCTAACACATAGAATATGACAGCATTCTTGGAATATCACTTCTATGATTAGGTTACAAACTTCCCAGAGCAGAAACCTATAAATAGAAACCTCTGTGGGAACCAGTGCCTTGGTAGGGAAACCTAAACTGTGATTGATGAATTGCTATCAGTTCAGTGTGGACAAGTCTGAGAGATAAAATCTCTGGGGGAATCCAGTCATCAGGGGCCCTGAGATTTTTATCAATTTTACCTTTTGGAGATTTACCACATTCTCACAGTGAATATCAGAGACAATTTCCTTCATGCTTCCAGCAGAAGAAAGGGAAAATAAACTATTTGGAAATATTCCAGAGCATTCTGCTCTTCTTAACAAAGTCTGGCCTCAAGAGGAAAAACTATTGAATTAGAGCCTAACCTGCTGGGGTTTTCCAAACCTAACTGACCTGAGAAAAGGAAAATACCCAAATCCAGTTGGTTCTAGCTTTTAATTTGGAGGGAGGGAAATACTCAATTCCAGCCCTCTCTAGCCTTCCATGTAGGAGAAATAATATACTATCTCCAGCTCCCTCCAGCCTGTCCCACTAATGAGGAGAAGGTGACTGAGAAGCACTTACAAAGTTAACAGTCTAGAAGCAGAGAATTGCTGAAAGACTGAGACCTAGTCATGGAACCGAAGACTACTTTTCCTGTGGCCACCCGCACCCCCCCATATCTTATCATCACATTATAACAGCCCTATTTACAATAGTTTCTTTTATTAAGTATATCACGACTGGCTATCAAGAAAAATTAAGAAGGGATACGAAATGGCAAAAACACATAGTTTAAGGAAACAGAACAAGTGAAAGAACCAGACCCTGATATGGTAGGGATGTTGGAATTATCAAACTTGTAAAACAAAACAGCTACAATTAATAAGTCAGAGGGCTCCAACAGATTTAAAATAGACTGCATGCAAGAACAGTTGAACAATGTAAGCAGAGAGATGGAAATTCTAAGAAAGAATTTTAAAAATGCTAGACATCAGAAACTGCAACAGAAATGAAGAATGACTTTGATGGACTTATTTGTAGACTGAAATTTCTGAGCTTGAAGATATCTCAACAGAAAACTCCAAAACTGGAAAGCAAAGAAAAAAGAATGAAAAAAAAAAGCCCATAGCAGTACATCCAAGAACTGTAGGGCAACTACAGAAGATATAATATATGTATGTAGGGTGTAACACCAGAAGAAGAAGAAAATGAAAAAGGAACAGAGGAATACTTGAAATGCAGGAACATAAATTAGTACAACAACTATGGAAAGCAGTATGGAGAGTCTTCAAAAATTTAAAATTAGAAATAGAACCATGAAATTCTCTAGCAATCCCACTACTGAATATATATATATATATATATATATATATATATATATATATATATAATGAAATACATATGTCAAAAAGATATTGGCACTTCCATGTTTTTTGCAGCATTATTCACAATAGTCAAGAAGATAAGGAATCAATGTAAGTGTCTATCAATGGATAAATGGTTAAAAAATGTGATAGGCACACACACATACACACACACACACAGTGGAGTGCTATTCAGCCTTAAAAAAGAAGGAAATTCTGTCATTTGTAACAACATAAGTAAGTCTGGAGAACAGTGTTATATTAAGTTAAATAAGTCAGGCACAGAAAGACAAATACTGCATGATATCACTTAAATGTGGAATGTAAAAATTAAACTCATAGAAACAGAGTGTTATTAATAAATAGGGGTTCAGAGGAAGAGGATCATGGTTTTCAGAAGACATTCGTCATAGGACACCAAATTTTAGTTAAATAGGAAGAATAAATTCAAAGGATCTATTGTACAGCATGGTGACTACAGATAATAGCAATATACTGTACACTTGAACATCTATGAGAGTGTAGATTGCAAATGCTGTCACTGCACACAAAAAAACAAGTATGTGAGGTAATACACAGGTTAATAAGCTTGACTTAGCTATTTTATAATGCATACATATATCAAAACAACAGGTTTTATACCATAAATATATACCTTTTTGTCAATTTAAAAAGAAATAAAAGAGAAACATTACTACAGGTCCCAAGGACATTAAAAGCAAAATAAAGGAATACAATACTATGTACTATTCTATGCCCACAAATTTTATAACTACAAGGAAATAAAACAATTTCTGTGAGGATACAAGCTAACAAAGCTCACAAGAGAAGAAATAAACATTACACATATTGAATAAATTGAAACAAGAATTAATAACATTCCAAAACAGAAAGCACAAGGCCCAATTCGATTCATTGATGAATTCGGCAGCATGTTATTTAATACAAGAAGAAATTATATGAATTATGTACAATTTCTTCCAGAAGACAAATTACTTCTGAGAGATTATGAATTCCTTCTAGGAGACATCACCTTAATACCCAAGCCAGAGTAAGACATTACATGATAATACAATTATAGATGACTGTCACTCCTGAACATAGATGCAGAAATCTTTGACAAAATATTAACAAATAGAACCCAATAATACAGATTACAAAATTGTACACTATGACTAAGATTTATTTCACATATGCAAAGCTGGTTCAGTATTGATAAATCAACTAATGTAACTGATCACATCAACAGGCTAAGGAGGAAAAATTGCTTGTTTATATCAATAGAATCAGGAAAGGTATTTGACAAAAGAACATGACTCTCAGCAAATCAGAAAAAGAGAAAAACTTTCTCAGCTTGATAAATATCTACAAAAAAACAAAAACCACACACCAAAACTAATGGTGAGAAAACAGAAGCTTTTCCAACAAGATCAGGAAAAAGGTGAAGATGTTCCTTATGACCTCTGCTTTTTCACCTCATACTGAAGAAGCAAAAGATTCAAAATACCCAGCAAAATGCTGAAAGGGAAAAGAGACTGAGGAATGACACACTTCCCAACCTCAAGACTTACTATAAAGCTAAAGTAAGCAAGACAGTATAGTATTAGAGAAATAACTGACAAATAGATCAATGAAACATGAAAAAGCTCAGAAATACACTTACATAAATAGAATTAATTTATCTTTGACAAAGGAGCAAAGACAATATAATAGAGAAAAGATAGTTCTTTCAACAAATGGTGGAACAACTAAACGTTCACAGGAAAAAATAAAAATAAATAAATCCAGATGCAGATCTTACACGCCTCATAAAATTAATTCAAAATGGATCATAGACCCAAATGTAAAATGCAAAACTATAAAACTCTTAAAAGATAATGCAGGAGAAAACGGCTGTGATGACTTCCTGGAATGGTGATGACTTTTTAGATTATGACAACAAAGGCATGAGCCATGAAAGAAATAATTGATAAGGTGAACTAAATTAAAATGAAAAACTTCTGCTCTGTGCATGACAATGTCAAGAGAATGAAAAGACAAGCCACAGAACAGAAAACAAGGTTTGCCAAAGATACATCTAATGAAGGATGCTTATCCAAAATGTAAAAGTACCACTTGGCCGGGTGTGGTGGTTTACCTGTAATCCCAGCACTTAGGGAGGCCGAGGTAGGTTGATTGCTTGAGCTCAGGAGTTCAAGACCAGCCTGGGCAACATGGCAAAACCCTGTCTCTACAAAAAATATATAAAAATTAGCCTGGTGTGGTGGCACATGCCTATAGTCCCAGCTGCTTCCTGGGGCTGAGGTGGGAGGATCACTTAAGCCCAGATAGTTGAGGCTGCAGTAAGCCAAGATTGTGCCAGTGCACTACATCCAGGGTGACGAAGTTAGACTCTATCTCAAAAATAAAATAAAATAAAATAAAATAAAATAAAATAAAATAAAATAAAATGTCTTAAAATTCAACAATAAATAATCTAATTTAAAAATGGGTTAAAAACCTTATCAAATACCTCATCAAAATACATAGTAATGGCAAATAAGCATGGGAAAAGATGCTCCTTAACATACATCATCAGGAAAAGCCAAATTTAAAAAACCATGAGATATCATCAAACATCTATTAGAATGGCCAAAACTCAGAAGACTGACAATGCCAAATGCTGATAAAAATGTGACCAATGAAATCTCCAATTCATTGCTGCTGGAATTTCAGAATTGTACAGTCCTATTAGAGGACATTTGGTGACTTCTTTCAAAACTAAACATAATCTTACCTTACAATATAGCCATTGCACTGGTTGCTATTTACCCCCAAAAGTTGAACATTTATGTCCACACACATGTTTACATAAGTTTTATTCATAATTTTCAAAGCTTAGAGGCAAGCAAGATGCCCTTCAGTAAGTGAATGGAGAAAGAAACCATCAAACTCAGACAATGAACTATTATTCAGTGACAAAAAGAAATGAGCCAGGAAAAGACATGGAGAAACTTAATATTTTGTCTTAGTCTATTTTCTGTTGCTTATTACATAGTTATTGACATTAGGTAATTTATAAGAAAAAATGACTTTATTTTATGACTTTATTTATGGAAGCCGAGAGGTTCAAGGTCAAAGGGCAACTTCTGATGAGGGCCTGCTTGCTGGCAGGGACCCTCAGCAGAGTCTTGAGGTGGTACAGAGCATCACATGGTGAGGGGACTAAGCATGCTAGATAATGTCTCTTTTCCTCTTCTCATAAAGCCGTTAAAACTAATGCCATGATAACTCATTATTCCACCAACCCACTAATTTATTAACCTGTGAATGGATTAATCCATTCATGAGAGCAGAGCCCTCATGATTCAGTCACTTGTTAAAGGCCCCCGTTTTTCAATGCTGCCACATTTCAACAAGAATTTTGGAGGGAATAAACATGCAAACTACAACAGCATAATACTAAGTAAAAGAAGTCCATCTAAAAAGGCTACGTAAGCATATGAATATATGCTAGATATCATAGGTCATCAGAGAAAGGAAGATTAGAACTGCAATGAGATATCACTACATACCTATTCAAATGTTCAAAATCTAGAACATTGACAACACCAAATGATGGCAAGGATGTCAAACAACAAAGACTCATTCATTGATGATGGAATGCAAATTTCTACAGCCACTTTGAAAGACAATTTAGCAGTTTCGTATAAGAATAAACACGCTTTTAGCATATAATGCAGTGTTTATGCTCCTTGCTATATCAACAGGAGGAAAACATGTCCACAGAAAACCCTGAAAGTGAATGTTGATAGCAACTGCATTCATAATTGCTGAAACTTTTAAGCAACTGCTATGGTTTGGATGTGGTTTGTGGCCACCAAAACTCACTGACATTTGATCTGTCGAGGTAATGTTGGGAAGTGGTAATGTTAGGAAGTGGCAATGTTGGGAGGTGGCAGTGCTGGGAAGTGAGGTTATTGGAAGTTATTTAAGTCATAGGAGTAGATCCCACAAGACTAGATTAATCTCCTCCCTCAGAGGTGAATGAGTTCTCACTCTTGTGATAATAATTTAGTCCCCTAAAACACAGGTTGTTAAAGGGTCTGGCTTCTTCAGTTTTTCTTGCTCCCTGTCTTGCCATGTGTGATCTCTTTGTATGAGCCAATCTGTTTTCTGCTATGAGTTGAAGCCTCATGAGGCACTCACCAGATGTAGCTGCTATTCTTGGACTTTGCAGCCACTGGAATCATGAGCCAAATAAATCTCTTATTTAAATAAATTACCCAGCCTCAGGTATTCTGTTATAGCAACACAAATGTACTAAGACAACAACCAAGATGTCCTTCAGGAGGTGGATGGATAAACTGCAATACATCCAGCCAATGAGTTATCAAGACATGAAAAGACATGAGGGAACATAAATGCATATTACTAGCTTTTCAAAACTACTCTGAAAAGGCTACATATTGTATGATTCCAATTATAAGATATTCTAGAAAAGACAAACTGTGGAGACATAAAAACATCCGTGGGTTCCAGGGATTAGGAGAGGGAGAAATGAATAAACAGACTATAGAGGATTCTTAGGGCATCAAATGTAGTCCGTAAAATACTATAATCATGGCTACAATTGTTATACATTTCTTCAAACCTATAGGTGTATATTACCAAGCTGAACCCTTACATAACTATTGACTTTGGGTGATAATGATGTGTCAATGTGAGTTCATCTGTTATAACAAATGTACTACTCTGATGGATTACAGTGATAATGGGGGAAGTTATCCATGTTTGTAGGTGGAGGGGCAAGGAGTATTCGAGAATTCTCCATACCTTCTATTCAATTTTGCTGTGAATCTAAGCATTTTAAATAATTTGAATTTATTTTGCATCTACAAAACTGAAAGAATGATCATTTTAATAAATGAAAAATGCATATTAATGACTTAATAGTCAACATTGTAATCTGTAGCATTGTGAAAGATCTATGAACTCTACAATCATGCACACCTGTATTTAAGGCTTTCTGTGCCATATGATTTTTAAGACTATGGGCAAAGATTTAACCTTTGTGACCATCGATTTGCCCACACATAATAGCAAGATCAAAATAACACCTGAGAATTGAAGGGAAAGATAATGAGATGGAAAGTTTAGGTAATATAGATGCAGGATGAAAAAAGGCCTTAATATACATTAATTTCCTGCTAACTACATCTTCAAAATCTATTTATTAGGCGCTGAAACTATTTTTATTTCAAGTTGAAATTTGACATTTAGATTTTCTAAATCTCTGCTTTTATTTGGAAAGTTATTAGCCCCCTAGAATTAACAATCAAAGGAAAACCTTTACCCAGCATAGTTACAGGGTGGAATGTATAATTCAATAATGTTTTCACTGAAATTAATTAAAATTCATCTTACTTATGTAGTCAAATTTCTTCTGCAAAGATATTTCAGAACCTGCTTACAGCCATTCACTGGGTGATTTGTCAATTGCTTTTTTGTTTATTTTTTAAAGAACATTTTGAGAAAGGTCTCATGTAAATACATAATTATGTTTTCCTGAGAATTTTTCAGAATAAACAGAGAGGGAAAATTAAATTCTTCACAAGTAGAAGGCCAAGCATTCACTGACAGTTCAATAATGATAGACATTTCTGAATTAAATGTTTAATATAAATGTAGAAAGTGAAAGGAAGTTGTGTAAAATAATGTGTCAGCTTTAAAGAACCTGGTAACTGTTCAAGGATTAAAAACAAAATAATTGTTAAAGTTGCTCTTCAATCTCTAAGCTAAATGAAGAAAGCCTCAAAATCTGCTGAGTAACAAGGCAGAGAGTGCCAGAAATTCCTGAGAAATGACATGTAAATGAGTTAGCTAGGTAATGGCTGGAATGCCTAGGTTGCAACCTCCTCATATAGATCTTGTTGTTTTGTAGATGCCATGTTTCTTATTTAACTACCTTCTGTTAAACATCTAGATTATATCTAATCCTTTCCTAGAAGGTTTTTACATACTTTTTAACATACGTAATTATTCAAACTTTAATTGCCTTCTAAAGTTACACATGGACTGTGGTTTCACTATAGTTCCTAAAACTGAGTACTCCATTACTTTGATTTTTTTTTTTAGTTTTTTGTATCTACCATTCAATCCAACAATCCCAACAACTAGGTATCTACCCAAAGAAAAATAAGTCATTAAATAAAAAAGACACCTGCATTTGTATGTTTATTGTAGTACAATTTACACATAAAATATATGGAATCAACCTAAGTACCAAACTACCAATAAGTGGATAAAGAAAATGTGGTATACTTATACCATGGAATACTACTTAGCCACAAAAAAGATAAAAATAATGTCTTTTGCAGCAAGTTGGGTGGAATTGGAAGCTATTATCCTAAGTGAAGTAACGCAGGAACAGAAAAACCAAATACTACATGTTTTTACCTATAAATGGGAGCTAAGCTCTGGATATGAAAAGGCATACAGAATTGTATAATGAACATTGGAGACTCAGAAGGGGGAAGGGTGGGAGAAGGGTGAGAGATTAAAAATCACCTATTGTGTGCAATGTACACTATTCAGGGGAGGGGTACACCAAAAGCCCAGACTTCACCATGTTACAATTTATCCATATAAGAAAAAACCAGTTGTACCCCTAAAGTTATTGAAATTTATAAAAAGAAAAAAGCTGTAATTTTAAAGATATTTCTTTATAGCAGAATGACATTAAAAGTATTGAAAATTCTACATGAAAATATGATAGCAGATTTCCTACTTAGTTTACATTGACTAAAACCAGGTGGATAATTTAGAAGCTAATACCAAGAAATAGTAACATTATTTTGCATTATTTTTTAAATGTTCTGTTCTTTATATTTAAATCCAGTTACCAATATTAATGTTGTTAATGTTGAAAATATGAGTATCTGTTTTGTTGTAGCTATATGTCAGGCCTCTGACCCCAAGCTAAGCCATCATATCCCCTGTGACCTGCACGTACACATCCAGATGGCTGGTTCCTGCCTTAACTGATGACATTCCACCACTAAGGAAATGAAAATGGCCAGTTCCTGCCTTAACTGATGGCATTATCTTGTGAAATTCCTTCTCCTGGCTCATCCTGGCTCAAAAGCTCCCCTACTGAGCACCTTGTGACCCCCACTCCTGCCCACCAGAGAACAACCCCCGTTTGACTGTAATTTTCCTTTACCTACCCAAATCTTATAAAACGGCCCCACCCCTATCTCCCTTCGCTGACTCTCTTTTTGGACTCAGCCCACCTGCACCCGGGTGAAATAAACAGCCTTGTTGCTCACACAAAACCTGTTTGGTGGTCTCTTCACATGGAAGTGCATGAAATTTGGTGCTGTGACTCGGATCGGGGGACCTCCCTTGGGAGATCAATCCCCTGTCCTCCTGTTCTTTGCTCCGTGAAAAAGATCCACCTACGACCTCAGGTCCTTAGACCCACCAGCCCAAGGAACATCTCACCAATTTAAAATCAGCTAAGTGGTCTCTTCATACTCTCTTCTCCAACCTCTCTCACTATCCCTCAACCACTTTTTCCTTTCAATCTTGGTGCCACCCTTCAATCTCTCCCTTCGCTTAATTTCAATTCTTTTCATTTTCTGGTATAGACAAAGGAGACACATTTTATCCGTGGACCCAAAACTCCGGCGCCGGTCACGGACTTGGGAAGGCAGACTTCCCTTGGTGTTTAATCATTGTAGGGATGCCTCTCTGATTATTCACCCATGTTTCAGAGGTGTCTCACCACGCAGGGATGCCTGCCTTGGTCCTTCACCCTTAGCAGCAAGTCCTGCTTTTCTGGGGGAGGGGCAAGGAACCCGACCCCTTCTCTCCCTGTCTCTACCCATTCTCTGCTTTTCTGGGGGGCAAGAACCCCCCAATCCCTTTTTTCTGTGCCCTGATCCCTTATTTCTGTGCCCTGACCTCTTATCTCTGTGCCCCGATCCCTTATTTCCACACCCCGACCTCTTATCTCTGCACCCCATCCCTTATTTCCATGCCCCGACCTCTTATCTCTGCACCCCAATCCCTTATTTCCGTGCCCCGACCTCTTTTCTCTGTGCCTCAACCCCTTATTTCCATGCCCTGACCCCTTTTCTGCTTTTCTAGGGGGCAAGAACCCCCCAACCCCTTCTCTCCGTGTCTCTACTCTCTCTTTTCTCTTGGTTTGCCTCTTTCGCTATGGGCAAGCTTCCGCCTTCCATTCCCCCTTCTTCTCACCTTAGCCTGTGTTCTTAAAAACCTAAAACCTCTTCAACTCACACCTGACCTAAAACCTAAATGCCTTATTTTCTTCTGCAATGCCACTTGACCCCAATATAAACTTGACAGTGGTTCCAAATAGCCAGAAAATGGCACTTTCAATTTTTCCATCCTACAAGATCTAAATAATTCTTGTCATAAAATGGGCAAACGGTCTGAGGTGTCTGATGTCCAGGCATTCTTTTACACATCAGTCCCTCCCTAGTCTCTGTTCCCAATCCAACTCGTCCCAAATATTCTGTCTTTCCCTCCCACCTGTCCCCTCAGTCCCAACCCCAAGTGTCCCTGAGTCTTTCTAATCTTCCTTTTCTATGGACCCATTTGACCTCTCCCCTCCTTGCCAGGCTGAGCTAGGTCCCAATTCTTCCTCAGCCTCTTTTCCTCCACCCTATAATCCTTTTATCACCTCCCCTCCTCACACCTGGTCTGGCTTACAGTTTTGTTCCATGACTAGCCCTCCCCCACCTGCCCAGCAATTTCCTCTTAAAAAGGTGGCTGGAGCTAAAGGCATAAGTCAAGGTTAATGCTCCTTTTTCTTTATCCTAAATCAGAGAGCGTTTAGGCTCTTTTTCATCAAATATAAAAACCCAGCCCAGTTCATGGCTCATTTTGCAGCAACCCTGAGATGCTTTACAGCCCTAGACCCTGAAAGGTCAAAAGGCTGTCTTATTATCAATATACATTTTATTACCCAATCTGCTCCTGACATTAAATAAAACTCCAAAAATTAAATTCTGGCCCTCAAACCCCACAACAGGACTTAATTAACCTCACCTTCAAGGTGTACAATAACAGAAAAAAGTTGCAATTCCTTGCCTCCACAGTGAGACAAACCCCAGCCACATCTCCAGCACACAAGAACTTCCAAACGCCTGAACCACAGTGGCCAGGCATTCCTCCAGGCCCGCCTCCCCCAGGAGCTTGCTACAAGTGCCAGAAATTTGGCCACCAGGCCAAGGAATGCCCACAGCCCAGGTTTCCTCCTAAGCCATGTCCCATCTGTATGGGACCCCACTGAAAATCGAACTGTTCAACTCAGCTGGCAGCCACTCCCGGAGCCCCTGGAACTCTGGCCCAAGGCTCTCTGACTGACTCCTTCCCAGATCTCCTTGACTTAGTGGCTGAAGACTGACACTGCCCGATTGCTTCAGAAGACCCCTAGACCATCAGGGACGCCGAGCTTCGGGTAACTCTCACAGTGGAGGGTAAGTCCGTCCCCTTCTTAATCAATACCTAGGCTACCCACTCCACATTACCTTCTTTTCAAGGGCCTGTTTCCCTTGCCTCCATAACTGTTGTAGGTATTGATGGCCAGGCTTCTAAACCTCTTAAAACTCCCCAACTCTGGTGCCAACTTAGTTATCCCCACCTGCCCAGTTCCCTTATTAGGCTGAGACACTTTAAATAAATTATCTGCTTCCCTGACTATTCATGGGCCACACCTCATTGCTGCCCTTCTTCCCAATCCAAAACTTCCTTTGCATCCTCCTCTTGTATACCCCCACCCTAACCCACAAGTATGGGATACCTCTACTCCCTCTTTGGCGACCGATCTTGCACCCCTTACCATCTCATTAAAACCTAATCACTGTTACCCCACTCAATGCCAATATCCCATCCCACAGCATGCTTTAAAAGGATTAAAGCCTGTTATCACTCACCTGTTACAGCATGGCCTTTTAAAGCTTATGAACTCTCCTTACAATTCCCCTGTTTTACCTGTCCTAAAACCAGACAAGACTTACAGGTTAGTTCAGGATCTGCTCCTTATCAATCAAATTGTTTTGCCTATCCACCCCATAGTGCCAAACCCATTTACTCTCCTATCCTCAATACCTCCCTCCACAACCCATTATTCTGTTCTAGATCTCAAACATGCTTTCTTTACTATTCCTTTGCACCCTTCATCCCAGCCTCTCTTTGCTTTCACTTGGACTGACCCTGACACCCATCATGCTCAGCAAATTACCTGGGCTGTACTGCCGCAAGGCTTCACAGGCAGCCCCCATTACTTCAGTCGAGCCCAAATTTCTTCCTCATCTGTTACCTATCTTGGTGTAACTCTCATAAAAACACAAGTGCTCTCCCTGCTGATCATGTCTAGCTGATCTCTCAAACTTCAATCCCTTATAAAACAACAACTCCTTTCCTTCCTAGGCATGGTTAGTGCAGTCAGAATTCTTACAAAAGAGCCAGGACCGCACCCTGTAGCCTTTCTGTCCAAACAACTTCACCTTACTGTTTTAGCCTAGCCCTCATGTCTCCGTGCAGTGGCTGCTACCACTCTAATACTTTTAGAGGCCCTCAAAATCACACACTATGCTCAACTCACTCTCTACAGCTCTCATAATTTCCAAAATCTATTTTCTTCCTCACACCTGACGCATATACTTTCTGCTCCCCAGTTCCTTCAGCTATACTCACTCTTTGTTGAGTGTCCCACAATTACCGTTGTTCCTGGCCCAGACGTCAATCCGGCCACCCACAGTATTCTGGATACCACACCTGACCCTCATGATTGCATCTCTCTGATCCACCTGATGTTCATCCCGTTTCCCCACATTTCCTTCTTCCCTGTTTCTCACCCTGATCACACTTGATTTATTGATGGCAGTTCCACCAGGCGTAATCACCACTCACCAGCAAAGGCAGGCTATGCAATAGTATCTTCCACATCTGTTATTGAGGCGCTCTGCCCCCCTCCACTACCTCTCAGCAAGCCGAACTAGTTGCCTTAACTCAGGCCCTCACTCTTGCAAAAGGACTACGCATCAATATTTATATTGACTCTAAATATGCCTTCCATATTGTGTACCACCATGCGGTCATATAGGCTGAAAGAGGTTTCCTTACTACACAAGGGTCCTCCATCGTTAATACCTCTTTAATAAAAACTCTGCTCAATACCGCTTTACTTCCAAAGGAAGCTGGGGTCATTCACTGCAAGGGGCATCAAAAGGTGTCAGATCCCATTGCTCCAGGCAATGCTTATGCTGATAAGGTGGCTAGACAAGCAGCTACCTCTCCAACTTCTGTCCCTCACTGCCAGTTTTTCTCCTTCACATCAGTCACTCCCATCTACTCCCCTGCTGAAACTTCCACCTATCAATCTCTTCCCACACAAGGCAAGTGGTTCTTAGACCAAGGAAAATATCTCCTTCCAGCCTTGATTCTATTCTGTCATCATTTTATAACCTCTTCCATGTAGGTTACAAGCTGTTAGCCTGTCTCTTAGAACCTCTCATTTCCTTTCCATCATGGAAATCTATCCTCAAGGGATCACTTCTCAGTGTTCCATTTGCTATTCTACTACCCCTCAGGGATTGTTCAGGCCCCCTCCCTTTCCTACAGATCAAGCTCAGGGATTTGCCCCTGCCCAGGACTGGCAAATTGGCTTTACTCACATGCCCCAAGTCAGAAAACTAAAATATCTCTTAGTCTGGGTAGACACTTTCACTGGATGGGTAGAGGCCTTTCCCACAGGGTCTGAGAAGGCCGCCGCGGTCATTTCTTCCCTTCTGTCAGACATAATTCCTCAGTTTGGCCTTCCCATCTCTCTACAGTCTGATAACGGACAAGCCTTTACTAGCCAAATCACCCAAGTGCTTTCTCAGGCTCTTGGTATTCAGTGGAAACTTCATATCCCTTACCATCCTCAATCTTCAGGAAAGGTAGAACGGACTAATGGTCTTTTAAAGACACACCTCACCAAGCTCAGCCACCAACTTAAAAAGGACTGGACAATACTTTCACCACTTTCTCTTCTCAGAAATCAGACCTGTCCTCAGAATGCTACAGGGTACAGCCCATTTGAGCTCCTGTATGGACGCTCCTTTTTATTAAGCCCCAGTCTCATTCCAGACACCAGACCAACTTGGACTGTGCCCCAAAAAACTTGTCATCCCTACTATCTTCTGTCTAGTGATACTCCTATTCACCGTTCTCAAGTACTCATACATGCCCTGCTCTTGTTTACACTGCCAGTTTACACTGTTTCTCCAAGTCATCACAGCTGATATCTCCTGGTGCTATCCCCAAACTGCCACTCTTAACTCTTGAAGTAAATAAATAATCTTTGCTGGCAGGACTATGCTGAATCTCCTTAGGCACTCTCTAATTAGATGTCCTGGGTCCTCCCAATTCTTAGACCTTTAATACCTGTTTTTCTCCTTCTCTTATTCCGTTTAGTTTTTCAACTCATACAAAACCATATCCAGGCTATCACCAATAATTCTAAATGACAAATGTTTCTTCTAACAGTCCCACAATATCACCCCTTACCACAAAATCTTCCTTCAGCTTAATCTCTCCCACTATAGGTTCCCACGCCACCCCTAATCCCACTCAAAGCAGCCCTGAGAAACATCGCCCATTATCTCTCCATACCATCCCCCAAAATTTTCGCCATCCCAACACTTTACCACTATTTCATTTTATTTTTCTTATTAATATAAGAAGACAGGAATGTCAGGCCTCTGAGCCCAAGCTAAGCCATCATATCCCCTTGACCTGCACGTACACATCCAGATGGCCGGTTCCTGCCTTAACTGATGACATTCCACCACAAAAGAAGTGAAAATGGCCTGTTCCTGCCTTAACTGATGACATTATCTTGTGAAATTCCTTCTCCTGGCTCATCCTGGCTCAAAAGCTCCCCTACTGAGCACGTTGTGACCCCCACTCCTGCCCGCCAGAGAAGAACCCCCACTTTGACTGTAATTTTCCTTTACCTACCCAAATCCTATAAAATGGCCCCACCCCATCTCCCTTCGCTGACTCTCTTTTCGGACTCAGCCCGCCTGCATCCAGGTGAAATAAACAGCCTTGTTGCTCACACAAAGCCTGTTTGGTGGTCTCTTCACCTGGATGCACATGAAACTATATATAGCCGTGAAAATGTTGTGATTTATTTTTGATGACAATGTATGTATTATCTTCTCAAATATAACTCTCAATCTGAAATTTCCGTTAAAGTTCTTTAACAGAGCACTGTATAATTTTAAAACATCTTTAATTTTCAGTTCACTATCTGCCAACTTGTCTCTTTCTGAACTCATAACTTTTACAAATGATGAACTTTAATTCCTACTATGGCCATATTATTACATGCATATTCATTTATTGCAATTTTGTGTCATAACATTCGAAATTATCCACATCAATTTTGACTCACTCATTACTTTAGCATTCTAGCCAATTAAATATGTAATATATACTTGATAATGTTTTATTACCGGGTAACATATAAACAACAAAAAATTACAATGTTTTACAGTTAGAGAGAGATAGAAAGAGAAACTTCAATAGAATAGAGTGGAAGCCTGGAAGAAGGATCATTTAAATGCATCTGCAAACGAGTCAGTAGGACTTGTGGGGAGGTTAGGCAATGCGGAAACATGACATGAAAAGAAATGGAAAGCAGTATTCCAGTTACTCAAAGGGACAAATACAGAGGAATAGAAACATGATGTAATATGTCACACTAAGGAACAGCGAACTCCAGTGTCTCTGGAATGGAGAGAAAAAGGTTGGATATGAAACTGGGTGGATGGGCATTAATGATCTCAAGAAGCATGTTTATGTCATACTCAGGCAATTATATTCAGCTTGACATCAGGAGGAAAACAATTTTGAGTTGGAGATGACCTTGTCACAATGTCATCTCGCAAAGATCAGAGAGGTGGTATTACTAAATCTGTTCAAAGTTGGGTGCAGGGGCAAATGAGAACAGGAATCAGATTATGAAATTAGTGTAAAAGCTCATAAAAAGAAAGATGCATCTAAAATATTCAAGAGAGGGATAAAATGTAACAGAGTTTGGAGTAGAATCATCAAGTTTTTATGATTACTTGCACAGTGATTGGCCATGTAAATGTGAGAAAAATCTAGGAATCCATATTACAGTCTTGAGAAGCCACTAGCTTTTCTGAAAATTAACTGGTAAAGGAGAGATGTGGTCAAAGAGCGAGTTACTGTTTTGAACATATTGGAATAGAGGTTGCCGGGAGTGGGGGGAAAGTTTAAAAGGACATATCCAGAGGTTTAGGGTTGAGATGAGAATTTAAGAATGGTAAGTGTATATCTGGTAAACTTTTGTTGTTCATGGGACCATGTAAATGGAATCTGAAGTATTAGAAGTGAAAAGGCCAAGAATATTACCTTAGGGAGGAACTGGGGGTAAAACGAATTCTCTCATTTAAAGGGTTATTTGAAAAAGAAAAGCCCATGAAGAAAACTGAAAATTGATATCCAGGGAGTTATGAAAGAACCATAATAGAATGATGTCAATTTGTTATATTTTTTAACCTTTACAACAATTACATTGTTCTTGATGACTAAGATCATTAGTCTAATAACTATAATTAGTTATAATTATGCAAAATGGGAGTGTAATTTAATGTGCTATTTACTGTTCTCAAAAGATCTCGTTAATAGTGTTTATGAACAGTGTTTTTCTCCATCTTTAGACCATCTCTAAGGTCCTTCCAGATACACACCTAGGATGCACATGAACTCATGCTATATTTAGAATCATAGGTTTATTCCTAAAAATGCAAGTGATGTACACAGAACATTATACATAATAGTTGCTGAAAAAATCCATGAGGCTTTTTTAGCCTAACAGTCATTTTATAGATGAGTAAATCAAAGTCCAGAAATGATAATTCAAAAAGTCCAAATGTCTGTGTAGTTAGAGTTGGGGTTGAAACAGAGATGCACTTATTTTCTATTTCATTATCCATATTTTTTTCACAATATTGCACTACCTACTCCTAGGCAATTGGGAAGATTTTCAAATTAACTTGTCTTCAGTGATAACAATAGAAACTATTAAATGCAATGTGCCTTTTAATTATATCATAAATTTGCATTATGCCAAACACCTATTTTTTTGTTTGTTTGTTTTCACTTAATGAGCTGTTTTAGTACTACATGACATAGATGACTCAGATCTTTTCAAATAATCTTCCAGTCTCTGTAGTCATCCATGAATGGCAGGATCAGCACTTTTTTTTAGGAACTTAAGTTATAATATACTACTATTGCAAAATACGTAGTCAGCATTATGTTTGTATTTCTCCTATTTATATTCTATATGTATCTATATTTCTGAGTGTATTGAAAAAAATCAACATTAGGAAGATACAGGGATGAGGGTGTAGGAGAAAATTTGCTAAGCTAATGCTATGTACGATACTTGTCAGTTGGTCACCTATATCTCCACATTAGTGCCTTAGTTAATGTGCAGATTCACTGTGCACTTTTCATTTTATATATCATTTTCAAGTGTATTATATTTTGTTCTTTGATTATATGGCTCTTTATGTATAAATTAGAGATAATAATATCTGAATACTTAGGATTGCTAGAAGCACCTAATAAAACTGAAAATTATCTGTAGTTGTTTCCTAGGCTTCTTCTCTGAATTATGCCTTTTATCACACATAAGAGTTGCATCAGCTGGGCCCGGTGGCTCATGCCTGTAATGCCAGCACTTTGGGAAGCTGAGGACAAACCTGGGAGTCAGAGGCAGAGGTTGCAGTGAGCAGAGATTGCACCACTGCACTCTAGCCTGGGTGACAAAAGCAAGACACTGTCTCAAAAAAAAAAAAAAAAAAGAAGGTATTTATTGAACAGATATGTATGAGACACTAGGAATATAATATGAAAAAAGATATTTACAGATAGGCTTAATTAAAAGATTAGAAATATATTTAAAAAAATATTAACAATGGTCATACTGTTTACTTTGTTGTACATGTCTATATGTTTGAATATAAACCCATAATGTCTTTGTAATTAAGAAAAAAATTATTAAATTTATATATAAAGAAAACTGACTTCCAAATTCTCTTTCACCTTTCATTTTTATACTCCATCCTTTCTATGGCCTTTCCCTCTCAAAGACTCATTTATAGTCTTAAGACTTTATGAATACAATTTTAAGTGAAGGATTCGTTAGAAAAGAGAAGGATAACACATTTATATTATTGCTGCTTGCAAGTATTTCTATTAATTTATATTTATGAATTATTCATAGTATTAAAACTATGAAACTACAAATTCCTGTTTTTAAGGCATTTTTTAAAAAATAAAATTAATCTTCTTTATTCTATAATACTTTAACATTTCTCATGACTAAGGTAGTTTTTCTCTAAATCTGCATTTGCAAACCTAGCTGCACAATAAAATTACTTGAGGAGCTTTTAAAAATGTCTTGCCCTGGGCCCTACCTTTAGATATTTTAAGTCAGCCATTCTGGGGCCAGTTCGGAAATCCATAGTTCTAGGCATTCTTCTCAGATTTGCGTGCTTAATAATTCCATTCTTTAGAAGTGATCCACCTTTCACCTATGAATAATATCATCGGTACCTTTAAACAAATTGTAAGGTGAGTGTTTCTAAAAATTGACATAATTGAAGCTAAGCTGGTATTAGGGAAACTTACAAAGTCATTTCTACCACTCTTTCTACATAACTTGCATTGTTCTAAAAAGTACTCAGCAAAATTATGAAGATATTCTAGCCCCACAGTTATGAAAGTCTTATAAAGAAAAATCCTTCTTTTGGCCAGGTGCGCTGGCTCATGCCTGTAATCGCAGCACTTTGGGAAGCTGAGGCGGGCAGATCACTTGTGGTCGGGAGTTTGAGACCAGCCTGGCCAACATGGCAAAATCCTATCTCTACTAAAAATACAAAAATTAGCCAGGCGTGGCGGCGGGCCCCTGTAATCCCAGCTACTCTGGAGGCTGAGGCAGGAGAATAGCTTGAACCCAGGAGGTGGATGTTGCAGTGAGCTGAGATTGTGCCATTGTACTCCAGTCTGGGCGACAAGAGCAAAACTCTGTCTCAAAAATATAAATAAGTAAAAAAAAAAAAAAAAAAAAAAAAAAAAAAGAGTTGCATCAGTCCCACAGGACAGTAGCTTTGTTTTTAAATGATACAAATTATTTAAAATATTTGTAGTATGAGGTACTCTTCATACTTTAGAAAGTACATGTATTTTGCAGCACTTTTAAATACATTGATTATTAAAATATTATTGTTAACTAATAATTATTGATAGAGATAAATGAACATAATATATAAATGCAAACCATGTTAGCAATTATAAATAGTATAATGGAAAACATATTTTTCACTCAACTATTTTTAAAGATATTTTAATGGGAGAAAATTTTTAGTAAAGATGCAGTTGAATAAGAGTCTAATTTTATTTCATTAAGATTTTTTTCTAAAGGCATAATTTGGATTTGAAAAAATAAATTGCTGGGTGCATTGGCTCATGCCTGTAATCCCAGCACTTTGGGAGACTGAGGCAGGCAGACCACGAGGTCAGGAGTTCAAGAACAGCCTGGCCAATATGGTGAAACCCCATTAAAAAATTACAAAAATTAGCCAGGCGTGGTGGTGCACACCTGTAGTCCCAGCTACTGGGGAGGCTGAAGCAGGAGAATCACTTGAAACTGGTAGGCAGAGGTTGCAGTGAGCCGAGATCACGCCACTGCGCTCCTGCCTGGGTGACAAAGTGACACTTCATCTCAAAAAAAAAAGAGAAAAAGTAATAGAAAAAGAAAAAATAAATTAACTGTAAAAGTACATATAAACATGGAGATATATAAAATCATAAAAGGAGGGAGATCAATCTTCTTTGAACGTTTCTCTGTTATACAAAAAAAAAAACCCTCACTATATTCAAGTCTATGTACTTATAAAAACTAAAAACAAAATGTAGGATTCTTATACCTAAGCTGAAAGCATTTTTATAAACTGCATTTTATATGTTTGTTCAGAGGAACTTCATAAATGTCCAAATACTTAAATGCACCATCTAATAAAAATATATGTTACAAAAAAGAATATTGAGTAGGAGTACTCTGAATTCTCTGTTGCTTTAAACACAAGATATATAATTCTATCAATCTACAGGATATACATGCCACACTATACCATCTTTATCATCAAATGGGTAAAAATACCATCTTTACACTGTTTCTGTGCTTCCAAGCCTCTAAGAAGCTTTTGAGTTTTTATGATTTTATGTTATCATTGAGATGGTAGAATAAAGTAAGGTGAATATTTAAAAGTAACATAATATCCTATTTTCTGTTTATTCTACTCATCCTCATAATAAAACAGCTAATACATTCTGAAATATTTCAGGTTGTAAAGAAAGTTTATTTTTCACCACGTTGATGTAACTTGTTTGAGAAGTGTCTATCAAGAAAAAAATAGGAAAAATGAATGAAATTTATATTAAAAATTCTGTAACTCAGAATAGGAATATACAAAGGCTGTAAGTCAAAATATGATTGATACAGTATCCTTTAATCCTTATTATCCTTTGAAATAGAGATCCTAGATAATACCTGTTAAAAATTTGATGAATCAATTATTCATGTTTTTCTAATTACTATTTTTGCCTGTACATTTGCTATATTTTTCACCATAGATGAACTGTTTCTAATACTCACATGAAATAAAATTATCCCAAAGAATCTGTTTTTCTAAATTTTTCAGCTTCTTCCAATTTAGTTACGCTTACAAATAAATTCATCTTCTGTCCACAAGTAGCATATGCTTTCAAAGGACAAAATTTCTTGGCTGTAAACATTCTCCAAGCACCAGAAAATGTCTTGGCTGTAAACGTTCTCTAAGCACTGCCATTTATACAGGCAAGTGATTTGGAAATGAAAACTTCTATGATACAGACAAATGATTTGGAAATGAAAATTTCTATGTGACAGAATGTACATTTCGAATAAAGTTTTTACAGTTTTGATTTGCTTTCTATATTCAAAAGCTATGCTACACAATCAGACATACTGATCTACTCCCAGTGTCCTCCCTTGTTAATATTTAGACATTCTCAGTGGTCTCATGTGTTAGAGTTATCTAAAAGCATAGGAAATTTGAATTTTGTTTTGTTGCATTTTTTAATTTCATTCAGTGTTTAAATTACGTGTCTTGGAGGATGGGGAAAGATTAGTCAACAGGTACAAAGTTACAATTAAATAGAAATAAGTTCTGGTTTTGTGTTGCCCAGTAGGGTGATGATGGTTATTATTAAGAGTGAGGTATTGTATTTTACAGAATAGCTTGAGGAGAGGCTTTTGAATGTTCTCACCATAGAGAAATTATAAATGCCTTATACAACACACATATGTATCAAAACATCAAATTGTATCCCTAAATTATGTACAATTACAATGCATCAATTACAATAAGACTCATATAGTAATCACAGTTTAAATGAATGAAAGAAAAGTCTCAAAACCATAATTAGAGCATCAGACTAGGAGATATGTTTGTATGGAAATGTTAACTTATTTTTCAGGCTATCCAGGTGTCAGCCCCATAATTAAGGAAGGGCAGCAAAAGGTTTCCCTGTCCTCAAATTAAGGCTATAAGTAAGTATTTATTGAGCATCCAACTTTAGCCTCGCAGTTAATTTCTTCCTTGGAAGTCTCTAAGAATGTTTAAACAAACAATTTGCTGGGCTCATAAATCAGAACATCTACATTATGTCAAGTTTTTCTTTAAAATATTTCTAAATTTTATTTATAAGTGGCAAAAACCCTGAGATCTCTCTATAGTGAAATATTATATTCACAGAATAAGTGATTAGATTAACCACAAAGCTGTTATGAACATTTCCTGAATTGTGTTTATTTTAAGCCTGTATCAGATACATTGATCCACTTAAAAATAGAACCAATGCATTTTCTTATAAGTTCAGCATTAATTATCATGGTAAAGACAATCTACTGATTCATATCAAACATGAGACAAAATGAAACTGTTTAGACCTATTTTTCTTTTATATTCACAAAACTACAGTTTTGTGAAATCCATAACATTTTTGGTTTGTGATTACACAGTAATTATAAGACAGTGAGACCTATTCTGCAACCCCACAGGAAATTGTACTAATATATTAGAATTATAGACAACAAAAAAGAAAAAAGAAATAAAGGGAGAGAGAGGAAAGAAGAGAAGAATGGAGGAAGAAAACTACAGGTAGAAGTAATTCAGGGCATGTAAAAAAAAAAGTGGAAGAAAAAACTCACTTATATTTTTTACCTAGGCCATCTGGATAAATTAACATTTTGTATATGTATACATTTTATGAACAATAGAAAATATTTATTACATATAAGTAAGGCTTATTTTGGCCAAATATCATAAGGAAATTGAAAAATAACAGTGACTGAAAACCCAGAAGCAATAAAGGACAGAAAAAAATATAAACTTTGCTACATAAAATTTAAGAACAGTTTATACAACAAAAAAAAAATGAAGAAGTCAAAGGGCAAATAATACATTGGGGCCATTTTTGTAGTATCCTTAAAATATAAAAGTTTTAAAAATAGTTTAAAAGATTCCAAAAATCTTATAGAATAAATAGCAAAACGTATAAATAAACAAGTCATATGAATACAAATGATCCTTATACCAATGTGTGTGTGAAAAGCTACACTTTAACTATAAAAACAAATTTGATTAAAAATGACATCTGGGATGTCTTGAGCATTTATTATGTACCAGGCCATTAGGCACGTTGCAGAAACTGTTTTATATATTCCTCAATCTTGTGAGATTGGTACTATTCACATGCATGTTTTACAGTGGAGAAAACTATAGTCTAGAGAGGGTATTTCATAAGCTTGACCAAATTTAAAATACAAGGAATATGACATTTAAAATACAAGGCATCTCCTTATATTTGATTTGTTCAAAATTCCCTCATGTAGAAAAGATAGATTAGCTATACTTTTACATATTCCTTCCACAAAGTACAGCTAAAATTCCTGGAACTTACATATAAATCAAACAAAAGCATACTGTAAAAGGGAAGAAAAGAAGGCAGACTGCTTAGAGATCTTGGGACCCACGGAATGACAGAATAGGCAGTTCCCCTTGTTTTCTTTTTACCTCATATATCACAGACTCAATGTATGCTGGAGAAGTCATTCAACCAGTAAACACCAATGTGTGCAGACTAAAACAAAGAAACAAACTAAAAGCAAGAGAAACTCATTTTGTTTTCCTAAAACACCAAGCTTGAAGGGCAAAAAAACTATGCATACAATGACCATTCTCCTCAAGCCCCACACCACAGAAACACCTTCAACCACCATTTCCTCCCTTTGCCAGCGAAGGCCTGTCTAGCATACATCATCCATGTCCATGCATGTCCTGCTTTAATAAATGCTCCAAATGACCCCTCAACCTATGGAGGTGGTGTCCAAAGAGACAGCGTGACAAGTGAATTTTTTATCCCCGCCAAGCAGTAACGAGTTCTGCTACCTTTGTCCCGAAGTGTTATTTCCCAAAGGTGGGAGGGGCAGTCCAGCCTCTGCTCAGGGTCATCCACCAGACTTAGAAAAACAAAAGCAAAGAAACCTTCCATCCAATGCTGGTTTTGAATGCTTGTAAATGTCTCTTGATGAAATGTATTTATACAAACAAGTAAAAAAGTAATCCATATTTAGTACTTATTACTATTATTTCTATGTTGTTATGTACAAAGCTTTTAAAATTTTGTTTTAAAAAGCAATGATTAGCTACTTTGATTGGTATATTGTGGGGAATATATGTATATATATATGTATGTATGCTCATGCAAATCACACAAATATATATAAATATATTTATAAGACTTTTGGAAGTCTCAAGACTGTCATATATGACTATAACTATTTTAATGATATATAAACAGATGGTTGTGGTTTTGAATAAATTTTCAAGTGCTCACATCATGCATGGATTTTAAAACCACCTTATATCAACTATCTCTAATGGAGGAAAACATGAGTTGTACTTTGTAAAATTATTTTGGTTATTCAAGTGGCTCATGTAATAATGAAGAAGTGGATGGGAAAGATGAATGTAATGTTTTTTGCATGAACTGTAGTCATAGATAAAAGCAATATGACAAACAATATATTATACCTGCTATCATGTAATTATCGCTGGTATTTTTTCCTATATTTTCCCATACTAGAAAGTAATTTCTGTAAGCTCCAAATTATACCTTCTTCATTTTTTTCCTTTCTAATATATACAGTTAGGACCTAATAAACACATTTAATGAATATACTAATTCATTTTCCTTGATAAAAGTGCCATTTGAACTTAATGAAAAACGACAACAAAATTGTTTTACTTCTAAGGACGGCACCAAGCCAGGAGCCTGGGCACTTGTTGCAGGTTCCCCAAGTACAAAGTAAAGCACCTAGTCCAATGCCTGGTATAAAGTGGGAGTGCAGGAAGTGTGTAGTGAAGAAGACAGCTCTGGATGCTAAGGAGATTGCTCTTGGCATTCTTCCATGCCTTGATCATCCTTAAGGGTAGGCCAGATTCTAGGGATTGGCATCTACCTCAAATAGGAATCACCTAGAACATTATAAAGTCACCAGAATGGGGAAAGGAAGGCTAGAAGGGCTCAAAGAACCAAACTAACCCTCATCGTTATTCTGCTGAAGAAGAGCCATAGTCTGTCTGTAAGTATGTGGTGTGTGGGGGAAAGATCTTTAGAATAGACTTCAGAAAACCCGGAACCCCTTATTAGTCTTGGATCTCTGGGCCTTCTTCATCTATACAATCAGCAGACTGAGTTAAGAAATCTCAGAGGTTCCTTTTTGCTTTGGCATTCTGTGGAATTGGGATGATTACTATTAATCAGAATACTAACCACCACTTGTCAGATACTCATTGCGTGTTTGACATGATGCTAAGTACATTATTCTTTTATTTAGGCCTCATAACAACCCTATGAGGTAGATACTCTTATTGTCATTTCATGTTTTACAAAAAGGAAGGCCACACAGAGGTCGAGGGTGCAGTTAAGACTCAAATCCAGATCTGTCTAAATCAAAGGCCTGCTTCTTTACTATTATTATTTGATTAGTATATTTATATATTTATTTTAAAAATAATTTATTGAGGTGAAATTTACAAAATACCAAACTAGTCATTTTAAAGTGAGTAATTCAGTGACAATTAGGATATTCCCAATGTGTAAAATCACCACCTCTATCTAACTACAAAACATTTTGGTTTCTCCAGAGTAAAAAGCTATACCTTAATCAGTTTCTTCACATTACTCCTTACCTCAGACCCTGGTAACCGCCAATGTGGGTTCTGTCTTTATGGATTTAACTATTCTGGCTATTTTATACAAATAGAATCATATAATATGCATGGTTTAAAAATAGTTGAATAGGGACTGCTCCTCCAGGACTCAGAAGACACTCACAATACTATGAGTTCCCCAACTGTGGAAGCGGGGAAGGAAAATTCTCCTCTCCCGAACACACATCCCCACTGGGGAAACTGAAAGTCTGTTTGCTGGAGAAGTTTTCAAACTTATCTGGAGCCGAGTCAATCTAGAGAGCCCAGCAAAATACAGGGGTAGAAGAAGCAGCAGGAAATGTCCTGGGAGCTTGCTGGGTCCCTAAGCAGACCATTCCTGCCTGGCACCACAGGGCTCCTCCTGGAGGGCAGCCAGAGGAGCAGGGACAAACTCCCCAGGGAGAGGGAAGTCTCCAGCTGAACTTAGTAACAATTTGAACCCCACGAGAAGCTTCCTGGCCAGAACTCAGGGGAGGGTGCAAATCTGGTGTGCAGACTCCATAGGCGAAGGAAGAACCAAGCCCTTTTCTTTCACAGCTGGGAGGTGGCTAGCCTGGGTCAAGATCTCAAACTGGGCTTACCCACCACCTGGAAACAGACTCAACTCGAGGCTGTTAGAGAAGGCATGGTGGGAGTTGAAACCAGCCCTTCAGTTTGCATGGGAGCTGGGTGAGGCCTGTGACTGCTGGCTTTCCCCTACTTCCCTGACAACCTGCATGACTCAGCACAGGCAGCCAGAATCCTCCCAGGTACACAACTCCATTGACCTGGGAACCTCACCCCCATCCCCTACAGCAGCTGCAGCAAGACCCGCCCAAGGAGAGTTTGAGCTCAAACTCGCCTAGCCCTGCCCCAATCTGTAGGCTTTCCCTATCCACCCTGGTAGCTGAAGACAAATGGCATATAATCTTGGGAGTTCTAGGGCCCCACCACCACTGGTTCCTCCCCATCATATCACAGCTGGTGCTCCGTGGAAAGCACAACCTCCTGGCAGGAGGCCAACCAGCACAAAAATAGAACATTAAACCACCAAAGCTAAGGACCTCCACAGAGTCCCTTGCATCCCCCATCACCTCCACTGGAACAGGCACTGGTATCTACAGCTGAGAGACTCATAGACAGTTCACATCACAGAACTCTGTGCAGACAACCCCTAGTACCAGCTCCGAGCTGGGTAGACTTGCTGGGCGGCCAGATCCAGAAGAGAGATAATAATCACTGCAGCTTAGCTCACAGGAAGCCACATCCATAGGAAAAGGGGGAGAGCACTACATCAAGGGAACATCCCATGGAACAAAATAACCTGAACAACAGCCTTGAGCCCTAGACCTTCCCTCTGACAGCACCTACCCAAATGAGAAGGAACCAGAAAACAACCAGAAATATGATAAAACAACGCTCTTTCATACCACCCACCAAAATCACACTAGTTCACCAGCGATGGATCCAAACCAAGAAGAAATCCCTGATTTACCTGAAAAAGAATTCAAGAGGTTAGTTATTAAGCTAATCAGGGAGGCACCAGAGAAAGGCGAAGCCCAATGCAAGGAAATCCAAAATACGGTACAAGAAGTGAAAGGAGAAATATTTAAGGAAATAGATAGCATAAGGAAAAATCAGGAAACTTCAGGAAACAAAACTTCAGGAAACATCGGACACACTCAAAGAAATGCAGAATGCTTCGGAAAGTCTCAGCAATAGAGTTGAACAAGTAGAAGAAAGTCAGAGCTTAAAGACAAGGTCTTTGAATTAACCTTATTCAACAAAGACAAAGAAAAAAGAATAAGAAAATATGAAAAAAGCCTCCAAGAAGTCAGGGATTATGTTAAACCACCAAACATAAGAATAATCAGTGTTCCTGAGGAAGAAGAGAAATCTAAAAATTTGGAAAACATATTTAGGGGAATAATCAAGGAAAACTTTCCCAGCCTTGTTAGAGACCTAGACATCCAAATACTAGAAGCACAAAGGACACCTGGGAAATTCATCACAAAAATCTCTTCACCTAGCCACTTTGTTATCAGTTTCTCTAATGTTAACACAAAGGAAAGAATCTTAAGAGCTGTGAGACAAAAGCACCAGGTAACCTATACAGGAAAACCTTTCAGAATAACAACAGCTTTCTCAGCAGAAACCCTATAAGCTGGAAGGGATCAGGGTTCTATCTTCAGCCTCCTCAAACAAAACAAATATCGGACAAGAATTTTGTACCCAGCGAAACTAAGCATTATATATGAAGAAAAGATACAGTCATTTTCAGACAAACAAATACTGAGAGAATTCACCATTACCAAGCCACCATTATAAGAACTGCCAAAAGGAGTTCTAAATCTTGAAACAAATCCTGGAAACACATCAAAACAGAACCTCTTTAAAGCATAAATCACACAGGACCTATAAAAGTGAAATACAAGTTAAAAAGCAAAAACAAAAAAACGAAAACAAGGTACAAAGGCAAGAAATAGCACAATGAATGCAAAGGTACCTCACATCTCAATACTAACATTGTAAACATGTAAATGGCTTAAATGCTCCACTTAAAAGATACAGAACTGCAGAATAGAGAAGAACTCACCAACCAATGCTCTGCTACCTTCAGGAGACTCACCTAACATATGAAGAGTCACATAAACTTATGTAGCACCTAAGGTTCTTGCCTAGCCACGCCAAAAATTGGTGTGGTGGCTGACTGTGACAAGTGATAGAGACACGGACCGAGAGTGAGAAAAAGTTGTAGGTTTTATTGAGCAGAGTGAAAGTACAAAGCTTCCATAGTGTGGAAGGGGTCCCAAATGGGTAGCCAGAGTTAGATTATATAATTGCCTTTTAAACTCTTTAAGGTGGGAAATACATGTGGCTGGAAGATGTTACCAGAGTGAGAAAGAAAGGCAGTAAATTATTTTGTGACATATCCTAGATTTTGAGGAAAACCGGAATTGCAACTTAGGTTTTATTTACTTTATGACCTTGTAGCGGCATGGCAAAGGAGAGAGGATCTTACAGGACTTTACAAAATATGTTTACAAGGAATTGGAATTGGGAGTATAGATAAGGTCCGCTGGTCACAGAAAAACAGGCAGTTAACATTCCTTTTACTTTAATTTCAGGGGAGGCGGAGGGAGAGAGGACACAGGGAAACTTACAGCAAAATTTTCGCTGTTTATAGCTTTCTTCGGGAAGAAAACACATGCACAAATCCTGGTGTTAGGAATATTTTAAGCATATATCTTCAATATTATTCATCCAGGACCGAAGGAAGTCCTGATGCAGGAAATGAGTAAGTTTCACAGCTTTCTGAGCCCCTACTGGACCCAGGAAGCCTAGCTGGCACCTCCTCTCAGTTAAAGTAAAGGGGTGGAAAAAGATATTTTATGCAAATGGACAGCAAAAGTGAGCAGGGATAGCTATTCTTATAACAGGAAAAACAAACTTCAAAGCAACAGCAATTAAAAGAGACAAAGAGGGACATTATATAATGGTAAAAGGCCTTGTTCAACAGAAAAATATCACAATCCTAAACACGTAAGCACCTAACGTTGGAGCTCCCAAACTTATAAAACAATTACTAACAGACCTAAGATATGAGATAGACAGCAACACAATAATAGTGGGGGACTGCAATACTCCACTGACAGCACTAGACAGGTCATAAGACAGAAAGTCAACAAAGAAACGATGGGTGTATTGTTTATTTATTTTTATTTTTTGAGACAGTCTTGCTCTGTCGCCCAGGCTGGAGTGCAGTGATGCGATCTTGGCTCACTGCAACCTCCATCTCCTGGGTTCAGGTGATTCTCCTGCCTCAGCCTCCCAAGTAGCTGGGATTACAGGTGTCCACCACCATGCTCAGCTGATTTTTGTATTTTTAGTAGAGATTGGGTTTTATCATGTTGGCCAGGCTGGTCTCAAAATCCTGACCTCATATGATCCACCTGCCTCAGCCTCCCAAAGTACTGGGATTGTAGGCATGAGCCACCTTGCCTGGCAGAAACAATGGATTTGAACTATACCTTGGAACAAATAGACTTAACAGATATATACAGCACATTTCATCCCCATTTGCAGAATACACATTCTATTCAACAGTGCATGGAACTTTCTACAAGACAGACTATGTGATAGGCCATATAATAGCCTCAATAAATTTAAGAAAATCAAAATTACATCAAGCCCTCTCTCAGACCACAGTGGAATAAAACTGGAAATCAACTCCAAAAGGAACTTTCAAAACCATGCAATTACATGGAAATTAAATAACCTGCTCCTGAATGAGCATTGGGTCAAATACAAAATCAAGATGGAAATTAAAAAATTCTTTGAACCAAATGACAATATTAACACAAGCTATCAAACTTCTGGGGGGCTGGGCATGGTGGCTCATGCCTGTAATCCCAGCACTTTGGGAGGCTGAAGCGGGCAGGTCACCTGAGCTAGGGAGTTCAAGACCAGCCTGACAAACATGGAGAAACCCCATCTCCACTAAAAATACAAAATTAGCTGGGCATGTTGGTGCATGCCTGTAATCCCAGCTACTCGGGAGGCTGAGGCAGGAGAATCACTTGAATCCAGCAGCAGGCAGAGGTTAGAGTGAGCCAAGATCATGCCATTGCACTCCAGCCTGGGCAACAAGAGCAAAACTCCATCACAAAAATAAATAAATAAGAACCTCTGGGATACAGCAAAGGTGGTGTTAAGAGGAAAATTCATAGCCCTAAACACCTACATAAAAAACACTGAAATAGCACAAACTGACATTTTAAGGTCCCACCTCAACGAACTAGAGAAACAAGAACAAACCAAAATCAAACCCAGCAGCTGAAAGGAAATAACCAAGATCAGAACAGAACTAAATGAAATTGAAACAAAAACAATTACAGAAGATAAATCAAACAAAAAGCTGCTTCTTTGAAAAGACAAACAAAATTGATGGATCATTAGCAAAATTAACAAAGAAAAGAAGTTCAGAAAATCCAAATAACCTCATTAAGAAATGAAACAGGAGATATTACAACTGACACCACTGAATTACAAAAGAATATTCTAGGCTACTACAAACACATTTATGCACATAAACTAGAAAACCTAGAAGAGATGGATAAATTCCTGGAAAAATACAACCCTCCTAGCTTAGTTCAGGAGGAATTAGGTACCCTAAACAGATCAATAACAAACAGTGAGATTGAAATGGTAATTTAAAAATTACCAACAAAAATTAAATCCAGGACCAAACAGATTCACAGCAGAATTCTACCAGACATTCCAAGAAGAATTGGTACCAATCCTTTTGACTCCATCCCACAAGACAGAGAAAGAGGGAATCCTCCCTAATTTATTCTATGAAGCCGGCATCACCCTAATACCAAAACCAGGAAAGGACATAACCAAAAAAGAAAACTACAGACTGATATCCTTGATGAACATAGATGCTAAAATCCTTAACAAAATACTAGCTAACCGAATCCAAGAACATATCAAAAAGATAATCCACCATAATCAAGTGGGTTTCATACTAGAGATGTAGGGATGATTTAACATACACAAGTCAATAAATGTGAAACACCACAAAAACAGAATTAAAAACAAAAATCACATGATCATCTCAATAAATGCAGAAAAAGCATTCAACAAAATCCAGAATCGCTTTATGATTAAAAGTCTCAGCAAAATCAGCATACAAGGGACATACCTCAATGTAAAAAAAGTCATCTATGGCAAACCCACAGCCAACATAATTCTGAATGGGGAAAAGTTGAAAGCATTCCCTCTGAGAACTGGAACAAGACAAGGAGGCACACTGTCACCACTCCTCTTCAACATAGTACTGGAAGTCCTAGCCAGAGCAATTAGATAAGAGAAAGAAATAAAGGGCATCCAAATTGGTAAAGAGGAAGTCAAACTATGCCTGTTTTCTGATGATATCATCATTTATGTAAAAAACCCTAAAGACTCCTTCAGAAAGCTCCTAGAACTGATAAAAGAATTCAGCAAAGTTTCTGGATACAAGATTAATGTACACAAATCAGTAACTCTTCTATACACCAATAGTGACCAAGCAGAGAATCAAATCAAGAACTTAACCCCTTTTACAATAGCTGAAAAAAAAAATTAGGAATACACCTAACTAAGGAGGCAAAAGACTTCTACAAAGAAAACTACAAAACACTGCTGAAAGAAATCATAGACAACACAGACAAATGGAAACACATCTCATGCTTATCTATTGTGAAACAATACATTGTTCCACAATGTGAAACAATACATTGTTCCACAATGTGAAACAATACATTGTTCCACAATGTGAAACAACATTGTGAAAATGGCCATGCGGCCAAAAGCAATCTACAAATTCAATTCAATCCCCATCAAAACACCACCATCATTTTTTACAGAATTAGGAAAAAAACTTCCAAAATTTATGTGGAACCACAAAAGAGCCTGCATACCCAAAGCAAAACTAAGCAAAAAGAACAAATCTGGAGGAATCACACTACCTGACTTCAAACTAGAATATAAGGCCATACTCACCAAAATAGCATTGTACTTGTATAAAAATAGGCACATAGGTCAATGGTACAAAATAGAGAACCCAGAAATAAACCCAAATACTTACAGCCAACTGATCTTCAACAAAGCAAACAAAAACATAAAGGGGGGAAAGGACACCAGTTTCATCAAATGGTGCTGGGATAATTGGCTAGCCACATGGAGGAGAATGAAACTAGATCCTCATCTCTCTCACCTTATACAAAAATCAACTCAACATGGATCAAAGGCTTAAATTTAAGACCTGAAACTATAAAAATTCTAGAAGGTAACATAAAAACCCTTCTAGACATTGACTTAGGCAAGGGTTTCATGACCAAGAACCCAAAAGCAAATGAAATAAAAACAAAGATAAACAGTTGGGACTTAATTAAACTAAAGAGCTTTTGCATGGCAAGAGGCACGGTCAGCAGAGTAAATAGACAACCCACAGAGTGGGAGAAAACCTTCACAATGTACACATCTGACAAAGGACTAATATCCAGAATCTACAATGAACTCAAACAAATCAGTAAGAAAAAAACAAACAATCTCATCAAAAAGTGGGCTAAGGACATGAATAGACAATTCTCAAAAGAAGATATACAAATTACCAAAAAACATGAAAAAATGTTCAACATAACTAATGATCAGGGAAATGCAAATCAAAACCACAATACGATACCACTTTACTCCTCCAAGAACAGCCATAATAAAAAAAAATGAAAAACCAGTAGATGTTGGCGTGTATGCAGTGATCAGGGAACACTTCTACTCTGCTGGTGGGAATGTAAACTAGTACAGCTGCTATGGGAAACTGTGTGGAGATTCCTTGAAGAACTAAAAGTAGAACTACCATTTGATCCAGCAATCCCACTACTGGGTATCTACCCAGAGGAAAAGAAGTCATTATTCAAAAAAAAAAAAAAAAACTTGTACATGCATGTTTATAGCAGCACAACTTGCAATTCCAAAATCATGGAACTGAGAGGTGAAGGCAGCGGGGCTTCTGGGTCAGGTGAGGACTTGGAGAACTTTTCTGTCTAGCTAAAGGATTGTAAATGCACCAATCAGCGCTCTGTGTCTAGCTAAATGCTTGTAAACGCACCAATCAGCACTCTGTCAAAACGGACCAATCAGCACTCTGTAAAATGGACCAATCAGCTCTCTGTAAAATGGACCAATCAGCAGGATGTGGGTGGGGCCAAATAAGGGAATAAAAGCTGGCCACCTGAGCCAGCAGCAGCAACCCACCCAGGTCCCCTTCCATCCTGTGGAAGCTGTGTTCTTTCACTCTTCGCAATAAATCTTGCTGCTGCTCACTCTGGGTCCGTACTACCTTTATGAGCTGTAACACTCACTGTGAAGGTCTGTGGCTTCACTCCTGAAGTCAGCAAGACCACGAACCCACTAGAAGGAAGAAACTCAGGACACATCTGAACATCTGAAGGAACAAACTCCAGACACACCATCTTTAAGAACTGTAACACTCACTGTGAGGGTCTGTGGCTTCATTCTTGAAGTCAGTGAGACAAAAAACCCACCAGAGGAACCAATTCCAGACACAGAACCAACCTAAATGACCATCAATCAATGAATGGATGGATGAAGAAACTCATATATATATATATATATATATATATGTAGATGAGATACATATGATGGAATACTACTCATCCATAAAAAGGAATCAATTAAGGGCGTTTGCATCCACCTGGATGAATTGGAAACTATTATTCTAAGTGAAGTAACTCAGGAATGGAAAACTAAACATTGTATGTTCTCACTGATACGTGGGAGCTAAGCTATGAGAATGCAAAGGCATAAGAATGTTACAGTGGACTTTGGGGACTTGTGGGGAAAGGATGGGAGGAGAGGCGAGTGATAAAAGACTACAGATAGGGTGCAGTGCATACTGCTTAGGTGATGGGTGCCCCAAAATCTCACAAGTCACCACTAAAGAACTTATGTAATCAAATATCACCTTTACCCCAATAACTTATGGAAAAATTTTAAAAAATAGAAACAGATAAATAATGGAATAAGTAAAGCCAGGTTTGCATAATTTTTAAGCTATATTGTTAAGTACTTTTGACACAATAGACCTAGGGAAAGAGCCAAAGTCTTCTGGAATATGCAGCATTTCTCCAATACTTACTAAGCAAAGCAAAGAATTTTTCTTCAGATGTATTTATTATTTATTAGAAAGGAGTATTTCAAGTTCTCATTGTGTGTTTCCAGTTTAAGATTTTCACGTCTCATCATTTTTGTGTGTTTTATTTTTCTCTTGTCTTTTGAATCTGCTTTGTGGAAATGTTCTCAAAATTTTCTTCTGCATTACTGATATGGTTTTCTACAAAATAAACTCTGAGTTCAATTAAAATGTTAATTTTGTTACTGCACTTTAAGGTTATAAGCATCTAATGTTATTGTCTTTTAATATTGGCACATTTACCCTATGTGGTTTTCTGCTATGATTTTATGAAAGCCATATTATTTTTCACCTACCAGATGCTAAACACTTTTCTAAGGTATTTTTCATTTTTTGTATTTACAAAGGTTCAAATAATTCAAAGAAAATGCATTTTTTACTACCATATCTATATGCAGCAGATAAGAGGATGGAACTTAGTTTTAACATTTGCTTGCTTCATTAACATAATTAATAACAATTTTATTTCTTGCTTTAGATGTAATATTAAATTATTTATGTTCTTATGTAAATTATTCTTAGAAATATATATTTTATCCAAATTGATGTAAGAATTTCTATCTGTTCATTAAAAAATGGACTTTGTGAGTCTTGCTCTAAAAGTAGTTCTCACTATAGTGTATTGTTTAAGCTACAAAGGCAAAGCACAACTGAGAATATAAAATTTCTGATTAATACAGAACCATACTAAGAACCAAGGTGATAATGAAGTTGAATTTAAGAATTATGTAGATATACTATTACTATCAACCGAAAGTAGTAGGATAGTTACACAATTTAGTTCCAAAATGTGTGCAAGTTCAACTAGAGGTATTACAAAAAGAATGTCAATACTTCTCATGTAATCTTGACTACTTTATATAAGAGAAACAATAATGCAGGATTTCACTTTCACATGCCTGCAGAGGGTGATTAAGAATTAAACTGTTAAGAAAAAAAAAGCGAAGGGGGCAGGGGGAATTGGTGGTAAAAATGAAACTGCCAATTGCATTCAAACTAATTAAAAACAAAATACACAAAAATGACGAAACAAATCAGTCTGAAGGATAGATCACACAAGTTTTTCTTTTTTTTATGGTCCAATGTATATACTAAGTGAATAACTTTGGCTTTTGTTATCCTAACATAGCTATTGATTTTATTTTGGCTTATTTCCTTGACATTTTATTTTTATTTATTTATTAATTTATTTTGTTTTATTTTACTGTAAGTTCTGGAATACATGTACAGAATGTGCACATTTGTTACATAGGTATATGTGTGCCATGGTGGTTTGCTGCACCTAACTACCCATTATCTAGGTTTTAAGCCCCACATGCATTAGCTATTTGTCCTGATGCTCTCCCTCCCCTCCCTCCACCACAGGCCCCGATGTGTGATGTTCCCCTCCTTGTGTCCATGTGTTCTCATGGTTGAAATTCCACCTGTGAGTGAGAACATGCAGTGTTTGGTTTTCTGCTCCTGTGTTAATTTGCTGAGAATGATGGTTTCCAGCTTCACCCATGTTTCTGCAAAGGACATGATCTTTTTATGGCTGCATAATATTCCATGGTGTATATGTACCACATGTTCTTTATCCAGTCTATCACTGGATAAACCAATCATTTTGGTTGGTTCCAAGTCTTTGCTATTGCAAACAGTTCTGCAATAAATATACATGTGCATGTGTCTTTGTGGTAGAATGATTTACATTTCTTTGAGTATATACCTAGTAATGGGATTGCTAGGTGAATTGGTATTTCTGGTTCTAAATCTTTGAGGAATTGCCACACTGTCTTCCACAATGGTTGAATTAATTTATATTCCCACCAACAGTGTAAAAACATTCCCATTTCTCAACAGCCTCCTCAGCATCTATTTTTTCTTGACTTTTTAATGATTGCCATTCTGACTAGAATGAGATGGTATCTCATTGTGGTTTTGATTTGCATTTCTATAATGACTAATGATGTTGAGATTTTTTTCATATGTTTCTTGGCCACATAAATGTCTTCTTTTGAGAAGTGTCTGTTCATATTCTTAGCCTACTTTTTGATGGGGTTGTTTGATTCTTTCTTATAAAAAATTTGTTTAAGTACCTTGTAGATTCTGGATATTAGACCTTCATCAGATGGGTAGATTGCAAACATTTTCTCCCATTCTGTAGTTTGCGTGTTCACTCTGATGATGGTTTTTTATTTTTTTTCTGTGCAGAAGCTCTTTAATTAGATTCCATTTGTCTAGTTTGCTATTGTTGAAATAGCTTTTGGCATTTTTGTCATGAAATATGTGCCCATATTCTGAATGTTCTGTATGCCCATATTCTGTATGTTCTGAATGGTACTGCATAGATTTTCTTCTAGGATTTTTATAGTTTGAGGTTTTACATTTATGTCTTTAATCCACCTTGAGTTAATTTTTGTATAAGGTGTAAGGAAGGGGTCCAGTTTCTGTTTTCTGCATATGGCTTGCCAGTTTTCCCAGTACCATTTATTAAATAGGAAATCCTTTCCCCATTGCATGTTTTTGTCAGCTTTGTCAAAGATCAGATGTTTATAGATGTATGGTATTATTTCTGAGGTCTCTGTTCTGGTCCATTGGCCTATGTATCTGTTTTGGTACCAGTACCATGCTGTTTGGTTACTGTAGCCTTGTAGTATAGTTTGAAGTCAAGTAGTATGATGCCTCCAGCTTTGTTCTTTTGCTTAGGGTTGTCTTTTTTGGTTCTGTATGAAATTTAAAGCAGGTTTTTCTAATTCTGTGCAGAATATCAATGGTAGTTTGATAGGAATTGCATTGAATCTATAAATTACTTTGGGCAGCATGACCATTTTCATGTTACTGATTCTTCCTTTCCATGAGAATGAAATGTTTTTCCATTTGTTTGTGTCGTATCTTGTTTCCTTGAGAAGTGGCTTGTAGTTCTCCTTGAAGAGGTCCTTCACATCCCTTGTAAGCTGTATTCCTACATATTTTTTTCTCTCTGTAGCAATTGTGAATGGGAATTCATTCATGATTTGGCTCTTTGCTTGTCTTTTGTTGGTGTATAGGAATGCTTATGATTTTTGCACATTGGTTTTGTATCCTGAGAGGTTGCTGAAATTGCTTACAGCTTAAGGAGTTTTGGGGCTGACACGATGGGGTTTTCTAAATATAGAATCTTGTCATCTACAAACAGAGACAGTTAGACTTTCTCTCTTCCTATTTGAATATGCTTTATTTCTTTCTCTTTCCTGATTGCCCTGGCCAGAACTTCCAATACTAGGTTGAATAGGACTGGTAAGAAGGAGCATCCTTGTCTTGTGTTAGTTTTCAGAGGGAATGCTTCCAGCTTTTGCCCATTCAGTATGATGTTGGTTGTGTGTTTGTCATAAATAGCTCTTATTATTTTGAGATATGTTCCATCAATTCCTAGTATATTGAGAGTTTCTAACATGAAGGAATGTTGAATTTTATCAAAAGCCTTTTCTGCATCTATTGAGATAATGATGTGCTTTTTGTCATTGGTTCTGTTTATGAGATTATTGGGAAACCCGCCCCTGATAATTCAACATTATTTCACGTAAGTTCTTTTCTATTTCCCTAAGTGTCAGCCTGTCTGAGAAATAATGGAAAAGAGTACAAAAGAGAGAAATTTTAAAGCTGGGTATCTGGGGGAGACATCATATGTCAGCAGGTTCCATGATGCCCCCCAAGCCACAAAATCAGCAAGTTTTTATTAGTGATTTTCAAAAGGGGAGAGAGTGTACAAATAGGGTGTGGGTCATAGAGATCACATGCTTCACAAAGTAGTAAAATATTACAAGGCAAATAGAGGCAGGGCGAGATCACAGGACCAGGGCGAAATTAAAATTGCTAATGAAGTTTCGTGCACGCATTGTCATTGATAACATCTTATCAGGAGACAGGGTTTGAGAGCGGACAACTGGTCTGACCAAAATTTATTAGGCAGGAATTTCCTCATCCTAATAGTCCTGGGAGCGCTATGGGAGACCAGGGCTTATTTCATCGCTTATCTACAACCATAAAAGACAGACATTCCCAGAGTGGCCATTTCAGAGACCTACCCCTAGGAACGCATTCTCTTTCTCAGGGCTGTTTCTCGCTGAGAAAAAGAATTCAGCGATATTTCTCCTATTTGCTTTTGAAAGAAGAGAAATATGGCTCTGTTCCACCCGGCTCTCAGGCAGCCAGACCTAATGGTTATCTCCCTTGTTCCCTGAACGTCGCTGTTATCATGTTCTTTTTTCAAGGTTCCCAGATTTCATGTTGTTAAAACAATCTGTGCAGTTAACGCAGTCATCACAGGTTCCTGAGGTGACATACATCCTCAGTTTAAGAAGATGATGGGGTTAAGAGATTAAAGTAAAGACAGGCGTAGGAAATCACAAGAATATTGATTGGGGAAGTGATACATGTCCATGAAATCCTCAAAATTTATGTTCAGAGATTGCAGTAAAGACAGGCATAAGAAATTATAAAAGTATTAACTTGGGGAACTAATAAATGTCCATGAAATCTTCACAATTTATGTTCTGCTGCCATGGCTTCAGTGGGTCCCTCCATTCAGTGTCCCTGACTTCCCGCAACATGAGATGGATTACATTTATTGATTTGCATATGTTGAACCAGCCTTGCATCCCAAGGATGAAGCTGACTGGTTCATAGTGGATAAGCTTTTTGATGTGCTGCTGGATTTGGTTTGCCAGTATTTTATTGAGGATTTTTGCATCGATATTCATTAGGGATATTGGCCTGAAATTTTATTTTTTTGTTGTTTCTCTGACAGGTTTTGGTATCAGGATGAAGCTGCTCTCATAAAATGAGTTAGGGGAGTCCCTTCTTTTCAATTGTTTTGAATAGTTTCAGAAGGAATGGTATCAGCTCCTCTTTGTATTTCTGGTAGAATTCAGCTGAGAATTCATCTGGTCCTGGGCTTTTTTTGATTTGTAGGCTGTTAATTACTGCCTCAATTTCAGAACCAGTTTTGCATACCTATTTGTGACTAATGAGTAAAATAATCTCTAGCTAGAAAAATCATTGACCAGCAATTAATGTAATCTGAAACTGATTTTGCTGTCAGTCAGATGTATTTTATGACTATGTAAAATTATAGTTTTCATGAAGAGACATGAAGAAAATATCATTGTTTAATGATTCTAGAATCACTGGCCATGCAGTTTAGTAAATACAGAATATCAGCATTAAGAGTAGAAAGAAAATGGATAATGTTGTGGATAATCATCTTATGACTGATTAGAGCACAGAATTTCATTGACATGGCTCTACCTTTTACTACTGTAAGGAAAACGCTTTACTAAAGGACAGACATTATAACTACACAACATATTTAATAAGGCTCATTGATATTATTAATGTAGGAATACCTAAATGTCAAAAGAATAAAGTTGTTTCAATCTTATTGGAATGATTGGAAACATTGCAATAAAACAAAATATAAGACATTTTTCCTCTTCGCAAATTCCATTCCAAGCCTTTAATAAAGAGAAACTCAATTACAAAAAATATGAGTATGATAGTCTAGGGCAGCTTTATAGGCTTTATTTAGACAACATTATTTGTTGGCAGCCTCGACGGAGGTAGTAATTACTAGTGAGAAAAGCAAACACACAACAAAGAAAGATGGATCCATCTGAAGCATGAAAGTAAAGCTATTGTTTCTTTTATGAAAGGACAGTTAAAATTCTGCTGTGTTAAATTCTGCCATGTTAAAATTCTGCCATGTTAAAAAATTCTGCCATGGTAAAATTCAAATGAATGACCTTTTGCAATATATTGGAAACAAAAATACATTAATAAATATAGAAAACTGGGATGAGTTTGATTTTCTAATTGTAGAAAAAAACGAAAACAAAAACTTTAGACCTAGGCTATAATGTGAACTCCCAAAGTTTTACAAGAATTAAAATCTTCCAGGGTGTGGTCTCTAAACACATTAGAATGAATGTGAAAAATTAACAAAACATAGTAGCTCTAATACAAACTAGAAAACCTAGAAGAAATAAACTCCCAGAAACATATAATCTCCCAATATTAAACCAGGAAGAAATTGAATCCCAGAACAGACCAATAATGAGTTCTGAAATTGAATCTGTAATAAAAAAGTGTACAAACTACAAGAAGCCCAGGACCAGAGAGATTCACAGACAAATTCTACCAAATGTATAAAGAAGAGCTGGTACCATTCCTGTGGATATTGTCACAAACAATTAAGGAGGAAGGACTCCTCTGTATCTCATTCTACAATGAAAGCATTATTCTAATAATAAGCAGAGACAGAGACACAACAAAAAAAGAAGACTTCAGGCCTCTTTGATGAAAATTGATGCAAAAATTATCAACATAATACTAGCAAACCAAATCCAGCAGCACATCAAAAAGCTCATGGATAAATACTGTTAAAATGAACATACTGCCCAAAGCAATTTACAGACTCAGTGCTATTCCAATCAAACTACCAAGGTTATTCTTCACAGAATTAGAAAAAAAAACTATTTTAAAATTCATATGGTACCAAAACAGGGCCTGAATAGCCAAAGTAATCTTGAGAAAAAAGAAAAAAGCTGGAGGAATTACATTATCTGACTTCAAACTACAGTACAAGGCTACAGAAACCGAAACATAATGGTACTGGTATAAAAACAGACACATAGACCAATGGAACCAAAGAGCCCCCAAATAAAGCCACACATACCTACATTCATCTGATCTTCAACAACTGTGACAAGAACCAAGAACAAGCAATGAGGAAAGGAATCAATATTCAATAAATGATACTGGGATAACTGGCTACCTATATGCAAAAGACAGGAATTAGACCCTTTCCTTACACTGCATACAAAAATCAACTCAAGATGGACTAGAGGCTTAAATGTAAAACCCCATGTATAAAAACTCAGGAAGATAACCTAGAAAATATCATTCTGGACATAGGCTCTGGCAAAGATTTCATGACAAAGACACCAAAAGCAATTCCAACAAAAACACAAATTGACAAGTGGGACCTAACTAAACTAAGGAGCTTTTGCACAGCAAGAGAAACTACCAATAGAGTAAACAGACAACCTGTAGAATGGGAGAAAATATTTGCAAACCATGCATCTGACAAAGATCTAGTATCCAGAATATATAAGGAACTTAAACAAACTAACAAGCAAAAACCAAACATCCCCATAGAAAAGAAGGCAAAGGTCATGAACAGACACTTTTCTAAAGAAGACATACACATAGCCAACAAGCATATAAACAAATGCTCCACAGCTCTAATCATTAAAGAACTGCAAATTAAAACTACCATGAGGTACCATCTGACACCAGTCAGAATGGCTGTTATTAAAAAGAAAAAAAATAACAGATGCTGGGGAGGTTGTGGTGATAAGGGAACACTTATATACTGCTGGTAGGAATTTAAATTAGTTCAGTCATTGTGGAAAGCAGTTTGGTGATTTCTCAAAGAACTTAGAAGTACCATTTGACCCCGAAATCCAATTATTGGGTGTATATCCAAAGGAATATCAATCATTCTACCATAAAGACACATTCACATGTGTGTTTGTCACATTATTCACAATAGCAAAGACATTTGAATCAACTTAAATTCCCATCAATCTTAGACTGAATAAAGAAAATGTGGTACATATACACCATGGAATACTACGCAACCATAAAAAAAGAATGAGATAATGTCCTCTGCAGCAATATGGATAGAGCCAGAGGTCATTATCCTAAGTGAACTAATGCAGGAACAGAAAACCAAATATCACATATTTTCATTTTTTAAGTGGGAGCTAAACATTGAGTACACATGGACACAGGGAAACAACAGAGAGCTAATGTTATTCATAAGAACATTCTTTATTTTAAATACATATATCAGAAATAAATAAAGACGAAATCTGAGACCTGACTTCCCACCTCGAGAATCTGGGAAAACAGAAAGTCAACGTGTAGGAAGTAGTAGGAAGAAAATAATAAAGAGTAATTAGAAACAAATGAAATACAAAATAAAGTATGATAGAACAAATAAAGAAAAACAACTGTTGATGATTTTTTGAAATGATTAGTAAGATTGATAAACACACAAAAAGACTCACAATGAAAAATGTGAACAAATATGTACCACCAATAACAAAAATATGAACAAAGCAAAATGAGACAAACTGCAAGAAAAGAATGAATTGCAACATACTGTGTAGACATAGATAATATAAAGAACAACTTGAAATCAAAAAATGTATCATTTTTGTGCAATGGAAAAAATTTCTCAAAAAATACAACTTACCAATATTGACGCACACACAAAATATGAAATCTGAAGTGTGCAATATTGTTAAAGAATTTAAAGCTATCAATAAGTAATAAATTTTTCTAAAAATATTTAAAAATAAGTACTTATTTTGACTTTAAATTCAAGGGTAGTTTTGTTACATAGATAAACTTGTGTCATGGAGATTTTGTTGTATAGATTATTTAATCACCCAGGTATTAAGCCTAGTACCCATTAGTTATTTTTCCTATTCTCTCTCTCCTTCCACTCTCCACACTCCAAAAGGTCCCAATGTGTGCTGTTCCCTTCTATGTGTCTATGCATTCTCGTTATTTAGTTTCCACTTATACTTTCCTGTCCTGCATTAGTGATGACAGCCACGGGCCATCCAGATTGGCTGCTGCCATCACGCTGGTTACAGTGGGGAGGGGCAAGTGGTGGTGGCAGGAGCAGCTGTGTGAGTAGCAGTGGCGGTGGTGGGACCCCTGCGCCCCACATCTCCTGTGTCCTGCATCCCCGAGGTAGCCTACTGCACTGCTCCTACCCTCACCCAGCCGGGCAGGCCCTACTCCCAGGCCCAGAGCCTCCACTACTCCGAATCCTTACCCATCAGTGCTCTCGTGTACAGCTGCTTGGGGATTGGGGAGGGAGGAGGTGGGCAGTCCCTGGAGCCTACCCCTGGGAGCCTCCCAGAAACTGCTATGATGGGGGCCACCGCCATGAGGCCAGGCCAAGTCACTCGCTGGCAGAGGAGCAGTGCAGTCAGGCACAGGTTGGGGGATGAAGAAGCAGAGCTCTACCCAGGGTGGCACTGTGCTCCACAGAGCCAGTGGGAGCTGAGAACAAGCAAGGAGCCCCACCTCTTCCCAGTTGGTGGAGCAGGAGCGCCCCAGACACAACTGTAGCCTCCAAAGCTGCAGTTGCCACCTGGGCACCCCTGTGTTCTTGGCAGCCAGAAGCAGGCAGGAGCCCCACCATCCCAGGCACAGCTGCAGCCACCCAAGCCGCAGCTGTGGACCCAGGCATCCCTGCACTCTCAGGGGCCTGGAAAGGCCCCCCTTTCACCCTCAGGCTTGGAAGTGTCTGTTTCTGCTGCCTGGCTGCTCCCCACTTCTGGTACAGGCTCGGATCCTGGAGCAAAGATGGGACTAAGTCTGTGGGCCATCACAGCCTGGCCAGTTGTGTGTATGCTTGGGGCACTCCTGACATGTCAGCCCCCTACCACCTTGGCCACCTCCAGACTTTGGGCACCAAGGAGCATGGAAGGGAGGCCAAGGAGGGGCTGAGGGCAGCTTGACACTGGCCCGAAGGCACCCCTTGGCACAAACAGCCTGGGTGCCATGAAGGGTGGCAGGAGACAGGCTCCTGGGTGGAAGAGGGTGGGTCTCTGGTGAAGCCCCAGCTTCAAGCTGGGGAAGGCCTGAAGCCTGGGGGCTGTGCTGCTGGTCCCATAGACTGGAGTGGGAATGTGTGATGCTTTTCCCTGGGCCCACCCATGGCCACCCATGGACCAGTCAGCACCCACTTCCTTTCCTCTGAGGCCCATAAAAATCCCAGACTCAGCCAGACTCAAAGAGAGGATGGGAAGTGGATGGGGAGACAACAGGTTGACCAACTGCAGAGAGAAAGTGAGGAGGCTGCAAGATGACCATTTGCAGAGAGGAGCTACCTTGTCCACTGAAAGCTGAAAAAGATGATAGGTTGACCAGCTGTGAAGAGGAGCTACCCTCTGTGCTCTCTGAGAGCTGAGCACTTGTTGGGATGACCTGCCTAGAAGAGAGGAGCTACACTCTGTGCTGAGAGCTGAACACTCATTGAAACACCCTGGCTATGGAGAGAAGCTGCCCACTACAGGTCTCCTCTGAGCTGTTCTATTGGTCAATAACATGCCTCTTTGTCTTCCTCACCCTCCACTTTTCTGTGTACCTCATTCTGCCTGGACACAGGACAAGAACTTGTGACCCACTGAATGGTGAAGCTAAAAGAGCTGTAACATAAACAGGGCTGAAACATGTCCCTTGCTCACCACATTGAGTGTGAAGAGGACAGAAGAGCAATAGGCCTTTGGGGAGCCCAGACCTGAGAGCTCCCTGAGCCAGGGCTGTTACTCTCTCTTTCAGGCTCTGCAGTTTCTGGTGTCTCCAAGCTTCCAGGTGCTACCACATTCCCCGGTGCTAGCCGGGGCAGCTGCCTGCAGCACGCCTGATTGAGCTGCAGCCTCACAGAGAGCAGGAGCCCATGCTGGCACCTGGAGCTGCCTGTGCCATGTCAGTAGCCAGCGGGTCTGACTGTACACAGTGGCTGGACTCCATGCTCACTCACACACCCCTCACCACTCAACGCCTGACTTGCTGTCTCCCTTGGAGGCATAGGATCCAGGCCAGTAATGCGAGCTGAACTTAGCCTGCCAGGCTGAGTGGGTGGAACAAGCCCAGCAGGCCCAAGCAAAACTTGAGCAAAGGTGCCACAAGCCAGAGATTTTCAGCCAGAAAAGTGACTCCCCAAACATCCAGTAGCATTAGTTTGCTAAGGAAAATGGCCTCCAGCTCCATACATGTCCCTGCAAGGGACATGATCACATTCTTTTTTATGGCTGCATAGTAGTCCATGGTGTGTGTGTGTGTGTGTGTGTGTGTGTGTGTGTGTGTGTGTGTGTGTGTGTGTACATGTTCTTTATCCAGCATATCATTGATGGACATTTAGGTTGATTCCATGACTTTGCTACTGTGAATAGCGTCGCAGTGAACATATGCGTGAATGTGTCTTTTTAATAGAATAATTTCCATTCCTGGCAGGGTTTGGTGGCTCACGCCTGTAAACCCAGCACTTTGGGAGGCCGAGGCAGGCGGATCACGAGGTCAGGAGATCGAGACCATCCTGGCTAACACGGTGAAACCCCGTCTCTACTAAAAATAGAAAAAATTAGCTGGATGTGGTGGCGGGTGCTTGTAGTCCCAGCTACTCGGGAGGCTGAGGCAGGAGAATGGCATGAACCCAGGAGGCAGAGCTTGTAGTGAGCCGAGATAGTGCCACTGCACTCCAGCCTGGGCAAAAGAGCAAGACTCCATCTCAAAAAAAAAAAAAAAAAAAAGAAAGAATAATTTCTATTCCTTTGAGGATATGCCCAGTAATGGGATTGCTGGGTCAAATGTTATTTCTGTCTTTAAGTCATTGAGGAATTGCCACACTGTCTTCCACAATGGTTGAACTAATTTACACTCTCACTAACAGTATATGTATTCCCTTTTCTACACGATCTCGCCAGCATTTGTTATTTTTTGACTGTTTAATAGTAGCCATTCTGACTGAGGTGAGATGGTGTCTCATTGTGGTTTTGATTTGCATTTCTCTAATGATCAGTGATGTTGAGCTTTTTATCATATGATTGTTCACCACATGCATGTCTTTTTTTGAAAAGTGTCTGTTCATGTCCTTTTAATGTTTTTTTTTCCTTGTAAATTTAAGTTCCTTATAGAAGCTGGATACCAGACCTTTGTTGGATGGATAGTTTGCAAAGATATTCTCCCATTTTTTAGGTTGTCTGTTTACTCTGTTGATAGTTTCTTTTGCTGTGGAGAAGCTCTTTTGTTTGTTTAGATTTTGTTTGTCGATTTTTACTTTTGTTGCAATTGCTTTTGGCTTCTTCATCATAATATCTTTGCCCCTGACTATGTCCTGAATGGTATTGCTTCAGTTGTCTTCCAGGGTTTTTATAGTTTGGGGTTTTACATTTAAGTCTTTAATTCATCTTGAGTTAATTTTTGTATATGTTGTAAGTCAGGGGTCCACTTTCAGTCTTCGGCATATGGTTAGCCAGTTATCCCAGCACAAGTTATTGAACAGGGAATGCTTTCTCCATTGCTTGTTTTTGTCAGGTTTGTCAAAGATCAGATAGTTGTAGGTTTGCAGTCTTATTTCTGGGTTCTCTATTCTGTTCCCTTGGTCTATGTTTCTGTTTTTGTACCAGGGCCATGCTGTTTCGGTTACTGTGGCCTTGTATTGGGTTGGTGCAAAAGTAATTGCTGTTTTTCCATTACTTTTAATGACAAAAACTGCAACTGTGCACCAACGTATAGTTTGAAGTCGATGGCATGATGCCTCCAGCTTTGTACTTTGTGCTTAGGATTGTGTTGGCAATTTGGGCTCTTTTTTTGGTTCAATATGAATTTTAAAATAGTTTTCTCTAGTTCTGTGAAGAATGTCAATGGTAGTTTAATAGGATAGCATTGAATCTATAAGTTGCTTTGAGCAGTATGGCCATTTTAATTCAAGTAACAACTGATATTTCTTTCCCAAATCTTTTTCTGAGGCTGTATTTATCATAACATAATAAATAAGTAACCAAGGGCATTACAAGAAAGAAAAATTACCAATTGATCTCTCTTGCGCAATTAGATACATATATATCCTAAACAGAAGATGAGTGGAGTTTATTTCAGAAATGTGATGCTGATTTAATATTTGAGAAGCAATTATTATAATGTATCCACCACATTAATGAAAAAGTGAGAAATATTATATAATCATTTTAATGTATATGGAAAAATGATAAAATTTAACAACCATTCATGATACAGACTCCTTGCAAACCAAGAATAAAATGAATCTTTTTTAATTTTGTAAAGAAATAATACAAAACCTATAGTAAATATCACATTAAATGATAAAAATATTTAAATATTTCTCCCACAGATAAGCAAATAATTACATTTGCCCATTGTTACTGTTTCATTCAACACCATCCTGGTGGTCCAAGACAGTGTAATAAGACAAGATAAAATTTAAGGTATAAAAACTGGAAAGAAAGAACTAAAACAGCCATTATTTGCCAATTACAGAATGATATAATTAAAAAAATACAGGAAAATTTATGAATTTAGCAATGTTTGTGGGTAAACCTCAAGAAACAAATCAGTTTTATTTCTATATCTAAAAAAACTAGAAAATTAATTTGCATTATTTAAAGCATTATTTTCACTGTTACAAAGAAACATTAAATACTTCAGTACAGCTGATAAAAGTTTTGCAATAAGCTTGAAACCACGAAAACATTTTGAGAAAATATTTAAAAGCCTATAAAAGGATGAACATGTTATGTATATGTTTTTAATGCTATACAAAATATCAGATGTTTCTAAGCTGATCTATATTTTCAGTGATATCCCCATTTAAATACCAGCCACTTTGTGGGGAAACAGATGATTGACAAGCACATCTAAAATTTACATAAAATAGCAAATGACCAAGAATATCCACAGCTGGCACAAAGACCAAAACAAGAATTTACACTATTAGAGATCAAGACAAAATAGAGCCTAGAAATAGAACTCAGAATGTACATCCACTTGACACATGATAAAAGCTATATTAGAATTCCACAAGGAAAATAGAAACGTTTTATTAAATCTATCTAGATTAATTAGATATCCTTTTTAAAAATGTATCTTAATCCCCATTTTATACCATATCCAGAACATAGATATTTAACACATTAAAAGATAAACCTATAAAGCTATAAAAGAAAACGAAGGTGAACATCTTCATGACTCTGATGTAGGCAAAGTTTTGTCAAAGACAAAGGACTAATAATGTAAGTATAAAAATGATACGCTGTACTACAGTGAGATGTGTATTCATCAAAGTACATTAGAGGAATGTAATGGAAAATCAGAATATGAGAAGAGATATTTACAATACACATTCTCCAAGAAATGCATATACTCAGAATATATACAAAGGGATTTTAAGAGCAGTTATGAAATGACAGGCTGTCTCCAAAGAAAAATTGGCAAAATTATAAAGAAGTAATTCACAAGAGATTATTCAAATGGACAATAAATGCATAAAAATGTGCCCTTAACTCTCCTAGTAATGAGGCACAAAAGCAAATAAGAGATAATGCTACATTCCCAGCAGAATCACTAAAATAATGAAGAGATTGAAAGACAAGGTCAAGACACATTGTAGAACAAAGGCAGCTCTCATACACAGCTGGTGAGTAAACTGCTATAATCACTTTGAAAAGCTATTTGGTACAATTACTAAGGTTGAACTCAGGCATAATTATGGTAAATAATTTTAGTTCTCTGTGTATACCTAAAACAAATGTGTACATATGTTCATCAAACATATGAGGGAGGGAGGGATGGAGGGAGGAAGAGAGAGAGAGGCAGGGTGGGGGGGGGGTAGAGAGAGAAACAGAAAGAGAGAGAGAGAGAGAGAGCCATAATGTTCAAAGTAGTACTGCACGTAGTAGTTTAAAATCAGAAATACCCAAATGCCCTTGAACAGTAGAATGTGTAAATATGTTGCAGTATTTTTAAAAACGAAATGCTACATAGAAATGATAGCAAAATATAATGGAATCTCATAAACATAAATGAAGAGCAAATGAAGCCAGTTACAAACACTGTATGATTCAATTTAGATAAAAGTTCAAAAGCAGGCAAAACATATCTATCGTTTTCTTTCTTTCTTTCTTTTTTTTTTTTTTTTGAGACGGAGTCTCGCTCTGTTGCCCAGGCTGGAGTGCAGTGGCACGATCTGGGCTCACTGCAAGCTCCGCCTCCTGGGTTCACACCATTCTCCTGCCTCAGCCTCCTGAGTAGCTGGGACTACAGGGGTTGGCCACCACGCCTGGCTAATTTTTTGTATTTTTAGTAGAGACGGGGTTTCACCGTGTTAGCCAGGATGGTCTCGATCTCCTGACCTCGTGATCCACTCGCCTGGGCCTCCCAAAGTGCTGGGATTACAAGCGTGAGCCACCGCGCCTGGCCTACATATCTATAGTTTTCAAGTCACAATGGTAGTGTGGTGTCTCTGCAATCCAAGGTGGTGGGAGTTTAGGAAGGTTATGATTGGTAAGAGCACAAGTAGACTTTGAGGATGTCAGAAATGTTGGGTTTCTTGATCTGGGTTCTGGCTACACAGTTTCTTATTTTGTAAAATTCATTGAGCTTTACATATACAGTATGCATACTTGTTTGCAGGTGGGTTGTGCTGAATAGATAGTTTAAAATGTTTGCATAGAAGGACTAGCATTAAACGGATTAAAATAGTAAGAATGTGTATCTCTGTAAGAGAGAGTCCATCATCCTCTCACCTGTTTCAGAGATTGTATGACTAATAGAATTAGTATTCAATGAGATGTTAGGCAGTGTCTAAAAATAAGCTATATAATCAAATATCTTGTACTTGGTGAACTACCATTAATATTCTCATTTTAAAAACAATGAGAAACTTCAGAGAAAGCACAGCTATTTTATATTGTAAACTTAGAATTTCACAAAACTAATAGTCAGTGGGATATTAGCTCCATTATATTCTCTTCAAATGCCTAGAAGAATTCAATAATTTTTCAAAAAAAAACTTTGAGAAATACTTTACTTCCTAAAATATTCTGAAATGTTATCAACTAAGAAATAAGCTATAGATTACCATAGCAGTTCACAAACTCCTCCTGCCCTAGAGGCTCCAATTGAAAGCCAAAGTAAGCCCTAGCTTTTATAACTAATTGATGATATTCCTGGTTCTCAAACTCAGGTATAAAGAAGCTATGATTTTCTATACATCAATTCAGTCTTTGAATCACTATTCATTTGCATCATTTAAAAACTGGACCTCGGCTCCAGCCTAGTTTTCATTCTCTCCTGTAAGGCCCTGATTTGCCCCCTCTTGCTCACTCTGCTCTAGCCACAGCGGCCTTCTAGTAGTTTTTGAAACAAACCAGGCACCCTTCTTTCCTACCTGGGGCATTTGTATGTGCTGCTCTCATTGCATGAGTCTTCCTCACATTTTCATATGTCCTGCATTCTCACCTCCTTCATTGTCTTGAAGCAAATGTCACCTTATCAATAAGGCCTTACAGTATAAAATTGCAAGCGGTCAACCTTCTTTATAGCCACTTTTCTTTTCTTTTCTTTTCTTTTCTTTTTTGAGATGGAGTCTTGCTCTGTCGCCAGCCTGGAGTATAGTGGCGCAAACTCAGCTCACTGAAACCTCCGGCTCCCAGCTTCAAGTGATTCTCCTGACTCAGCCTCCCGAGTAGCTGGGACTACAGGTGCGCACCACCATGCCCAGCTAATTTTTGTATTTTTAGTAGAGACGAGGTTTCACCATGTTAGCCAGGATGGTCTTGATTTCTTGACCTCGTGATCCACCCACCTCAGCCTCCCAAAGTGCTGGGATTACAGGCGCGAGCCACTGCACCTGGCCTATGTTTTTTTTTTTTTTAATTTGAAAATTCAGCTATTTTCTCTCTCTCTCTCTCTCTCTCTCTTTTTTTATTATACTTTAAGTTCTGGGATATATGTGCAGAACGTGCAGGTTTGTTACATAGGTATACACGTGGTGGTTTCCTGCACCCGTCAATCCATCATCTACATTAGGTGTTTCTCCTAATGCTATCCCTCCCCTTGCCCCCCATCCCCCAACAAGTTCTGGTGTGTGATGTTCCCCTCCTTATGCCCATATATTCTCCTTGTTCGACTCCCACTTATGAATGAGAACATGCAGTGTTTGGTCTTCTATTCCTGTGTTAATTTGCTAAGAATGATGGTTTCCAGCTTCATCCATGTCCCTGCAAAGGACATGAACTCATTCTTTTTTATAGCTGCTTATACTCCACGGTGTATTTGTGCCACATTTTCTTTATCCAGTCTAACATTGATGGACAATTGGGTTGGTTCCAAGTCTCTGCTATTGTAAACAGTGCTGCAATAAACATACGTGTGCATGTGTCTTTATAGGAGAATGATTTATAATCCTTTGGGTATATACCCAGTAATGGGATGGCTGGTCAAATGGTATTTCTAGTTCTAGATCCTTGAGGAATCGCCACACTATCTTCCACAATGGTTGAACTAATTTGCACTCCCACGAACAGTGTAAAAGCGTTCCTGTACCTCCACATCCTCCCCAGTATCTGTTGTTTCCTGATTTTTAATGATTGTCATTCTAACTGGCATGAGATGGTATCTCATTGTAGTTTTGATTTGCATTTCTCTAATGATCAGTGATAATGAGCTTTTTTTTCATATGTTTGTTGGCCACATAAATGTCTTCTTTTGAAAAGTGTCTGTTCATGTTCTTTGCTCACTTTTTGATGGGGTTGTTGGTTTTTTCTTGTAAATTTGTTTAAGTTCTTTGTAGATTGTGGATATTAGCCCTTTGACAGATGGATAGATGGCAAAATTTTTCTCCCATTCTGTAGATTGCCTGTTCACTCTGATGATAGTCTCTTTTGCTGTGCAGAAACTCTTTAGTTTAATTAGATCCCATTTGTCAATTTTGGCTTTTGTTGCCATTTCTTTTGTTATTTTAGTCATGAAGTCTGTGCCCATGCCTATGTCCTGAATGGTATTACCTAGAAGCATCAGGCTACCTGACTTCAAACTATACTACAAGCCTACAGTAACCAAAAAAGCATGGTACTGGTATCAAAGCAGATATATAGACCAATGGAACAGAACAGAGACCTCAGAAATAACGCCACACATCTACAACCATCTGATCTCTGACAAACCTGACAAAAGCAAGCAATGGTGAAGGAATTCCCTGTTTAATAAATGGTGCTGGGAAAACTGGCTAGCCATATGCAGGAAATTGAAACTGGACCCTTTCCTTACACCTTATAGAAAAATTAACTCAAGATAGATTAAGTATTTACACCTAAGACCTAAAACCATGAAAACTCTATAGCCACTTTCTGCTCCATGTTTCTCCCTAGCATGTCTCACAATCTTGCATAGCACATTTATCATTAGATATGTATAATGATATCTATATCTACCTATATCTATAAATATCTATAATGATATATTTACATATATCTATTTATAAATATATAATTATATAAATTATATAATTATAGATCTATAGTGACATATAATTATAGATAGATGTAGATATAGATATCACTATCCATATATAATGTGTGTACCAACCACATTAATGAAAAAATGAGAAATATTATACAATCATTTTAATTTACATGGGAGAAAATTATAAAATTTAACAGCCATTCATGAGACAGACTCTTTGCAAACCAAGAATAAAATGAAACTTTTTAATTTTGGAAAGAAATAATACAAAACCTATAGTAAATATCATATTAAATGATAAAATATTTTCTCCCACAAATAATAAAATAACTACAACTGCCCACTGTTACTATTTCATTTAAAGCTATGTTGGTGGTTGAAGACAAATAATATATATATATATATATATATATACACAATTTTATTACATATGATTTTATTATATATAATTTTATTTTATATATAAGTTTATTTTTATATATATTTATATATGTGTGTGTATATATATATATATATATATATATATATTTGTGTGACCTTAGAACAAGAACTCACTCATCACCAAAGCCCAAGCAATTTATGAGGTATGCACCCCATGATACATATATAGCTGAAGCCCCGTATAAAATATATATATGTCTCCCTCCCTTTTCCCCTACGGCTACATTCTTGGCACCCAGAGCAGTGCCTGGCACAGAGGAGATGCTAGATATACACTTGTTGAATGAGTGAATGGGAGTATTATCAGTGCATCTCAATGGGCTCCATAGCAAACCCTCAGTCTTTGAATTTCAAAGTTCATTTTGAGATACCCATCACTCAAGTCTACATGGCCCTCAGACAGTATTACAACTTGCATGCAAACTGTCACAGAAAACTTTTGTTATTTACTTATTGTCCTGTCTATCCAGATTCTCTATGAGAGTATCTCTCTCCCCACTCTTGCCACTGCCTTGATTATGCTAATCAAAAGAAAGTTGTGCTTTCCTTCTGCTCTTGGACCTAAAGATCTTTTGCACTGTCTTTTCTCAGCCACAGTACAAAAGAATAACTAATAATGTATGGCTTTCTTAAAAATATTATGAAACTTTGCAGCCATTTAAAATTATACAAAATAAAACTCCTGTGTTATTTGTTATTTGTATATGTTCAAACATATACAAAATGTATATAACAGTATATTAAACTCCATTAGTCAAATTAACCAACTCATGGCCAATTATGTAATGCCTGTACTGTCATCCACTTCCCCCTTGATTATTTCGAAGCAAAACAAGACATATTTTTATAAGTAAATTTTCAGTATGTATTTACTATGTGTTATTTAAAGATAGAACTCTTTAAAAATTGTAACCATAATACTATATCACTCCTTAAATGATTAACAGTAATTCTTAATGTCTTCAAATATCTAGCCATTGATAATATTTTTCCTATTGTCTCTCTTTTGTTAAATTAAAAAATAGAAATAACTGGAGTCCATAGGTTTAATTGGTTGATATCTTTTTTATTTAGAGTGATATATCCCAGTTGTCTGGGTGGCATCCCTGCTTACACAGTTTGGCCAAGCATAATTTTTAATAGTAACCCCTTTCATTCTCAAAGTGTCCTGTTTACATGACCAATTATATAGTTATCTTTTGCATAACTGTCCTTTAATGTATAGGTTCTACCTTTTCCTCTTTACTTTCCCGTTAGATTGTAGTTTTGTTGAAGAAGCAGGTTGGCTATCCTACAGATATTTTTGTAATCTCTAATTTGGCATTTGCACCATTTTTTATTGTTGAACACGTTCTTCTGTTCTCAGTATTTCTGGGTAAACTGGTTTTAAGATATAGTGCCATGGTGAGATGCAAGTTTGGTTGTTTCAGTGAAAGTATTTCCTAGATGGTATTTCATACTTCCAACGAGTGAGATATAAATCTTGATAAATTTTTCTCTTGTGATGCTAACAAGCATTAGTAATCAACTCCTAGATTCATTATTTGATTGGGGTTAAAAATTGTAGACATGTAATATATATATATATAAAATATATATAAATATATATATAATATATATAAAAATATATAAATATATATATAATACATATATATACATAAAGGGGAGTAGATTAAGTATTAACTCACACAATCACAACGTCCCACAATAGGCCGTCTGCAAGCTGATGAATAAGGAGAGTCAGTCCCAGTCCCAAAACTGAAGAACTTGGAGTCTGATGTTCAAAGGCAGGAAGCATCCAGAACTGGAGAAAGATGCAGGCTGAGAGGCTAGACCAGTCTAGTCTTTTCACGTTTTTCTGCCTGCTTTATATCCTGGCCACACTAGCAGTTGATTAGATGGTGCCCACCCAGATTAAGGGTGGGTCTGCCTTTCGCAGCCCGCTGACTCAAATGTCAATCTCTTTTGGCAACACCCTCACAGGCACACCCAGGATCAATACTTTGCATCCTTCAATCCAATCAAGTTGACACTCAGTATTAACCATCACAACTTCTAATATTCCTTCCTAATTTTTAGGTAGAAAATGATTTCAAAAAGAAGTTTCCTCCATCAACATTTAGATTCCCAGAGGTATAGTTGTTTAGGCAATGCAGAATAAATGCTTGATGTTTCTCGTTGTTTGTCAGTTTTTAAAATGTTAAGTTTCATACTTAACAACCACAAAAGTGACAATTGTTAGCTCATGGATTTAAAATGTTGTATGTGTTTCAATTCATTACAATAATTATTGTTGAAGCTCAATTTTCCTATCTTCTGCCAATGGTCGATTCCTCTTGCTGGATTCTCTGAACTTTAAACAAGAAAATAAGAATATTTAACAGCATACTTCCATTTAAGTTTGGCAAGATGCAGGTATATCTTAGAGGTATTCCAGGTTCTGTTCCAGAACACTGCAATTAGGCCAATATCACAATAAAGTGAGTCACATGAATGTTTTTTCTTCTCAGTGCAAATTAGTTAGGTTTATACCACATTGTATTCTGAGCGTGCAATAACACTACTTCTTAAACAGTGTACATATCTGACTTGAAAATAATTTACTGCTAAAAAATGCTAATGATCATCTTAGCTTTCGGCAAGTCATAATCTTTTTGTTGGTGGAGGACCTTGCCTCGATGTTCATTGCTGTTCCCTGATCAGGGTGATGGTTGCTAAAGGTTAGGAGGGCTGTCGCAATTTCTTCAGATAAGACAACAATGAAGTTGCCATATTGATTGACGCTTCCTTTCACAAAAGATTTATCTGTAACATGTGATGTTGTTTCATAGCATTTTCACCATAGTAGAACTTCTTTCAAAATTAGAATCGATCCTCTCAAAACCTGCTGCTGCTTTATTATCTAAGCATATGTAACCTTCTAAGCCCTTTGTTGTCATTTCAACAGTTGTCACAGCATCTTCACCAGCGGAAGATTTGTCTCAAGAAATCACTTTGCTCATTCATGAGAAGCAGTACTCCATCCTTTCAAATTTGTATTGTGGGACTACAGTAATTGAGTTATATTTTCAGGCTTCACTTATCATTCTAATATTCTCTTGCTATTTCCACCTTATTCGCAGTTACTTCTTCCACTGAAGTCTTGACTCTTTCAAAGTCATCCATGAGAGTTGGAATCAACTTCTTTCAAGCTCCCATTAATGTTGATATTTTTACCTCCTCCCATGAAACACAAGTGTTCTTAATGACATTTGGAATGATGAATTGTTTTCAGAGATTTTCAATTTACTTTGGCCAGATCTATCAGAGTAATCACTATCTATTGCAACTATAGCCTTATGAAATATATTTCTTAAATAATAAGAATTAAACTTCAAAATTACTCCCTGATCCATAGGCTGCAGAATGGCTGCTATTTAGTAGGCCTGAAAGCCATATTAATCTTTCTTTACAGCCCCATCAGAGCTCTTGGATGACCAAGTGCTTTGTCAATGAGTAGTAATATTTTGAAAGGCATCTCTTTGTCTGGGCGATAGGTCTCAACAATGGGTTTAAAATATTCAGTAAACAATGTGGTTAAAATGGATGTGTTGTCATCCAGGCTTTGTTGTTTCATTTCTACAGCACAGGAAGAGTAGATTTGGCAAAATTCTTAGTGCCCCAGGATTTACAGTGTAGTAAATGAGCATTGGCTTCATCTTAAAGTCACTAGCTACATTAGCTCCTAACAAGAGTGTCAGCCTGTCCTTTAAAGCCTTGAAGCCAAGCATTGACCTCTGTCCAGCTTTGAAAGTCCTAGATGGTATCTTGTTTCAATAGAAAGCTGTTTTATCTACATTAAAAATCTGTTGTTTAGTGTGGCCACCTTCATCAATGATCTTAGCTAGATTTTCTGAATAACTTGCTACAGCTTCTGGAAAAGCACGTGGTGCTTCACCTTGTACTTGTACATTATGAAGATGGCTTATTCCCTTAAGCTTCAGAAAAGAACCTCTGCTAGCTTTCAACTTTTCTTCTGTAGCTCCCTCACCTCTCTAAGCCTTCGTAGAATTGAAGAATTATTGCTTTGAATTAGGTTTGGGCTTAAGGGAACATTGTGGCTGGTTTGATCTTCTATGCAGACTCTCAGATGTATTGCTTGTACACAAAATGCAGAATAAATGGTAGGTGCTTTATTTCATTTGCTGGTAAAACTTTCTCCACATTGGCATTAATGCTGTTTTATTTATTTATCTTTCATGTTCTCACTTGAGTAGCATTTTTAATTTTCTTCAAGAATTCTTCCTTTGCATTCATAGTTTGGCTTTTTGGCACAAGAGGACTAGCTTTTGATCTATGTAATCTTTCAACACGCCTTCCTCACTAAGATTAATCATTCTTTGCTTTTGATTTAAAGTTAAAACATGTGACTGTTCCTTTCACTTAAACATTTAGAGGCCATTGAAAACATTTATTGGCCTAGTTTCAATCTTGTTGTGACTCAGGGAAGAGAGAGACTGAAAAAGAGGAAGAGAGATGTGGGGGAACAACAAGTCAGTGGAATGGTCAGAACACACACAATACCTACTAAGTTTTCTGTCTTATATGGGCATAGTTCATGGCATCCCAAAACTACAACAGTAATATCAAATATCACAGATCACAGATTGCCATAGCAGATATAAAAATAATTTAGAAATTTGAAATATGGTAAGAATTACCAAAATGTGACACAGACATAAAGTGAGCTCATGCTGTTGGAAAAATGGCACCAATAGACAGGCTTGACACAGGGTTGACACAAACCTTCAATTTGTAAAAAGCATAACATCTGCAAAGTGCCATAAAGCGAGGTGAGATAATACAACTTATGCCTGTATTTTATGCACATTTTGAACATGTCTTGACCAGATTCTTCTCTTTGGTGGAGAGGAGGGAGTTGTTGAGAGGGGAAGGGTGTTTGCAGGGAGAGGAGTCATGGCATTTTGAGGATACAGTCCAGGTGTCAGTGATACACATTGCTAGAGGATTGGTCTATTTGGAAACATAGATAGAAAATATGTCTATTTTATGCAAGTATATGAGTCATATACTTATTCTTGTACACTTAGAAACGTAGGTTTTTATTTGTCCTTAATAATATTATACCTGCAGCTGATTTATTCTACCCAAACATGCCAGCTTGCTGTAACATCACCACAGTTATTTCCATTATTTCACAGTAAAGTCAAAGCAGTCTCAGAATAATGTGATAGATACACTATCACTGAGAAGCTCAAATAGTTACAATATTTTTTGTCATTTTTCCCCCTTAAGACATATCCTACTGTGGGGGTAATATTCAAAATACTGTATTTTTAAACTCTTACAAAAATTCCTCAGTTAAGTGTTATGCCAACATTCAGTATACTAATTTGTTTCATTTTCTTGTCTTTACAGAATAAGATTTTAACGACTTCTTTTCATATATATATAATATTTACACAATTCAGAATCATATATATGAACAAAATAAGCCTAAGGAAATTTAGTTTATATCTTTGTTCTCTGGTTGCCTCTAAACTGCATACTTCAATTCCTCCCTCATATACAAGCGTTTATTAAAAATAATTTGATCATACATATATGTAAACTCTATGTATGTATATAAATTTTCTCTATATGTATTCCCCATTCTTAGATAAGTAAAGGTATACACAGTTTAATCTGCCTTTACAACATATCTTGAAGACAACTTCATAAATCATGTATAAAAGTACACCTCATACCTTCTCAGAGCTGCCTAGTACCCTGTTACATCATAGTACTGTGACTTGTTCAACTGTTCTCTGATTCATAAATATCTGAAGTTCTCTTGGTTTTCTATTGCAAACAATAACCTTGTGTATACTAACGATTCTAATTTAAAAGCAATGCAGGACTACCGTAAGCAAGAAAGATGCCAGTACTTAGAGGGTTTTGCACTAATTCTCTAACCTGTCGAAATTCAGGATTCTTTCCTTCTGTTGGTTAGACTACATTTGAATTATTTTGATTGCATTGAACTACAAATATTTTGATCTTCTGAGTCAAAGACCACTTCAATTACTTTACATATTAAATGCAGTATCATACATTATGTAGCTATTACTCACACTCTGAACAATCTTCTGAAATAAGGATAGGACATATGATCACTGCAAAGATATTGAACTCTGCAACTTATGTCATTGAGTACTAGATATCTGGTAGATTTTGTCTAAAAACAACTCCTCATTTGGGCTACCACATCTTATTAAAATATCTTATTAAAAATATTAAATAAAATATCTTATTAAAGGTATTAAATAAAATACCTTATTAAAGGTATTTATAATTCCTTTAATTACTTCCTGCAAAAAAAATACAGGCTAATTATGAAATCCAGTCACAAATTTTGTTCACATTCTTTGGATACAAAGGAAAAAATGTTATTTTCCTTTGTTTCTAACTTATAAGTGAAGAAAACATATGCAAATTGTGAGAATGAATTCTTTTCAAACAAAGCAATTCCATTTTAGGAAGGGATTTGCAGCTATTACTTGTTTTCCTTTCTAAAATGTAAGATCTATGCTACTTTTTTTTATAATGAGACACAAGAATTTATCAAATCTTAAGAACAATGGTTACAGTCTAATAGTCACATTTTTTTTCTGCAAAGAGAAACAATTTCATGTAGTCTAGTTAAGTTCTCATGTCAGATCTAAAGACTTTTCTGAGAGTCTTACATAATTGCAGAAACAAAAAAATAATGGAGTGGTTTTGTGAGTTCAAACTTCATCAAATTTGTGTATTAGAATGCCTCCACTCGCTTGGCCTATTCGGAAGTCCCAGTAGAAAAATATCCAACAGAATTTTTATATTAGAGTGGTTAAATTTACATCTAATGCATATTTGAAAAAGTATACATTTGCTTATGATTGTCTTTCATACATCTGTGTGACAAATATTGAATATTAATTATATAAATTAATTCCTAGTAATAGTAACCTAATATGTCATTCAATACATAAAAAATAAAACTATTTTTTTTACAACTACTATGCTAATTTTGGCCACTTTCTTGAAAACAAGCTAAAAATAATCAGCAACTATCTTGTAGGGATAGCCCTATGAAATGTATTTTATCCTCCTTAATGTTATTAGGAATACAGTTTAATTTATCAAGAAGGATCTTTTAGTGGAAGAAAGTTGGGAAGAAATTATTTTTTGTTTTTCTATTCTTCTTTTGAAATGTTTTTCTCTTGATTATGTTTTTATTTTATGAATGCAGTAAACTTTGTAACTAATATGATTTACCTTTTAAAGTTTTGATTTTTAAAAGGTATGAAAACTAAACTGCAGAGCAATTCTAGTCATATCAGTATAGTTCATATTTCTGAATATGTTTATGTGGTTATCATTGTTTTACTTTATCTTTCTCATAAGACATAATTTACTAATATATATCTGATTCACTAATATACTAATTCACTATTTATTATTGAAAAAGGTATATTACCATCAGGTCACAATTAATAATGACAAGAATAATAATTATACTCCATGTCCAAGGTCATTCTGTATCCACAATGTCACAAAACTGATTAATTTATTTTTAAACTTTGATATGTGAAAAAACAGTCTTTTCATTTTAACTCAACAGATATTTAACAGAATTAGATTTTTTATTAGAAGTTTACATGTCAGAAAAATTTCTTCTTTAATTTATTGAAACCTTTCAGCAGGAAACAAAGCATATTTTGTAGGTTGTCAGCAGGAAAATAATTAGTGGGTAAGATGATGACTTCATAACCTGCAATTACGCACATAAATGAATTAGAACAAAATGAAGTATTATCAATCTTAATGCACATTACAGAATTGAGAGAAACATTAGTACCATGACAGCAAATTACTTAAGAATCAGTGATGTTAGATTTACTAAGATATACTTTAATAATGGTCACCATAGAATGAATTGCTAAATGCCATTCCTACCCGCACAAGTATATCTCACTTTATTTGACCACAGAACAGTTGAAAGAGCCTTTGAATGCAACCAGGAGTTGCAATAAGAGGCAATTAATGATCCATAAAAGGGGATCCATCTTTATGTGTAGCTTACTTTACTGATTTTTTTTGGGAATGCTAGTCCACATCGAACAAATTAAAATAGTAAAAAACACTCCAAAGAAAGATTCCTATATACAGGACTAATAACTTTGCAGAAACACAAAAAGCAATCTGGTATTCAGAAGACCTTTGAACTCCAGAAAAAGAGTGCAATCCCTTTTCACAATTTCCCTAAAATAGGAAAGATTATACTGCATGATTCAGAGCAAGTTATTTTTATTTGGTTATTAACAGTAACATAAAATGGAAACAATAGCTCGCTAAGCTTGCTAATGTTTGTAAATGATCTCACATTTTCTTATTCACTTCAAATTAGATTTGCATATACAGTGCAATATTATATAGTCCTGGATGTTATATATTTTACTTACACACTATGAAATAATAGAATACTTAATTCATAATAATGTTGTATAACAAGCCTGACCTAGAACTAATTGCCCAGTATGAGAACTTCACTATAATTAGCTGTATATTTGGGACCTTTATTGATCATATCATAAACTGAATAGTTGTAATAAATATCTGTATTTGAGATCCTGGTTTTATGTCCCAAAAGGTTAGCAGACTGCATGTATGACTACTTTATACCTTTCTGGATTTTCTTTGTTTAAAAAAAAACCTGAAGTAAATGACTATTTTTATATTATTTTTATAAGATTACTGTTCTTCATGTTATAATAGCTTTTATACACTCTTTGTGTTTCCTTCTTTGTCCTTCTCCCATTGGCTATCTCCCTCCTTGGAATCACATTACATGTGTTTTGGGATTTATTAAGCGACACATATTTCATGTGTTTTGTGATTTATTAAGTGACACACGTTTCTTTACTGATCAGTTGATATCTGCTTCTTGTTCCTATGATATAACAGTGATTATCTATGTATTTAAATGAAAATTGTAATTAAATCCTACAGTTTCTGATTCTTGTAACTAATTTTGGAAAAGATAAAAAGACAGATTTTAAAAAATATTTCTTCACTCCATTCGAATAACATTTTTCAGAAATAATAGTGCAAAAACCAGTATATGTTCTGAAAATGTTGCCCTTTTACTGAATAGAAAAGATTTTTTCAGAGACACAACTGTTTACAGCTGTTCAGTTTCAAATAGAGACTAATGCATGGACAATAATGAAAAAAAAAAACACTTTCGATGAAAATGCTGTAGGAATATCGATGCATATCACTTGATTTCTTTTATGCCATAATAGTTCATTCCTTTATTTCATCTCTTAAGCTACCAAAATTTCATCAAATCATGGGCAAGGAATCTGCTTCAGTTTCAATCACCAGTGCATTAAAGAGTCACATCCAGGGTAGACTTTGGTAAGAGGTTTTAATTGTGTCAAATAATTTTATGCATATGTTCAGATCTTATAGTTTTTTTCTTTATTCTGTTAATGTGGATGAATCCATCAATTGACCTTTGAAATGTTAGATCATTGAAATTCTTTAGATAAACCCCTACATGTATTTATCCTTCTCCTATATTTTATTTTATCTGCTAATATTGCTTTAAGGGTTTTGGGATTTACATTTATTAGGGTTAGTAATAGGCAGTTTTATTTCTTGTTACTTGTTTACCTTGTTTTGGTAGCAGAGCAATGATGATGTTTTAAAATGAGGTGGGAAGTGCTATTGTATTTTCTATTTTCTATAAAACATTGTGTAGAACTGTGATTATTTCTTCCTTAAATGTTGGATAAACTTTATCATGAAGCCATCTGGGTCTAAAATTTTTAAAAGATTTTATCAATAGGCATAAGGCTATTACTTGGGGCTTTTCCTATTAATTTTTAGTCAGTATCAGTAATGTGTTTTTTTAAAACATTGGATCATTTTATCTAAATCATCAAATTTATAGGCAGATTTTTCCCCATTAATCCTTTGTTGTTAAAGTTTCTCTTTCATTTCTAATTTTGTGATTTGTACCTTTTCTCTTTTCTTGCTTTTAAGTCAAAACAGAAATTTATCCATTTTAGTGTTTTATTGTAAAAAAACTGTTCTTAAACACAGTGCCTATAGTTAACAATACAGTACTGTGCACTTCAAAATTTGTTAAGAAGGTAGATTTCTTTTTAAATATTCTTACCATACACAGAGAAAAACAAAAACCAAATCTAAGTGACACAAGAAAACTGTAGGAGGTGTTAGATATGTCTATTACCTTGTTTCTGATGATGTTATCACAGATGTTTGCATATGTCCAAACTCATCAAATTGTACTTATTAAATGTGCAGAGTCCTCTGTATTTCAATTCTACCTCAATATAGCTGTTAAAAATCAATTAGGTACAGGTTGTTGATAGTGTTGTTCGACTATTCAGTAATCTTGCTGATATTCTATTTGTTCTTTAAATTACTGAGAGAGATGTGAAAATCTCCAATTCTAACTGTGGATGTATTTCTCCTTTCTTTTCTGGCAATATTTTCTTCATGTATCTTGAAGCTCTGTTACTGGAGGAGTACATATTTATGAAGTTTGGTGTTTGATATTCTTCTTGATCAATTAACTTCTTTACATTTTGAAGAGTACCTTTCTGTCTAGGGTAACACTACAGATTTTGAAGTCTAATTTGTTTTATATTAGTATGGCCACTCCAGTTTCCCTATGTATAATCTTTTCATGACATAGCTTTTCCATCCTTTTATACTTAGTATCTTGTGTCTTTACTCCTGCAGAGGATTTCTGGTAGACAGTATCTATTTGAGTCTTGGTCAATGTAATAATCTCTGTCTTTTATTTGAAATATTTAGGCCATTTAAATTTCCATTATTATCCAACCATCATTACAGTTGTGGTCAATCCATGGACCTGCATTTCATTTTTTCCACATGTCTCCTTTTTGTTTGTTTCTAATATTTTCTTGAGTTTTTGAGTATATTTTAGAATTTCATATTATCTACATGATTGGCTTATAATGCATACTTCTTTAATTTTGTTTTGGCAGCTGCATTAGGCTTTAAAATGTGCACGTTTCATCTGACTAATGTCTAATATCCAGAATCTATAAGGAACTTAAACAATGGGACAAACTTAAAAAGACATTAAAAAGTGAGCAAAAGACATGAACAGAAACTTCTCAAAAGAAGAAACTGTGGAGGTTATGGGGAGAAGGGAATGCTTATACACTTTTAGTGGAAATGCAAATTAGTTCAGCCACTGTGGAAAGTAGTTTGGAGAGTTCTCAAAGAACTAAATCAGAACTACCATTCAACCCAGCAATCCTATTACTGAGTATATATCTAAAAGAAAATAAATCATTCTACCAAAAACACAAATGCACTGGTATGTTCATCACAGCCCTATTCACAATAGCAAAGATATGGAATCAATCTAGGTTCCCATCAACTGTAGAATGGGTAAAGAAAATATGGTAAATATTCACTGTGGAATACTACACAGCCATAAAAAAGGAACACAATCGTGTCCCTTGCAGCAACATGGATGCAGTTGGAGGTCATTATGCTGAGCAAATAAATGCAGAAACAGAAAACCAAATACCACATGTTCTCACTTAAGCAGGAGCTAAACATTGGGTACTCACAGACATAAAGATGGCAACAATAGAGGGAGAAAAGTAGGAAGCAGGCAAGTGTTGAAAAACTGACCACTGGGTACTATACTCAGTACTTGGGTGATGGGATTAATTGTACCCCAAACCTCAGCATCATGCAATATACCCGGGTAACAAAACTGCACATGTACCCCTGAATCTAAAATAAAAGTTGAAATTATAAAAAATTAAATGTGCATATTTTGCTTATTAAAATCTACCTGTAAATAATATTTTGTCACTTCCTATGCAATGTTAGCCCTAATATTTTTGTACTTTTCTTCCCCCATCCAGGCTTTTCTGCTAATGCTTTCATATATTTTATACCTATATGGATTATGACTTCTGAAATATATTATTATTTATACTTTAAATAATTATACTTAAAAATTTTAAAATATAGAAAAATCTTCAATATTTACCCAACACTTACCATTTACTGCTTTTTTTAATAGTCCCATATATCCATTTTCTGTCATTTTCCATCTGCTTATGTTTCTTGTCTTGCAAATTGTGACACATTTTCTTGACTGCTAATTGTGTGAATAAAGTTTTTATCTTGTCTAGATATTTTCACTGAGTATGTAGTTCTTGGTCATAAGGTTTTTCTTTTTGTTTTCTTTTACTTCTTGAATCATATCAATCCATTTTCTTCTAGCTTGTATAGTTTGAGATAAGAAGTCTAGTCTAATTCTTATCCTTGCTCTTGTGTATGTATCAGTAATTTTCCTGTGACTAATCTTAATACTTTGTCTTCATTCCTGGAGCTTAGGAATTTCTGTTTGATGATCTTTGATGTGGATTGTTTATGTGTGTGTATTTATGTATACCTGTTATATATTATTTTAAATTTGTTAAAATTTCTGGTTATGGAAGGTATAGTTCTCATCAAAATTAGAAATATTTTAGTCATTACCTTAAAAAATATTTTTGGTTGTCCTTTTTAGGATTCTAATTTCATCTATGTTAAACCAATTGATATTTTCCAACATGTATCTGAATCTGTTTATTATTTTCAGTTATGTTTCTCCGTTTCATTTTTAATGGATTTTGTATGTTCAAGTTTACTAATATTTTATTCTACAATGCCCTAGTTGTTGTTCATCTCACTCAGTTAATTTCTGATTTATAATATTGTATTTTCCAACATTTTGTGAAGGTGTTATATATATGTGTGTGCGCATACATATGCGCGCATATGTATGCATATATGTATGCACATATATGTGCGCATACGTATGTGTATGTACATATATGCATATACGTATGTGTACGTACATAGATGCATATACATATGTGTACGTACATATATGCATATACGTATGTGCACATATATATGCATATACGTACATATATATGCATATACTTATGTGTACATATATATAACAACTTCACAAACTGTTGACAATGTACATACCCATATATATGGGTCATATTTTCTGATTCTTTGTATTGAAATATTTTCTCATTAGATGTTAGACATGTATTTTACATTATTGAGTGCTACATTTTATTTGCGTTTTTAAAAAATGCATTGGACTTTTCCTGCAAGGCAGTTAACTTACTTGCGTATCAGCTTGATCCTTTTGCATCATTATGTTAAAGCCCTACAAGGACCGCTCAGGAGTAGCCTTTAATCTAGGGTTTATTTAGCCTCAGTTACAAGCTATGCCCCATGTGGTGTCTATCCTGATTGCCATGTATATTCAAAGAGGTTTCTGTCCTGTGGCTGAAGGAATCTTGAGTGATTCTCCAAACTGTGTAAACTCTGAGAATTGTTTATATTGTAGCTCCCTGAAGGAAAATCCTTTCCTTAAGAAATTGTTCTTTCTTATCCTCATGGGATTTCATGAGAAAGTTGATATTTTAACCAAAGATTCAAGATACATGAATATTTTAAAATCTCTTTTTCTGCCTGGCTTTCTTCTCTCTGAAATTCTGCTTTGCAAATTCTATAAGCCTCTGAAGGGGTTAAAATATGCTATTCTGCCATATTGACTATTTAAGTTTAAGACATTTGACAAACAGCAGGTGCAAGATCACTTTGACCTTCATGCAGTTTCATATTTCCATTTTTCCCATGTAAAAGATACCCTCCCTCTACTATAAGGAAAGACAACATCTTTATCCTCAAGGATGAAAAGCTGAGACCAAAAGAATTCTGTACAGACCTAGTTAAAATAACTCTTATCTTTTAAGCCTTCCCACATAATTGTTTGCTTCTTCACAATGTACAATTCTTTGTTCCAATTTAGTATATAAATAACTGACTGCTTCTTTGGGTCTTCATTTCATTTCTTTCTTTCTTTTTTTTCTATAAGATGAGGTCTCACTCTTTCTCCTAGGCTAGAATGCAGTAGCAAAATCAAAGCTCACTGCAGCCTTGAACTCCTGGGCTAAGCCATTCTTCCTCCTCAGCTTCCCAAGTATCCAGGACAGCAGGTGCATGCCACTATGCCCATCTAATTTTTAATTTTTATTTTGTAAAGACAGGGTCTCGCTTTGTTGCCCAGGCTGGTCTCAGACTCTTAGTTTCAAGCGATCCTCTGCCTTCGCCTCCCAAAATGCTGAGACTACAGGTGTGAGCCACTATGTCTGGCCCTTTCAATTCTTTGTGAAGGCTCTCATGCCTAGTAAAACTTGTATTAAGTCAATTTCTATGCTTTTCTCCTGTTACTCTATCTTATGCCAATTTAATTCTTAGTCCTAGCTGGGAACCTAAGAGGACGAAGGTGGAATTTTTCTACCCCCACACCTAGTTTTCCCAAACTCCAGTTTATTTCTCTTCAACTTAACAGGATATCTGGGCTCTGTTTGATTTCTCCTCCACAAAAAGCAGTAAAAGCCTTGCTACCAGGCAGGGAGCTCGGGCAATGGTAGAATTCACTTTCTTGGTTTCTGTTCTTCAGGTGGTCATAACGCTATGCTTCCTGCTCCTGAATGTCAGAAAAGTGTATTTCTTCTATTTCATCTAATTATATAATTGTTTAGAAATTGCTACATATTTTATCCTTTAATGAATGTTCATGTAAAGTAGCCACAAACAAATTAAAAGTAAAAATTAAGTAAAATATATGCTTTTAAGGTTATGTAATTTCTCCATGTTAAACAAAATACTCACAAACTATACCTAATTTATCAAATAATATTGATTGAATTGAAATTTTTAACTTAATTTTTTACCTAATTCAGGGTAAAAATTCAAAGTAATTATTATCATTCTGATTAAATGCACACACTCATATTCATAAAATTTTGGATGGCAAAGACTCATCTTTGTCACATTGATTGCTGATTTAGCTGATTTTAGAAGTAGGTGCTTTAAAGATGCAAGAGCACCTAATTCCTTTAGGAGCCAGAGCTAATCTAATACACCGCATTTTTTGTTTGTTTATTTGTTTGTTGTAGTCAATAGTCTCACTCTTGTTTCCCACTAGCAGCAGAAAGAATAAAGATTATTGTGAATAACGTGTTATCCATTCACATGGCCTCTAAATACTAAGAATAGAGCACATTCTCTTTCATACCTATTTATGAAGATCATAGTTAAATTTATCTGAATTGCCTATTGATAGGATCATTAATGATTTATTTGCTAAGGTAATATATAAGACTGATTTTCTAAGGAGATTGATATAGTCGACATAATAAATTTTAGAATATGTCAACATGATTAACCACCTAGAATGATATTTGATGCTCCAAAAACAACAGATCATAATCTGCTCTCCTCATATTAACAGTGATACTATGAGGCAAAAATATCTCCTCGCGGATATTTCCTGGAATAGTTAATTAACTTAGCTACCATATCATAATCTTCCTCCATTAATGCAGTCTCATTAACAAACTTTCGTAGGCATCTTTGGAACAATTTTGTTTTCTGAAGTTGTGTCTTCCTGACAGACCATGAGCTGTAACTACTTACAGCTCTTCTTCAATCATGTATATAGTTGTCCATTCTATGAATCAACATTGCTATTTTCAATTGCTGTTGGTAAGAAAAATGTCAGTTTATTTCCAAATCTATAAATTTCACTCTGAAAGGCACTACAAAACCTAATGTATTATTTTCCACAAATCTTAGCTGTTTCACAACATAGATTTTAGATGTAAGCTGCCTTCAGGCTTCTGTATTTTACAATGATTATTATGTGTGTGATACATTTTTTGATCTGGGAAGAGTTTAAGCATTCTGAGTGTCACATTTTCTACTAGTCAAATAAATAAATCAAAAGGTTATAACACAAAGTTTGTTCTAGAGGTATAGCAACATGAAAAACAAAATTAAACACGTGTGGGGTTTTTCCTACATGATCTCTGCTGCTCCTGCCTCAGTATATTTTAAAAACTCCTTTCACAGAGAATGCATCCTCTACATGTTTTTGCTTTATGATTGCTTACTGAGAATCTAATAAAGTGTAAATGATTTATAGGTTTGTTTGTTTGTTTGTTTTTTGTTTTTTTCTTTCCGAGATGGAGTCTTGCTCTGTCACCCAGGCGGGAGTGCAGTAGCACCATTTGGGCTCACTGCAACCCCTGCCTCCCAGGTTCAATCAATTTTCCTGCCTCAGCCCCCCAAGTAGCTGGGATTACAGGCGTGGGCCACCACACCCAGCTATTTTTTGTATTTTTAGTAGAGATGGGGTTTCACCATGTTGGCCAGGCTGGTCTCGAACTCCTGACCTTGTGATCCACCCACCTCAGCCTCCCAAAGTGCTGGGATTATAGGCGTGAGGCACCATGCCTGGCCTATATAGGTATTTTTTAAATTCTCTTTACATTGTTTGGACTGCCTCTTTCTTTTTGATCTCTCTGTGCTTTGCACATATTTTTCTCATAACACTTAAAAACTCTACTGAACTTACATGCTCATGTATTTATCTCTCTCAACTAGAGAACCTACCAAGATCTGCATATTTTATCATTTTGTTCCAATTATCTTGTATATTACCTGCACAGTGTAGTCATCTAAGAAATGTTTATTAATTGAGGCCTTGGTATAGAAATATCCCATTGAAAAACTGACTTCTGGTACCGATATATCTAGATGTGCACCTTTTATACTCTGTCTTTACTGATCTCTGGCATTTGCTTTCTCCTGAATTAGCTTTACTGTAAGGCAATCGCACCCTTTGTTTTGATGGGATAACAAGAGATAGCTCCAGGTCAAAACCTACTAGTTCCAGCAGGTAGACAGAATCTCACTTCCCAAAAGTTTCCCTAAAAGTATTAGAATGGACTCTGAATATCCTTGTATGGGCTGCATGCCTGTATTACTCCATTTTCATGCTGCTAATACAGACATACCAAAGACTGGGTAATTTATACAGGAACAAGGTTTAATGAACTTACAGTTCCAAGTAGCTGGGGGGCCTCACAATCATGGTGGAAGGCAAGAGGTGCAACTCACATCTTACATGGATGGCAGCAGGTAAAGAGAGTGAACTTGTGCAAGGGAATTCCTCTTTATAAAACGATCAGATCTCGTGAGACTTATGCACTACCATGAGAACAGTGCAGGAAAGACTTGCCCCCATGATTCAATTACCGCCTGTCAGGTCCCTCCCACAGCACGTGGGAATTCAAGATAACATTTGGGTGGGGACACAGCCAAACCATATCATTCTACCCCTGGCCCCTCCCAAATCTCATGTCCTCACATTTTGAAACCAATCATGACTTCCCAATACTCTCCCAACGTCTTAACTCATTTCATCATTAACTCAAATATCCACAGTCCAAAGTCTCATCTGAGACAAGGAAAATCCCTTCTACCTATAAGCCTGTAAAATCAAAAGCAAGTTAGTTACCTCCTAGATACAACAGGGGTATAGGCATTGGGTAAATAAACACATTCCAAATAGGATTAATTGGCCAAAGCAAAGAAGCTACAGGAATGACGCAAGTCCAAAATCCAGAGGGCCAGTCAAATCTTAAAGCTCCACAGTGATCTCCTTTGACTCCATGTCTTGCATTCAGGTCACACTGATGCAAGAAGTGGGTTCCGATGTTCTTGGACAGCTCTGCTTCTGTGGGTTTGTGGGGTACAGCCTCCATCCTGGCTGTCTTCATGAGCTGGTGTTGAGTGTCTGCAGTTTTTTCAGGTGCATAGTGCAAGCTGTCAGTGAATCTACCATTCTGCTGTCTGGAGGATGGTGGCTCTCTTTTCACAGCTCCACTAGGCAGTGCCCCAGTAGAGACTCTGTGTGGGGGCTCCAACCCCACATTTCCCTTCTGCACTGCCCTAGCAGAGGTTCTCCATGAGGGCCCTGCCCCTGCAGCAAACTTCTGCCTGAGCATTCAGGCATTTCTATACATCTTCTGAAATCTAGGCAGAACTTTCCAAACCCCAATTCTTGACTTCTGTGCACTCTCATGCTTAACGCCACGTGGAAGCTGCCAAGTCTTGGCACTTGCATCCTCTGAAGCCATGGCCTGAGCTCTACATTGACAACTTTTAGCCTAGTGGCTAGGATGCAGGGCACCAAGTCCCTTGGCTGCACACAGCAGAGGGACCCTAGGCCCAAGCTAGGAAACCACTTTTTCCTCCTGGGCCCCTGGGCCTTGATGGGAAGGGCTGATGTGAAGACCTCTGACATGCCCTAGAGCTATTTTCCCATTGTCTTGGCAATTAACATTTGGCACCTCGTTACTTATGCAAATTCCTGCAGCCTATTTGAGTTTCTCCCAGAAAATGGGACTTTCTTTCTATCACATTGTCAGGCTACAAATTTTCTGAACTTTTATGCTGTGTTTCCCTTTTGAAACTGAATACAATTAACAGCATCCAAGTTACCTCTTGAATGCTTTGCTGCTTAGAAATTTCTTCCACCATATATCCTAAATTATCTCTCTCAAGTTCAGAGCTTCACAAATCTCTAGAGCAGGGGCAAAATGCTGCCAGTCTCTTTGCTAAAACATAACAAGGGTGAACTTTGCTCTAGTTCCCAACAAGTTCCTCATCTCCATCTGAGACGACCTCAGCCTGGATTTCTTTGTCCATATCATAATCAGCATTTTGATCAAAGTCACTCAACAAGTCTCTAGACAGTTCCAAACTTTCCCACATTTTTATGAATTATTCTGAGCCCTCCAAATTGTTCCAACCTCTGCCTGTTACCCAGTTCCAAAGTTTTTTCCAGATTTTTGGGTATATTTTCAGCAGTACCCCACTCTATTGGTACCAATTTACTGTATTAGTTCATTTTCATGCTGCTAATAAAGACATAGTCATGACTAGGTAATTTATACAAGAAAAAGTTTTAATGTACTTACAGTTCCAAGTGGCTGGAGAGGCCTCACAATCATGGTAGGAGGCAAGGAGGAGCAAGTTACATCTTACGTGGATGGCAGCAGGCAAAGGGAGAGAACTTGTGCAGGGGAACTCCTCTTTATTAAACTATCAGATGTCATGACACTTATTCACTATCACAAGAACAGCATGCGAAAGACTTGCCCCCATGATTCAATTACCTCCCACCGGTTCCCTCCCACAACATATGGGAATTCAAGATGAGATTTGAGTGGGGACACAGCCAAACCAAAACCATATCAATGCCCATGTTTGTAGTAAATCAGATGAGGTTAGCAGGAAGGGAAATATGTAGCCTGGCTAGGCCTTCATCACAAGGGAACCATGGTTGTTATGTGGGAGGGTGGTAGTGAGGTTAACTCCGCCTGGAATGCCAAATTAGGAAGAGTGGAGAGTTTAATTCCTAAAGGGAATAAGAAAGTGATTCTTAACAGACAAAAAAAAAAAAAAAAAAACCCAGATTATCACTACAATATAATAAGGCTTTGGAAAACAGCCTATAAGCAAATGAAAAACACATATTTTTCTGCAGTGCAACTATAACTAGTTTAGATAATGCTAAATCAGTTTAATAAATTCTGTAATATTAACTGACAATCATTTCTCCTTCATTTTTATTCTTTGAAAATGTGTAGTTTCGCTCAAAAGCTCCTCTTACTAGGTCTGTTATTTTACTAAATTTGTGTTTTCCAGTTTGATAAATTGAGTTAAAGTAAAGATATAGTGTTATGTTTATACTTTGCACATGTAGTCGAGTGTTAAAATATATTTTGAGTTAAAGAGAACTATTATAATAAAATAGTAGAAAATGTATACATGAGTTCCATTAAGAAAAATGAAAAGTAACAAAACATTTTTTCCTTCTCTCTGATATAAATACATACACACCTATACATAGAAAAAGAAAGAAAGGAAGAAAGACTTTAAAGCATAAAAGAGAAAAAGACAGAAAAATCAATAGCATCATCTATATATATTTAGTATTGATAGATACAGTAGACAGCCAAATGCTATCCAGGTCATTGTGCTCAGGGGGCTTGCCTAAACATGCCAATGGAGAAAAATTCCATCCATTAACATATGCGCAGTACGGAAAATAAATCTGTGTGGAGTGGCTCAGAATAAGGGCCCACCTGGCACTGGGAGAATGGGGTGGAGCCACTGGAAATTCCCACCTTATTCAGGGGGGAGGTGTCTAACGTCTTCAGCTCATGTATTATGGCCTGGTATTCAAACTGCGAGGTGGGAGCCTGTTGGCAGAGCCCCCTTTTTTTTGCTAAGAACTTTCTTTTAATAAATTCCACTCTCCTCACCTTTCAATGTGTTCACGTGCCTAATTTTTCCTGGTCATGAAACAAGAACCTGGAGTTTAGCTGAACTAAGGAGCAAAAAGTCCTGCATCACTTTGATGGCTGGAACAGGGACATGAGGAAAGGTGAGTAAAATGCGAACCAAAAAATATCCTTCCCTTTTGTTTCTGAGACTTTATATCCTCGGACTTCTTCTGAGGGTAGAGGAAACTGCCACCCACCCCTGCCCAGTTGCTCTCAGTTGCGAGGAATGTCTGCCTTGGCCCAAACCAGTCTTTTGTATGGCATCTTCCTCCTTTTTGGGACTGTAATGGCACCTATCTTTTCATTACCCTAATGGCTGCAGGCATGCACGTGGGAAGAACACATGAACGGCAGCTCCCTGCACCCTCTCCCCTTTCAGCTGGGTCCCAGACACATGGCCCGAGGGGCCTGTATAGCAGGCCGGCCAGCATTCCCTGCCACACATCCACAGGGTCTTCCCCTTCCCCTAGCAGAGAGGTCCAGCTCAGTCCAACAGCAAGTAAAATTTCTCTCCCTGTAGGAGAAACCCATTGGCAAAGGAATTAGAGGTTCTTCCTTCAGGCATCTTTCCGCCCTGAACTTTAAGCTGTTTTTTTGTTTGTTTGTTTGTTTTTTCTTTTCTCCACCCTGTCGACAGTTAACATAGCCCTGCACTTCAAGCTGTTTTTTTCTTTTCTCCATAAGCTCAGGAGTTAAGTTTTATATGAGAGGCTTTTTTTCCCCTCTTTTAGAAAACATTTTACTAGGCCAGGATCCCAAATATCACTGTTTATATTCTCTGTAAAGTTTTAGTTATGAAAAAGGATTTGTGAGTTTGGTCTTAAGCTATAGCCAATCTGGCATGCTTTGCCTGTCTTTCTGTATGGCTCTGTCAGAAAGAAGGACACCTTAAAATGAGATGCAGGTCTAGGACTCCATAGGCCTGCTGTTCAAGTCAGCCAGGAAAACTGGTCAATAGCAAACTTTGCTGTAGGCCTCCATCTTGTTTTATGTCCTTGGAAGTGTGACCTGTAACCACATAGCAGTGCTTTGTTTTAGCCTGTGCCATTTTACAATGGTGGCCCAGGTTCAATACTGGCTTATGGAATGAGTTCTTTCTGGTTGGATATCTGTGTGACCTTTGCCATTTGATGATTTTTCTTCCCCTCTACAAACAGTCCTGAAAATTCCTTTCTCTGAGCTCCTGGGAGGTTACCTTTGCTAAAGTTAGAAAGCCAGAAATATTGGCCGCTTGACATGGTTAAAGTCAGGTAATAAGGGATCTAAAAGGATTTTCTTAAAGATCACTCAGCTTAATTAAAAATGGATATGCAAGTTGTAGGTGTATTTAAAAGGCCTTTATGTTTTTCTCTTCTTGGATCTTGTTTTTCTGGAAAAAGGTTTTTTTCTCAGTCTACTGAATTTTTTTTTTTTCCATTTTGCCTTGGCACTCTTAATTCTTGCATGAGAGGTCCTAAGATAATTTCTGATGGACTGGGACTCCTTGGGAAAAGCAGAAAAGGTGCCACAGATTCTATTTTGGGAGAGACCTCTGTTTTCCTCCTGGCTCCTCAGGAATTAGAGGTGGATAGTTCCCTCTCAAAAACTGTTTTTGTCTTCCAGCTACACCTGTTTATTGGGCTGTAAAAATAGCATGCTTTCCTAGCCTTGCTCTTAAAGGATTCCACCTGGAGGACAATACTCCAATTACGAGATTGGCAAATGGAAAATCTTATAACTACTGGATCTGCTTCTCTTTGTCTGTGTGGTTATATATGTGTTGTGTGCGGTATATATAAAAAGAGCTCTAATTAATTGACTTAAAGAAGGATAAGTGCTTGGATCAAAACTGTGGTACCTTTTAGTTCATGTGACTTTAATCCTTGAGAAATAAAAATGGCCTTAAAGGTATTGGTAAAATGCAGATGTTGTCAAAATGTAAATTTTTGCCTAGGGTTAAAGGATTGTTTTGAATTAAATAAGATACAACTAAAACAAGATGTAGACAGATTGTAAAAATTAATCTTGAAAAAGAATTTCCATGTGTGAACATACTGACTAAATTCAAAAGGGTATTGCGTGGCTTTTCTGTAAATTGAGCATTGAAATAAAAGCACAACGAAGTTCTCTTAAGGCACCAATCTGCACTTTAGCAAAAATTGTAAAGGTTTTTGAAAGGATTTTGCTTTTTAAAAATCTCTGAGTCATCATTTTGACAAAATAAATCACTGTAATCTGAAATTCTCTTTTACAATATCAAGAGTTTTAAAGATCTAACATAAGTAACAGCCTTCCCAAAATCAAACTTCAGCTTCAAAATTTGTCTTTCCTGGCCCCTGGAGCATCCAGAAGAGTGGTAAACATGATTACCTGACATGATTAGGTACATGGCATTACCAAAATGATGTTTAATTGTTTTCAGGTTATATTTTAGGGACTAATGTTAACATATGTTTCAAAATTATATGGGATTTCTAACATTCTAATGTCTGAGTATATACTGTCATCACAATTAAGGTTGTTAGGTTAAGTTATTGTAAACCACGGAGATAACCAAACTTCTTTGCCTATCGTGTTTTTGAATATAACTACCCTGGATATGTTGTTATGCACAGACAATTGTTGTCTTATTTTGATCCTCTTTAGGAGATGTTTGATAATCAGCTACAGAATTTTGACAGGTGCTCTCAAATGCAGGTTTCTGATAACTTTGGAGATTGTGATATTGGAATAAAGTAAACATGTACAGGACTCATGAAGTGCTGAAACATTCACAAATATCAAGCAAAATAAGAGTAAACTGAATGGACTGAAATAATAGGAAACCGAAAAAATCTTTTTGACTTTTGTTTGGAACATTGCTGATCCTTTTTTTGTTTTGCACAGTCAAGAAAACTTACTTTGAACTATTTATGGTCTTTAATAATTGGGTAAGCTATACTCCTGTGACCAAAATTTGGAGCATATTTGTTTCTCTCTCTGCCTGGCTTCTCCAGAATTTGGAAACTAGTTTGTGAGTATTCTTATCTTATGCCAATATAGTTGTTTGTATCTGTGCAATAAGAATCAATTTTCTTTTGTAACAGCACACAATTAGAGAAACTGGTTGTTTTACCAAGGCTTTGACTGGAAGGGTATGGTTCTCTTTAAGGAGTCAAGCTCAACTTGCAGAGCCAATAAATGCCCCTTGGGAAAACTGGCCTCATACCTTATCTACACAGTCCCCATACAGGGTTCTTAACCTGAGGGGAGTAAAGAATGTCACCTTCTAACAGGCCCAGGAACCCCATGTTCTTGGGACCTCAAGAAGAGAGGAGTTCACCCAACTCGTAGGTATTTGAGGGTACAAACCCATGGCTGGGCTTGGCTTTAACAAAAGCCCTATCTGAGATTCCTTGTAGAACAGAATTCCATGAACACCAGTTTAAAAAGGCTATGTAAAATCAATTATAATTGCTGCACTTTATGCAAATAATCAGGCCCAGTATAAGGCTAAAGTCTATTCTGCAAACAACGCAGTCTTACCATGATTTGTTTTTAATGAAAATGAGGACTGGAGAGAAATAAATTATGTTTCAAAACTGATCATACACTTGTTATTAAATTCTAGACTCACTAGTTGTTTTTAAGTTTCTTGCCTACATTGTAGACTAATCCTTGGTTGTTCCTGTGAACAAAGCAGCAATCTCCAACTGCAGCTCAGAAGGAACAAAATGGATGGGTAATGTAAAAATCTGCATCAATATTCTAGTTCTGAGCAATTACGTTGCAAATCCTGCCAGGTGATGGAAATAAATAGGGTATCCATCACCCCAAGTTTTCCTTTTTGAAAGTAAGACCAAGGGAGATAACCAAAGCCAAGCCCCATGCACCCAAACCTTAGCAAGCATAACCATAGCCACCAGTTATCTGGGCATATCACAAGGCATCCTTTTTTCTCCCTTGTTGGAGGAAAACTAAATTCCCACCCCCACCCTCCGCACCCCCGCCTGGCCCCCTGTTAACCTGGGTGAAAGCTACTTTAACATCCATCGGCAGCACGCTGTTGCGGTCCCTGGGACTTGGAGATATAAGGATGGAAGACAGAAAGAGCAGTGCCTCACTTTGTCTCCCTCGTGTAGCCCGCGTATTCGCTAGGAAGAGAAAGGAACCTGGGATGACTTGCTCCCCTCTTTCTAGAGAAGAAGCCATTCATCTTCAGTCTGTACCCCTTTCAAATGCATCCTGAACCCCTGGGACTGCTTTGATAAAAGTCCCCTCTTTTCCCCTCCTTTGTCCTCTCTTCACTGATAGGTAATTGTGTCTGTATTACAGGACTCTCCTCCCAGATGCATCCTCCAAAACTGGGCAAAGTTAACTTCCCAAACCTTAAACTGGTTGGCTTAGGATTGGCCTCAGGGAAAGGGAACCCAGAAGCCTGACATGCTGGCAAACGGGTAAAAGTCATTTTTTTTCTTTTCCAGTTGGGTTTTTGGTCTCCCTCTCTGTGTGCAAACTGGTAAAAGGCCTTGGGATTTTTGAGCTTTCCTTACCCCCCAAAACTTGTTTCACTTTGATACATGTTTTCTAATAGCCCAGTTTGTTTCTTCTCACCTTCAATCCATCTGACTCCAAACTGTCATGCAACCAGAGCCTCAGACAATGGCCAATCTTGCCAGGGACCCTTAGATAGGCCTCTGAGGGAGATCTGATTTCCCAAACAGCGCCCCCTGCCAGCAGGAAGCAGTTAAGATCGATCTTCATCCTTAACCCTTATCCTTATTCTAATAGCAGTTAGATGTACTTTTTAGAGTGGGGAATGATAGAGACAGGAGACAGCCAAATGCTGCCCAGGTTATTGTGCACAGGGGGCTTGCCTAAAAATGCGGATGGTGAAAAAAATCTATCTCTTAACATAAGCACAGTAAGGGAAATAAATCAATGTGGAGTGGCTCCAACTAAGGGCCCACGTGCAAAATGGGAGAACTGGGTGGAGCCACCAGGAATTCATGCCTTATGCAAGGGGGAGGAGCCTGGCCTCTTCAGCTCATCTGTGAGGTGGGAGCCTGTGGGCAGGACCTGTTTTTTGTTGTTGTTTGTTTGTTTTTTGTTGTTGTTTGTTTTTGCTGAGCTCTTTCTTTCAATAGATTCTGCTCTCCACACCTTTTAATGTGCCCTCACGCCTAATTTTTCCTGGTCATAAGATAAGAACTCAGATTTTAGCTGAACTAAGAAGCAGAAAACCATCCATCAATATGATATACAGATATTATGTGTATACGTCTGTATAATATCATTTACAGATGTGTGTGTATATATATCCCCTTGAAAATATTTTATTTCTATGTATTTAAAAATGCAAAATAGTTTTAAAAAAACTAATTACCAAATGCTTGAAATTAAAAAAGAAAAAAGATCTCTGGTTTAACATATATATATATATATATATATATATATATATATATATATAAATTTAGGTTAGGATCACACATTCTTGTGTACAAAATTATTACAAATCATGTATAAATAATATCTGAGACAAAACCAAACATACATACAGAAATGTTAATTTAATTAAAAAAGAATAATACATTCTTTGCAACAGGAGCTATTCTAAAGAAGTATCAAACTAAAATAAGAAAGTAGAAAATAATAAAGGCAATAATTAAGGTATTTAAAACCAGAAAAGAATAAAATTGACTATTTTGAGACTGGCTTTGGGCCATATACTCTATCTTAGAATTCACAGAAGTAATTAATTTAGCCAATGTTTTCAGCTTATAGAGCTGTCTACTCAGAACATTGAACACTATTCTATTTCCATGGAAGCTTTTTCTGACCTGACACCCACAATTGTTTTTTTTTTCTCCCAGAATGTTTAATTTAAAATGACTTCGCATTTTTCCTCATTTAAAGACACACATGGACACTTATTTTTTGTAAAACTCACCAACACCCTTAAGAAATTTCAAAACCCTACATTCTACTTCTGCGCTATCTGAATGCGTATCGTCATGGTCATCCCTTCTTTAAAAATGATTTTTTACATGCCTCTCACCTCTTTGTGCTATCAGCCCTTCAGGGCACAAGTTGTTTTTCATTATCCTTTACCTGCACAGAGCCTAGAATACAGAAAGTGCTTAATTTTTATTTGTTGATGTAATGAGTGTGTGTGTGGTGTAGGGGTGTGTGACAGTGAGAGAGAGAGAGTGGTGGTGGGGGTTAGGGGGAGTTCATGCATAGGTGCACTCACACACAAGTATTTATGATTAACTATCAGAGTTGGCAGATGGGGGTAATGGTTAGTTTTACTCAGTATAATACCCTCAAATCCAAGTACTTTTATTCTATGGGTATTGCCAGGTCTCTTTGATAACCTTAATAGAGCATCAGGAACTCTTTTAGTTTCATCTAAATTGCCAATGTTTAACTTTCTAAACATTTAGAAATGATGCCGTAATTGTACAGTATCCTGTTGTGATTTGTGTCTTGAATACTAAATGTAAATAACTAACGAACCAAAGTCAGAATTTTTTGCTGTAAAACAAATGAATTTTACAAATTTTATTAAAATCAGGCTTTGTTAAAGTTGCTAGAATGAATGTAAATCAGGGACAAGAATGCTTGATTGATCAGTGTCTCATTTCCTGCTAAGTAAATCAAGTAATTGTGTCTTGAAGCCTCAAAGCACTCCAATAAATATTCAAGAACAACTCAGTGATAGATTATTTCACAAGAAAGAAGATTTAGACAAGACTTGATGCATTCTACCTGTCTTTGGCAGGAAGTTTAAAGTACAACTTGAAATGTATGGAGACCTTGCCCAAGGCAACAGATACAAATGATTGCCTACGTGGAGAAATACTTTTTAATCAGTAGATTATCCAACAAGATGGCAAAATTCTTACTTGTTCAGCAGTTCAACAAAGCATTTCTGTAGGTTATTCTGTTTTCAAATAGTAAAAATGTCTTTCCAACTTTCCCCAGCCACTTGCCTCATTTCTTTTAACCCCTAAATTGCAAATCTCTTGCGTTCTTTTTATCAATTCAGTATAGATAGAAAGGAAGACAGCAGAATTCAAACTTCAGTTTTTATATCCTATTTTAAAATGTTAGATTCCTTGAATTTAACGCACAGTGTGATATAGTTAATACTTGAGAATTGTACCTTTCAAAATTGCTAAGAGTGTACATTGCAAATGTTCTGACCATGAAAAGAAATGTTTGAAGTGATGGGTATGTTAACTAGTTTGATTTAATTATTCCACATTGTATTCATAAATGATAATATCACTTTGTACCAGATAAATTTATACAATTATAAATTGTCAATTAATAATAAATATTTAAGATAAATATAAACCTAAAACATAAACATAAAACATTAGATTTCAAGACATAACTCCATTTATAGCTCTTTAGTGAAAATTGTTGATAGAATACAGACAGAAAAAAGTTCTACTATTAAAATACACACACAGGAAATTTCATTTCTGAAAGATTATGTTATGAATTGATTTTGATATTGTCCTCTTGAGGTTATGTGTGTGGCTTCCTTTAACCAGGAAAGTCTATCTAAAATATTTGTGAATTGTGTGATACAAACACATATGCTTTCTTCCTTAAACAAAGGTTGCTTTTGTTCCAAATAAAAAATAAAATTGTGGAATTAATTCCAGTAATCAAATATTTTGCTGAAACCAATAATTATCAAATGTTTCTTCTAGCAAATTTCTGAAAGGAATCATTACATTGTTCTGTCAACCATGAAATTGACTCATGATCTTTCTATCCTATCACTGGATTTTTAGGTAGCCTTCTCAATTACACAAATAACAAAACAGAGGTGATATATTAACATCTGAGGTAACTTTCTAGGAGTGCCAATTTAAATTGATATTGAAGAGTGGAAAAAATATACCCTCCAAAACACGTCACTTTGACATAAGGATTACTTTGAGCTGAAGTCACTTAAAAACAGCAGACACAAGAAAGGCATTCTAATCTCTTTCTCCCTGAAAACAGGAGATTAAACACTCCTGTGTGAAAAATTCCTTTCCTGTATCAGGAGAAATGAAATGTTCTTCAATGGGGTGTCGTAGCTGAAATAATTAGGTACAAATAGATCTTGTTAGAGTAATTATTATCTTTCTTTAGCCTCCCTATATAATTTAGTTACTTTTCCACAATTGCCTCTCTTTGCTCAACCTAATATAAAAGCATTTCGGTTTTATCACTTCTTTGTGTCTTCATTTCTTTATATTTGTATGATTTCCTCTGTTAATTTAACTTATGCCAACTTAATTCTCAGGCCTTGCTAGAAACCTAAAGGATAGAGGTAAAATTTTGCCTCCCCTACTGTTGAGAAAGAGAAAATAAAATTATTTTCCATGTATCCCTTGCACCTTTTCTTCACTTCCAACACATTCTAAATTTTTCTGGTAGGCTGTTAACCCTAGCGTTAAGAAAATGAAATAAAACAAAGAAAATAAATAATAGCAACTGAAACTCACAGACATATTGAAGTAAGAAAACATAAAGGCAAAAAGAAATTAACATTTTTCACAAAAAAAGGAAACAGTTGACGAAAGAAATGTAAGTTAAAAAAATCAACATAAAGGGGGTACAAAAGTCAAATGATGAAGTATATTAAAAAGGTAAAAAATGCATTTTGATGGAATACCATTAAGCCATGCAAATTAATCATTGTTAATATATGAGTTATAACTATCTTTTTACCCAAATCCACCTGTCCAATTTCTTAGTTATATATCTATCAAGTCCGAATAGAAAATATTGAGTTCAAATATTGTACTGTGTCTGAACCAATCAGCACTTCTCCATTTTGCATTTAAAATATCTGCACACATTAAATAATACTAGTTGGCAACAAACAATCAACTTTGGCCAAAAGTCCTAAATTTCAACAAAAGCATCCTTTGACACAGGTTGGCTAAGATGTCTTGAGTCTGTGCATCTTAACATTTTCCCCGTCTAGTTTGTGAATAGGCTGTGTCCATTCAATATAGATTCAAAAGTAAGCAACAGCTGAATATTTTAGGTTCGGAGTACCACTAGCAACGATCAACAGACTGGATTTAAATTATTTAGGACTTTGGGGCTCTCCTGAGAACTGTTGGATACTAGGGTATTCAACATGATTTTGGGGATAAAGGTTGATCAGAGAAGTCGTGGCTCAGAAAGCACTGTTTGAATCAAAATCTAAAGAGTTAGAGACATTTTAGAAATTGCTAAGGAGGGAGATTAGCTCGGAGGAGAGATAAGACGTATCAGGGCTCTCAAAAAGGAGCAAATATAGGACATCTTGAGGGTGAATAACAGTCTTGGGGCTGACAATGCTGGCTTGTAGACAACCCAGAGGGAGGCTGGGGTGAGATCAGAGTGGAGATACTACTGAAATGCCAGAGGTTCCGTGGAAGTCCCATCCATCACTGCACAGAAAGCCAGTGAGACAATGACTATTGCCAGGGAATAAGGTGACTTTATTTATTTGGGTGACTTCAGCTGGAGAAATGGCTGAAAACTGTTTCTCTCAACGAACTAAAATTGGAGGTTTATATAGCAGGGAAGGAATGCAGCTACTTGTGGGAAAACAGAAATTAGGGAGGGGTAAGGAAATAATCATGAGTAGTGAAGGAGCTGGAGACGCATCGTCTGGATCTGGTGATCTGGTTTCAGTTCCTTGCCTGAGGGGTCAATATCCTGAGGCAGGAACTAAGATAAGACAAACATAAATTTCAAGAGTAGTAGGTTCATTTTTTGTATTTATTCAAAAAACTATAAATATCAGTTCTATGGCACAATTGGGTCATTTTCAAAAAGTAGGCTGCAAATGGAGGGGAGGTGGTTAATCTTAATTTTAGAAGCTACAAGAAACTTTTTGAAAGATTCAAAATGTATAGCAACATGATAGGAGTTTACGTATTTTAGGATACTGACTGCAGTGTAGAAAATACACTGAGATTGGAATAAGAATGGAAGAAGAGACACCAGAGAGGTGTCTGTCTATTGTACTTGCCCATGGCAGAGATTGTCATGGTTGAAAAGAAGGCGGAGTCAGAAGAGAGATGTTAAAAAATGTTTAAGAGATACTGTTGACGGAACACTTTGGTCTTCTACAATTACCAATATCTTCTGTTAGATCTGAGTCTTCTAATTAGAACGACTTGGTAGTAGTTCCAGTCGTAGATTCTATCAAGTGGTTCTAATCACTTCAGATCTTAATGATTTTTTTTTATCTGCTCATATTAAAACATAGTAAAATAGAGGCTTCCTCTTTAAGAACGCACATTCCTTGGTTTAGGAATGGCCAGCATCCCTATTCCTTCCCAACTCTGAGGGGCTGCTTCCAGTTCTTAGATCTGAATTCATACTGCAACTTTTGTTTTTTGCATCAATTATAAGTTTTAAACCTAGACTCAGTTGTCTAATTTGCCCCTCCTTTATGACGTGGATATCTGAACACCAAACCTTTACACTATGTTTATGTTTTCTAGCTAGCTTGTGCCAGTAATGATTACGAAGCAAAGGAAACCAAGTACTTTAATTGTTCATAAAGAAGTTCACAGCTAGAGTTATTCACTTGTGTTAAAGCAATAAATGGTAAAGAAATTGTCTTACTACTGAAGAAGAATGCTGATAAATTTATTGAGAGTCCCTAGCATTCTTCAAGTTGTAATATTAAATAATTGATGTTGCTAGACATTTTAGTTTCTCCAGAGAGGACACTTTGTTGCCAGGAGAGCTGTGCATTTTGAGAAAGACCTAAGGACACACTCCAAGGAATATGTATAAATTATAACCATAATTATGTTCTGTCTTCAGAGCAGAGATACAGAGTGGTTTTGATATATTATTCACAGTTGCAATCAGAGGAAACTGAGTCATAAGAAATTTAATTAACATTTTTGATGGCATGGAGTTAATTTGGATGGTAAATGTAGATGAACTTGTAAAAAACTACTTTGCATAATGTACTAAAGCCATTAAATTTTCATAAAGAGATCTCTAATCCTAGTTCAAGAATCCATATCAATGCTATAGGATAATTTGAGACACATAATGTCTTTATTTAATTTATTTTTATTAAAATGACTTGCTTTTATACTTCAGACTCTGCTTTAATTATCACATTTTATGCCTCTTATTCAGACATATAAAAAATGTAGTTTTCTTTTTAAATTTATGTATGTATTTAATAAACAACTCATGTTATTTGTAGAATAATTTTAAAAAATGTGTATAGTAAGAAAAAGGCATCCACAATGTCAGTACTTCAAAGTAACCCTATGGAGTATATTTATGCCAATGTTTTTTACACATAGATACATACATATTTAGGGTTTTTAAAATTTTGTTTTGATTTTTTGAGAAATTAGATCATGTAACACATATCAATTTGTAGCATTTTTTCTTTTAACACTATATTATGAATTTTATTAGGTAACTATATATATACACATATTTATTTATTTATATGATTATTTAATGGCTGTGTGTTTCATTCACATATTTTCTGACTATATATTAATATTTTCTTTAGACAAGTTATTTGCACATGTATATTATATTACCACATGATATTAGTATATTATATTACCTCATAGCCTTTAAAAAAGTGCCAAAATGAGGGGAAGCATGGATCAGCCTTGTTTGGGAGAATAATGCCATCAATAATGACCAGGCCCAATATTTGAATTCAATAACAACTGTCAATCATGCCCAGTAGATTAACACTCCTAATACATTTTTTTTTTCCTTTTAGATTTTACTAGCTGGGGAAGATTTTATTTTCTTCCTTTATTCAATAAACTCTTACCTATTCTTCAAGACCAATATCAAATGTCCATTTCTGTGACCCAACTTCATTTCTCCTGGGGCATTAGTTATTCCTTTTTCTATACATTTAAATTCATTAACACCCTCCATTACAGACTTTATTGGCCTACCTTGTTAATTTCTTCCACAAGGTTATTTGTTCCCTTAATAGGGGAAGCATGTGTTATTCATTGTTGTATTCTTAAAACCCCTACAGTGTCTGGCATAGAGCAGTAATATGTTTATGAAGGCCAAGATGCAAGATGCTCTGGCATTTAAGGGGCTGGTATTCAGTCATTAAACATCAATATATATATATATTTTTTTTTTTGAGACAGAGTCTCTCTCTGTTACCCGGGCTGGAGTGCTGGAGTGAAGTGGTGCAATCTCGGCTCACGACAACCTCCACCTCCCAGGTTCAAGAGATTCTCCTGCCTCAGTCTCCTGAGGAGCTGGGATTACAAGCACCCACCATCGCAAGTGGTTAATTTTTGTATTTTTAGTTCAGACAGGGTTTCACCATGTTGTCCGGGCTAGTCTCCAACTCTTGACCTCAGGTAATTCACCCATCTCAGCCTCCCAAAGTGCACAAATATACTTTTGTGTGTGATTACAATATTAAAATACCTCCATTTTCTGTAGTAAGCTGCAGCTGTTCGAAGCTCTCAAGTGCTCACCTTTTCTTTTCTCTCAGAACTTCCATATGCTCCAGGAACTAAATGTTTAATATCTGAAATATTAAAAAGGTCTTTAGGAACTACCTGCTCCAGCATGCACATACCGTAATCTGTTCTCATGGTCTGTGACTCTTCAAGGCGAATAATTTTAATATTATTTTTCCTCATAGATACATCACATTGCATTTCCTGTTGGACCATTATTACATTGACTAACTTAGGATATTATCAATATTCAGAGCTATGAGAAGATACATCCAGGGAGGTTTGTTGTATATGTGGTGATGGTTTGCTTTTTTCTTTTTTTTTTTTAATTTCCTACACTTCCAGAAAACTCACAAAAGTCATTAAAAAATAAAGGCACCTTCTATTTATTTTCATGTCAATTACTGTACAGTAATTCTGTTCCTTCTATGTCTACAGAATACTGAGAAAATTTTACAAAAGTTACCTAACCTTTTGTAATCTACTTTCTATTACGAGAGCAAATGGAGTGTAAGACGAGCTGAGTTACTTGCTCCTTTTGAACTCCTGAACTGAATAGGGTAGTGCACGAGTAACTTGTGACACGAGTAACAGCAGCCTGTTTACCATTAGCTAAGAATCATTTTAGAGCACTGAACACCTTTGAGATTCTTTTCTCATTTAGACTTTCAAAATTTCTACTCTTGATTAACATAACACAACCCAAAGACATTGCTTATTATTCCTTGACACTGAAAATAATTTTGCGAATTTGTTGTGTATACAAACAAGTTTTTCTAATCTTACAAAACATGTTTAACTACATTGCTGATTAGCTTTAGTTGAGTGGAGTTTTTATAACATGGTTGTAGCTATTCTGGTATACGATGACTTTCAAAACAGTAAAATGCAAGTATGGTGTTGGTGTAATAAAATTTTTCCACTAATACATTTGAAATCTGAATCGTCTATATTTTAAACCTATATAGTGAGCTTTATTCTGCCTTAAAAATTAGAGGGAAACAAAATTAAAAATTTTTGGAATACATTTTAATCCCATTTTTTAAATTATCTGAAGATTTTCAAAATCACTTATTTATGTAAGGTTGCTAGTGAAGTTATACATGGCTACCTGTGTTTATTAATAACTTGTATTTTTCCAAATCTAGTTTTGCCCCTGTTACTACTTCTAGAGGATTTAGAATGACTGCAGGGAGAAGAGAAATGGAAAATAGTATGAGGTTTCAGAGTATGATAAGGGAAACAGAGTGGGGAGAATTAGAAGGAAAGTCTTGTAACTCAAACTCCCATACCATCCTTCCAAATCAGTTAAATTCTTCTCCTAGGCTAGATTCCTTCACAACCCTCTCTGATTCTTTCAGAGCCAGAACTATTATCTTAGAGCTTGACTCATTTTCCTCTAAGATGATTTATCTTGACAAAAATCTCATCCTCTAGTAATCATCCCTAGAGAGACTCCAGTAGATGAAGAAACATTTGGACCACGGATCTTTCTCAGGTGGAGCTTTTGATTATGGAATGTGGTTGAAATGATACTTATACCTCACTTTTTAACAATACATTCCTGAATATTAGTGTTTCAACATTACTGGTAGAAAATCCTGGAAAACAGAGTATTGCGTTTTGCTCAATGAAGGAGGTAAAAATATGCCACCTGCTATAGCAAATAACTATGTATTATAGATTTTAAGACAGCTAGAAGTTTTTGCATGTTGTCACCACAAAGAAATGACAAATGTTGAAAGTGATGAATACAATAATTACCCAAATTTGATCATTATACCATGTATACATGCATTAAAACATTACATTATAACAGTGCAGCCATCAAAAAGAATGAAATAATGTCTTTTGCAGCAGCATGGATGGAATTGGTGGACATTATATTAGGTGAACTAACTCAAAAGCAGAAAATCTAATATGGCATGTTCTCACTTTATGTAGGAGCTAAACATGGGTCCATGAGGACATTAAGATGGAGATAATAGACACTAGGAACTCCAAAAATGGGGAGTATAGGAGAGAGTGAAGGCTGAAAAATTATTTATTCAGTAAAACATTCAATATTCAAGTGACGGATACACTGGTAGCCCAATCCCACCATTATACAATATACCCATGAAACAAACATGCACATTTACCCCTGAATCTAAATTAATAAATAAAATTTAATATCTCTTTGAATTATACAACATGTATTTCTGAAAAAAAGAAATACTACAGTGTACCATCTAAATATGTACAATTATTATGTGTCAATTATAAACTTAAAAATTTAATTTAAAAAAATGCCACCTTGGTTATTGTTTGTTTCAATTAAAGGAACTTGAAAAACAACAGGTACAAGAGGATCACTCTGACCTTTGCTCTGTGTCTTAAAAGTTAAAGATGAAATTCTTATGTAAAATGTATCCTTCCTATACTAGAAAAAAGGCAATGGTCTTATCATCAAAGATGGAAAGGTGAGGCCGAGAGAATTCTGTACAACAGCAAACCTTGTTAAACTAACCCTTATCTGTCCAAGTAAAGACTCTCACCTAAGCCCCTTTGTCTTATCAAATTCTCAGTTTACCATTCTTTGTTTCATCAGTATACAGGTAACTGACTCTAACTGCTTCTTTGGGGTTTTCATTTCTTTATAAGGGTGCCGATGCCACATGAAACTTACATGAAGTAAATTTCTACGCCTTCCTCTTGTGAATCTGTTTTACATCAATTTAATTATCAGACCTAGCCAAGACCCTGAGAGGATACAGGTAGAGTCTTGCTGCCCCTACACTCATGTATTGTAATTACTGCTTTATTATTTCTAGAAAATCTTTGATTGCTGGTTATGTCTTCTTAACTCCAGCTGGCTTATTCAAACCAGTTTTCTTCATTTTGGGTGACTATGCATTTAAGATATTAGGGCATTAGAAAACAAATAAAAATTATTTCATATCCACGAATGTTAAGTATTCAGAGCTAAGAAAGAGACAGTATTTCTGGCTGCCAGAGATATTAAAATCTCTAGAAAGTGGTATGTCCCTTTCACTGCTACAGCCACCGCCATGAGTATACTCAGGCTTCAGAAGAGGCTCGCCTCTAGCATCCTCTGCTGCGGCAAGAAGAAGGTCTGGTTGGATCCCGGTGAGACCAGTGAAATCGCCAATGTCAACTCACGTCAGCAGATCCGGAAGCTGATAAGAGATGGGCTGATCATCCTTAAGCCTGTGCCTGTCCATTCCCAGGCTCAATGCTGGAAAAATACCTTGGCCGGCCGTAAGGGCAGGCAACATGGGCATAGGTAAGCAAAAGGGTACAGCCAATGCCCGAATGCCAGAGAAGATCACGTGGATGAGGAGAATGAGGATTCTGCGCCTGCTGCTCAGAAGATACTGTGAATCTAAGAAGATTGATTGCTACATGTATCACAGCCTGTACCTGAAGGTGAAGGGGAATGTGTTCAAAAACAAGTGGATTCTCAGGGAACACAGCCACAAGCTAAGATAGACAGGGCCCGCAAGAAGCTCCTGGCTGACCAGGCTGAGGCCAGCTGGTCTATGACCAAGTGAGCACGCAAGTGCTGTGAAGAGCGTCTCCAGGCCGAGAAGAAGGAGATAATCCAGACTTTGTCCAAGGAGGAAGAGATCAAGAAATAAAAGCTCCCGCTTAGTCTGTACACACTGGCCTCCATGATTACACAGATCAGCCATTAAAATAAAACAAGCCTTTATCTGCTTAAAAAAAAAAAGTGGTACATAATAGTAGTGACTATTAATTCTCTATATTCTCCTGTAGTCCACATGAAGTACCAATGCACTTTATAGAAATAGGCTCGCCGATTTTCTAAGTACAAACTTGGTTTCCCTAAGAAAAGATGTACTGCTTATCAAACACACACACATCTCTATAAATTAAAGATATTACATAATTCCACTTTGTGAGGAAGTCATTACTTGCATTCCAATTATTAAACACTATCTCCCCTCATAGGCAAGGTGCAAATTACATTAATGCTAGTGTACAGTTTTATACATATAATTACCCAAAGTATTTTGAATGGATACAGATGGCTTTCAGTTTATCTTCAGATTTTCTGTGTAATCTTTCCCCAAATCGCCATTCACTCCTATGAATAAATACAATTTTGCTGTTAAATGTCTTAGTTGAGCGAGCGTTATAAGGAAATATTGACATATTTTCCCTTTATGATTATACCTGATGATTTCTACTTGAAATATAATATTTTTCTGAGAATTGGTGAGACAGAAGAATTCAGACAACAAAATTGTCATTTCTATAGTCTAAAGTTTTGAGCAAAAAAAAAATTAGAATTGATGTTTGAATTTCCTGCTGTTTTTGCCTGAGGTGATTCTATTTTACAGATGAACAATACTGTTCAAAATGTTTGATAGCTGGATCACAACTTCAAAGGGATAATCGAAAAATACCTCTTTGTAGTAGCTATACTTTAAAGTCTGTTGTTAACAGCCTTCAGTTTAAATTGCTGTCTTCTGGCTATGTATTCTCAGATTGAAAATCTACAGAGTTACTTCATTTACTCTTGTGTAATACAGTCTGATTACTGATAAGCTTCTAGTTTCGGTGACTATTTGTAGATTATATTTTCTATCTTTTTGCTTAATGAAGTATTTTTATAAGCTGTATTTTTCATTTGATCTTAATGGCCTAAAAAAGATCAAACTTTGTTTTTAATTTGCTTTCAAAAATATTCAAATTAGAACTTGCATTTCTCAGTTCACTGTGTTGGTGATGATTATCAGAATGAAATGGTAAATACAAGAAAGTGCATCTTTTATGGCTGGATACACCCATCAACAGAAACAAACACAAAAAAAATGCTGCTCTTTTTTCAAATAAGCTAGAGAAAGCATCTGTCTTACTATAAACAGTATACTTCACCAACCATGTAAGAATTTATTTTTATTGTCATGATTTAGCTGGTTGAAAGTGGCTTTTACCAGTCTGCAAGTTACTCACTGTTTTGATTAAGGAGGCTTTCTAAAGAGACACTGATGGACTGCAGTAGATAGTAATTTCCTAAGGTAGAGGATCTATGACTAGTGCTTCCCTCACTATCTTTGCAGTGCTTAGATGTCATCAACATAAAGACAGTTAAGAGAACTGATGACCTACAAAAACCCTCTCAATATTTGTAGTATAGAAAGACTGAGAATTTGAAATCTAGGAACATGACTCTTTTGTTATTATCAAAGTTAAATGGAAAGTAGATCTAATGACATGATGGAAATAGAATAGGAATTTTACTCAGCATGTGGTAAAAAGATAATTGAAGAAAATATAGTTGTGTTACAGGAAGAATGTAGTAGGTTTAACTCAAAAGAATTCTTTTATACTCATGTTAAATTATAGAAATTTTATTGCCACTAATTCAAAGGTTATGAGTTGAACCAATTGGATATTCACATAACAAAGTTATATATTTTACCAGGCAGATAATAATGACAATATACACATTAGGGTATATTTCACTGAATGGGTGAATTACAATGTCAGAGTGGTCTTGTGGGTAATGGGACATTTAGCTCTATTATGAAGAAAAGTCAACCGGTATATTTTGATGATTGCACAGGAAAATATAGGAAATACTAATTCTGGCAATGAGCAATACTATACTACAAGGCTACAGTTACCAACGCAGCATGGTACTGGTACCAAAACAGATATATAAACCAATGGAACAGAACAGAGACCTCAAAAATAACACCACACATCTACACCCATGAGATCTTCAACAAACCTGAAAAAAAAAAGCAATAGGAAAAGGATTCCCTATTCAATAAATGGTGCTGGGAAACTGGCTAGCCATATTCAAAAAAATAGAAACTGGCCCCCTTCCTTACACCTTATACAAAAATTAACTCAAGATGGATTAAAGATTTAAATGAAAAACCTAAAGCCCTAAAAACCCCAGAATAAAACCTAGTCAATACTATTCAGGACATAGGCATAGGCAAAGATTTCATGACTAAAACACCAAAAGCAATTGCAACAAAAGCCAAGATTGACAAATGAGATCTAATTAAACTAAAGAGCTTCTGCAGAGCAAAATAAATTATCATCAGAATGAACAGGCAACCTACAGAATCGGAGAAAATTTTTGCAATCTATCCATCTGACAAAGAGCTAATATCCAGTACCTACAAGGATCTTAAACAAATTTACAAGAAAAAAAAACCCTCAAAAAGTGGGCAAAGGATATGAACAGACACTTTTCAAAAGGAGAAATTTATGCGGCCAACAAACATATGAAAAAAAGCTCATCGTCACTGGTCATTAGAGAAATGCAAATCAAAAACACAATGAGATAACATCTCACGCCAGTTAGAATGGCAATCTTTAAAAAGTCAGGAAACAACAGATGCTGGTGAGAATGTGGAAAAATAGGAACTCTTTTACACTGTTGGTGGAAGTGTAAATTAATTCAACCACTGAGGAAGACAGTATGGCGATTCCTCAAGGATCTAGAACCAGAAATACCATTTGACCCAGCAATCCCATTACTGGGTATATACCCAAGGGAATATAAATAATTCTACTATAAAGACACATGCACACGTACGTTTACTCTTTACAATAACAAAGACTTGGAAACAATCCAAATGCCCATCAATGATAGACTGGATAAAGAAAATATGGCACATATATACCATGGAATACAATGCAGCCATAAAAAGAATGAGTTCATTTCCTTTGCAGGGACATAGATGAAGCTGGAAACCACCATTCTCAGCAAACTGACACAGGAACAGAAAACCAAACACCACATGTTCTCACTCCTAAGTGGGAGTTGAACAATGAGAACACATGGACACAGGGAGGGAAACATCACACACCAGGGCCTGTAGCGGGGTGGGGGGCAAGGGGAGGGAGAGCATTAGGACAGATACCTGATGTATGCGAGATTCAAAACCTAGAAAACAGGTTGATAGGTGCAGCAAACCACCATGGCACATGTATATGTATGTAACAAACCTGCATGTTCTGCACATGTGTCCCAGAACTCAAAGTAAAATAAAAAAATAAAAAAAAACTTTAAAACTTAAGTGACATAAAACAAGAATTATTTTGTCTGTTTGTAATTCTATGGTACAGTAACTATGATGGGCTCAGTATTTGTTTTGTTTTTTTCTTTTTTTGATTTTTGCCTAGGGTCACTCACATAACTCTCCACGGCTCTACTGGTTGATCCAACGAAATGAACCTGGTCTGTTTTGTTCTGCTCCTTGTATTCTCATTCACCTGCAGGTTCAACTGAGATTCTCCCAAGGCAGCACTGCACTCCCCAAGGACAGTGAGTTGGTGCATGGCAGTTCTAAAACCCAGACAGGCATCCATTGCAAGGTCCTCATATTGCAGGGATAGGGGGTTCTCCTGGATAAGGATCAAGTCATTATCCTCAGATGTGGTTTCTTACATATCTTTCATGGTTCTTGGCAAATCATCTGGATCTTTGCTCTGTTCTCTGATACACTGTTTCATATTTATAACAAATGGACTGTGTGTTGTTTATTCAAAGCTAAAAAGCTTTCTTAAACTGTGTCCAACTCATAGAAGCTTGAGCACCCAAAACCTTTTCCTTTTAATATTTCTTGGTCCCTTTTAGTCCAATTTGGAAAACTCCTTTGTAATCACTGAGGGCGTGATATGGTTTGGCTGTGTCCCCATCCAAATCTCACCTTGAATTGTAATAATCCCCATGTGTTAAGGGCAGGGCCAGGTGGAGATAATTGAATCGTGGGGGCAGTTTCCCCCATACTGTTCTTGTGTTGATAAATAAGTCTCATGAGATTGCATGGTTTTATAAATGGGAGTTCCCCTGCACAAGCTCTCTTTCCTGCCACCATGTAAGACATGACTTTGCTCCTCCTTTGCCTTCCACCATGATTGTGAGGCCTCCCCAGCCATGTGGATCTGTGAATCAATTAAACTTCTTTCCTTTATAAATTACAGTCTGGCATATGTCTTTATTAGCAGCGTGAGAACAGACTAATACAGGGCATTTTGTGTATCAGGTTATAAGTTATTCCGTCAGTCAAAAGTAAGATCCACAATTATTTTATTAGAGACTGGTTTTCTCTACCTTGTGTAGTGTGTCTGGGTATTGTGAAACAACATTCTAAATATTCTCAGAAACCTTTCACCTGGCTGAAACTGTCTACTCAGCACCACCTTAAATGGTTTTGAGGTCTTGATAAAGCTTTTCATAGTAATACCCAGCTTTTGGCCTTTATTAAAAAAACCTCTTTACTATGAAAATTTCTTGCAGTCTGAAGCGTCTAGAAATAAGACCAATTTTATTTTCCAAACTAGCAAATATTAAAGCCCCCCATATTTATTTTCTATTCTACCAGAAAACTGAAATTTTTCTTTTTTTAGCTCATCACTCACTTATAGTACTTTATTGTAAATAGAAGCACCTAGTGACATATTCCACATTCTGTCTATATAGTTCCTTAAGTGGGTTCTATATGCTAAGTTATCACAGATAATGGTTTTGCCAACTGTTCAGTAATACATAACACAAATTGTCCTTTCTCCAGCCTTCAACAAGTTCCTTTGCCGGCCTTCATTGACAACCTGGATATCAATCTAGTCTCGGCCAGCAGCATCTATTTGCCTCCAATCCCAAAGCCAATGTCACAAGTTTTAGATTTTTGTCATGGCAACACTCATTTCTTGGAACCAATTTCTGTATCACTTATGTTTCTGAGTAAAAACCACACCAGTTCTTAATGTCTTAATGGTTTAAAGCAATAACCGTTTTATTTGCTCATGGTTGTTCTGGAGAGCAATTTGTCCTGGGCTCAACTTGTCCAGGGTGGTTCTTTTGGTTGTCTTACCAGCGATCATTTTTGTAGCTTTAGTGAAATGGTGGCTTATATGGAAGGTGGTTGGTCTAGAAGGCCATGGTTGGGTCACTGTGTCTCTGCTGCATATGATTTTATGCTCCTGCAGGCTAGTTTGGGTTTGTTCATATAGCAGCGTTGTGTTCCAAGACAGCAAAAACAGAAGGTGCAAGAATTCTAAACTTGGATATTGCAAAACATCAGTTCTGCTACCTCCCTCTAATCAAAATAAGTTACGCTGTGATCCCAGATTCAAGCATTGGGAAAATAAAGCATTAAATAAAAGAGTGGTAATATCCCATTATAAAAGGGCTGCATACAGGGATAGGAGAAACTTTTGCAAACGTCTTGGCAAGTTACCTACCATGAGAAGTAATTTATTCTTCAAGGGTCATTGGTAGGGTATATGCAATTGGAAGAGATGGGCTAGAAGCATGGATGTCAGAGAGAAATGAATACAATAATTCAGATAAAATATAAAAACATGCTGAACTGAGGTCATGAGAATTTTGAAGAGATGATAGCATGGATGGTAACAGTATGTTAAAGACAAAATAACAGAATTAATTGATGAACATGGTAATGGAGGGCTATGAGAGTTTCCAAGATTGGAAAAGTGTTTGAATTGTGATCCCAGTGAAACAAATTTAAATGTAGTGGGAAAATAAAGTTTTAAGTGAAGACTTTCAAACTGATGTAGGATATAAGAAGCTTAAGATGTGCTCAGTCTTACACTGAGCCCTGAATGGCTACTTCTTTTTAGCACTCTCTTCAGAACACACAGATGAATAAAAGAAGAATATCACCTAAAACCTCAGAGTTTTTAAGGGACTCATATGTGTAACTGAATAAAAATAATAAATGCATTGTTACAGGGGAAGATTGATAAATAGGCACAGAATCAGTAAAAATATGTTACAGATTTGGAGAAGGTTAAGTAGCTAATTATGGACAAGTATAAATTTTATTTGCACTGTCATATATCTGAATATGAAAAAGTCACAGATTCCACATTAAAAGGAATTTTTAATTTTGTGCAATTCAAAATTGTGTCAGAAAATTCTTTTAAAAAGATCTTTAAAAATTCGGGGTGTGTGTGTGTATAAATATTATATATAATTATTGAGATGATTCACTTCTGTGTCCCCGCTTAAATCTCACCGTGAATTATAATAAACCCCATGTGTCAAGGGCAGGATCGGGTAGAGGCTATTGAATCATGGGAGTGGTTTGCCCCATGCTGTTCTCGTGATAGTGAGTCTCACAAGATCTGATGTTTTTATAACCATCTGGCATTTCCCCTGCACGCACTCATTCTCTCTCCTGGCACCCTGTGAAAAGGTGCCTTCTGCTGTGATTGTAAGTTTCCTGAGGCTTCCCCAGCCATGTGGAACTGGGAGTCAATTACACCTCTTTTCTTTGTAAATTAACCAGTCTCAGGTATTTCTTCATAGCAGCATAAGAATGGATTAATACAGTATAAATATGCTATATAATTATATATGATTAATACAGATTAAATAAGCTAAAAGGTTCATAAACTTTCATATATTTTACAAAGAAAAAGAAAATTTCATAATTTGTTTACTAACCAGTTAGTAATTCTGTAAGATACTCTACTGTACATGTGCTTCATTATGACATAAGTCTACATTATCATACTTGTTAAGCATTATCATTTTTTCAAGGAAACAGAGAATGAACACATGGACACTAGCTTGTCTAGTTCAGTCAGTGTGAAAGCTGAAATTAGAATCTAAGTGTGCCTTACTAAACAGCCCGTGCTATATCCAGTAAATCAAGGTAGCAGTGTTTCTGGATCATGCCCATGATGCCGCTCTTTTAATATTATAAAAGGTAACAATGGGGAAAAGATATTTGCATGTTTGTAACCATAGTCTCTACATTAAATATTCAGTAAGAATTAGGTGTAGCAAGGGTAGAACAAAAACAAATCTACTGAAATGTATATTAAAGGTGAAGATTAGATTCAAGTTTCAGCTCAAAACAATACACAGGCACACACATTGGAAGTATATCTTGGATGACTTTTTTTTTTTGAGAGTCTCACTCTGTCATGCAGGCTGGAGTGCAGTGGTGCGATCTCAGCTCACTGCAACCTCTGCCTCCTGGTTTCAAGTGATTTTCCTGCCTCAGCCTCCCGAGTAGCTGGGATTACAGGCACTTATCACCACACCTGGCTAATTTTTGTATTTTTAGTAGAGATGGGGTTTTGCCATGTTCACCTGGTCTCGAACTCCTTACCTCAGTGATCCACCCGCCTCAGCCTCTCAAAATGCTGGGATTACAAGCATAAGCCACTGCGCCTGGCTGGATGACTTTCATACTATTATTTTGTGAAAACATATTATAAGGTTTTTGCAAACTTATTTCTCTTTTTCCACACGATTCTTATTATAGCATGTAACTTCTGGTAGGAAGGTAAAAATTAAATGTGGTCTGACTAATAAACTGATAAATACTTTGAAAAATTTTTGTTAAATAGACAAAAAACTTTATAGAAATCCAGCCATCTCAGACTTATAAACAAGCAAATAAATAAATAAATAAATAAGATGCCAGCAAGAATTACTGGAGTTGAGCCAAATGTTCCATGCTAGCTTTGACCTCACAAAGAAGAATTTTAACATGAGACAAGATCAGATGTTAAGTTCAGACATTAAAATTGTTAAAAGATTAACAGGGTTCTAACTGAGCTCAGAAATTCTATTACTTTAAGTTTACCTTTAATTGTAGTTACTTCTAATTTTCTCATGTTATAAAGTGCTATTATGTTCCATGGGAGCGATTGATAACATGATCTGTCTTTATTAACTTTATAATTAAAGAAAGACACTGCACCACTGGCTCTGCTCTACCTAAACAAACCAACCCATTAATTTAATTGAGATTATGAACTGTGCACTCAGATGACTTGGTTCTATTTCTTTGCAAGCAGAGGTTGCATATTTTACCTGGAATCAAGCCACATAGTCTCCACTTTGAATAAGCCCGCTATAGATATCTCTTAAATGAGAACTCACCCTAAGGCTATCATTGATGCCAGCTCTTTCTCATCCTTTTGCCTTCAATCTTCAGTCACTTTTGAAGGGTGAGCAAGTGATGATTTGGAGTCATAAAGTCTTTCTTTATGACTCCAAATAAGAGCTATTTGTAGAGTCTATATTCTCTGTTATACTTGATATTATCAGAATCAGAGTTAAGAAAATAATGACATACTCATATCAAAGTGTAATGGGGTCTATATGCTGGGCATGGCCATCAGAATAGAGTAGACAAACTGACTCTCTCATCCAAAATCAATTCTGGAAAAACCACAAAATCTAAATGCAGCAATTTGGATTCCAGAAGTGGCAAAAGTTATGATGAATGCTTTGAAAATCCCTAAGTCTTCATAGCCTGGCTTCCGTGGGGTGAGAAGAGGTGGGGGGATTGAAATGGGGTGGGTGACAATACTCTCAGGGAGGGGTCCTGAAGAGGCAACTGTGCAAAAATAGGCTCAAGCAAACTTTCAAGTTTCACTCTTGTACCTCACCCATAGTGCATTGGAACAATGATACTTGTATTTCATACTAGAGATAAATGAAAAAAGAGCAGGCCACAGACATGCAAGGAGTAAAATCAAGGTAGTTTCATTGTCCTGCTCTGGTGAGAAAATATGAAAAGTAATGCAGCCTATGCCAGTCCCTCGATCACTTATTCACCTACACTCCCAGCCCTCGTCTTGTAGGGATAAGTATTCCATCCCTAGAAGAATACCTCCTTTAAATTCTGATTCTTTTAAGAGAATGATTGCTGGGTTGCCTAAAATCCTAACGTTTTGGGAGGCCAAGGAAGGAAGAT